>NC_000018.10:47320578-47621244 GCF_000001405.40 Homo sapiens
GATAGGAAAATCATAGGTGTTGGAGTTAGGTGGTTACAGATTCCAGCTCCACTGTCATGTGACCTTGGACCATTTAAAGAAACCTCAGTTTCTTCTGTAAAATGATGGAAGAGAGTCCAATCTTTTAGGATTCAGTGAAATAATGTGTATTAAATACCCATCAGAGTGCCAGGCTCTTGGCGTGCACTAAAGAAATGTAAGCTGAGTTTTTTTTTTTAAAATGCTCTGATTTAAAGTATGAGTATCTTTCCCCAATTTCCCTTGAGCCACCTGAAATTCCATCAGTAATGACACATTTAAATAGGTCAATCATTTTTCTCTCCCCATTAAATAACCTTACCACTCTTTTGACTTGCAGAGACTTTAAAAGATGTTGATATTCTAAGCTCTCAACACCTCAAATGGCTCCTCATTGCCTATGGGATCAATTAAAATGCTTTACTCTGCAGTCTGCCAACATGCCAGATAGACAGGGCAACTCTTTACTCTCCGAACATCTTTTTGGCTTTTGCATCTCTATGCCTTTTCTCCTACTGCTTCCTCCTCCTGGAACACCCTCTCTAGTCTCCCTTCTCCCTTGTACTCCCTTCTACACTGCTGTCTCTCCACTGATCAACATTAAATCTACCCTTCAGGGCTAAATTCAAATAGCAGATCTTCTCTATAAATCTGTCCAGATTTCCCCAGACTCACGTGCCATCTTCCAGTTTCCTGTCCCAAGAGCTGTATTGCTTCACAAATGACTATTGTTTTACTTTCCCGTATGGATTGGTGTGTCCCTTCCACTAGGTCTATGAGGACAGGAATCAGATCTGAACAGACAACTGTTTGAGGATAGGAATCAGATCTTCCTCAGCTTTACCACCCTTGCAGTAATGATGAGCACAGAGACTTCCATGCTGGGCAAATACTGAATTGAATCGAAACTTAAATGTTATCAGCTCTATGCTTACTCTCACATGACAGGAGAGGCAGAAGCAGGAGAATTGCACTGGGTCCTAAGGGAAGGGTGGTGGGTGGGAGAATCCAGAGGGGCTATAAAGGCCAAATTGAATGTTGAAGTCCAAGCTATTGGGCACCACAGTCTTGCCAAGGGTGGGATCTGCAGAAATGGAACTAAGAACCTCACCAAAATCAACCAGGGCCCAAGAGAAACGGATGATGGTTGTGTTGTTTACAGCTTCATTATTTCTGTGCAATCTTTTGGAAGCTCATCAGTGTAATTATCCCAGCCTCTTACCAAGGCCTGGAGTTTTGAAGTCCCAGGGATGGCATTATTTGGGCTCAAACTGGGGGAAGTGCAATTTGTTTTTCCTGTTGTTTTACTCAAAAACTACTGAATGGGGTTCATAATCACACTTGAGCTGCACCCTAAGGAGCCTTGTGTTTTATAGGCCCCACTTCCTGGAAGGAGGGGACAGGTACAGGATTGAGACAGTGACTTCCTGCTTCCTGTAAGAACCATACAAGGGATATAAAGCTCACAGCAACACCAAGACATGAGGCTTCTGTGGGCAGAGTGTTGTGCCAGGTACCGAAGGTGACATCAAAGAAATAGAAGAGATACTCCCTGTTTGTCGGGAACTTACGCTGAACCAGGTCCTGTCTTAGCTAATTAGCCCCATAGCAAGAATTTATTGAGCACCAGTTGCATGCATGAAATTGTGCTAGAAGAAACTAGTTGTGATGAAACTATGCAATTGGTATTCGGTCTCCAGGGCTACCCTCTTGTCCTTGTGAGCTGTCTTCTCCCTTTCACCTGTTCCCAGGTGCCCAGGAGGGCTTTAGTTACATGTAATCCAGGCCAGCAGGCCATCCCTTGGCATGTGAGTGCATGTGTGAATTGCTGGGTTCCCCTTTCCACATCATTTGCAGCTTCAAACAGACCTTCTTTGGGAGTGACCACAAATATAGAACCCCAATTCTGGGTCACTCACTATGCCAGGATTTTTGTCCTCAAATTATAAAATATTTCAAAGGTGCAGAAAAGTGCAGAGGGTATAAACTCTATCTACCCAGAATTAACACGTGCTAGTATTTGGTCATATTGGTTTTAGATCTTTCTTTAAAACAAACAAACAAAAAAACAGAACCTCACATGTATACTTAAATTCTTCCTAGAACCCTCCCTGATACATTACCTCATTTAACTCTTATAATAGCCCATTTGCTTTAATTGTTTTCTCCTTTTGCTAAAGAGTGAAGTTGAGCCTCAGCAAAGGTAAACAAGGCTGAATACATAGAGCTTATAAGTGGGACAGTAAGCATCAAACTTAGCCCTCACTCACCTCTGAAGTCCACATCCTTTCAACCTGCCCACTACTCTAAATTTTTTTCCTAAGAAGGAAGAAAGACTATATTCTTTGGTTAAAGGATTTTGGAAAACAGCTAGCAGACAAATAATTGTGTCTTTGCAGCAGAGAGAAGGGGTCTCTCCCTGAGAAACTGCACTGCTCCCCACCCACCCTCCCCTCTCTCAAAGCCCCTTGCAAAACCCCAACCATTGGTAAGTTAGTTAAAATCACAGACAGCCCAAGCATATGTACATATTAGATCTTCTCTCTTTCCTTTAGGGAATTTAAAGGAGGAAATTAAAATCACCTGATGGACAAAAGTGAACGCTGTGGGTTTGTTTCCACTGCGATTCTTGTCAGTGGATGGTCACTCATACCAGCTGCATCCACCAAGCTGATGTGAAGGAGTTGGAGTCAGCACTTGCTAATTTTGAAGCTGTGTAAATGAGTCACTGTATTAAGGGAGGATGTCTTCTGCTGCAAAGAATAGGAAATATGACTCATGGTGGCATGAAAAGCACTCCTTTAGTTATCTCCAGTCGTGTAAGGCCAAGAGGTGAAGGATTCTGAGAGGAGGTTCAGGTACACATTGTCCAGGGCTGGTTCTGAGCCCAGCACTGTCATCAAGGACATAGGCTCCTGCCTCCTTTCAGTGACATCATCCTTGGAATATTTTTTTGGTCCTCATATTTGTTGCCTCATAGTCCCAAACTGGATGCAGCAGCTCCAGGCATTGTAGCAACAATGTTGGTTAAGGGGTACAAAATTTCAGTTAGACAGGAGGAATATGTTTTTGAGATCTATGGCATAGAATGGTGACTATAGTTAATAATACTGTGATGTATATTTGAAAATTGCTAAGAGATTTTAAATGTTCGTACCATGCAAAAACATAAGTATGTGAGGTAATAGGTATTTTAATTACTTTGATTTAATCATTCCATAATGTGTGTGTGTGTGTATATATATACATACACACACACACACACGATATGTATACATTATGGAATGATTTTACTCCATAAACATAGAAATTATTTCTCAATTAAAATGCATATTCCTGAGCCGGGCATGGTGATTCATGCCTGTAATTCCAGTACTTTGAGAGGCCGAGAGGGAGGATCACTTGAGGCTAGGAGCTTGAGACCAGCCTGGCCAACATGGCAAAACCCTGTCTCTACTGAAAATATAAAAATTAGCTGGGCATGATGGTGCACTCCTGTAATCCCAGCTACTTGGGAGGTTGAGGCACGAGAATTGCTTGAACCCGGGCGCTGAAGGTTGCAGTGAGATGAGGTCATGCCACTGCACTCCAGCCTGGGTGACAGCCTGGGAGACTCTGTCTCTAAAATAAAATAAAATAAAAATGCAGATTCCTGGATAGCACTTACTAAGTCAGGATCTCAGGGAACGGAGCCTAAGAATGCATGGTTTACCAATACCCTCCTCCCCTTAGGTGGTTCAGATGAAGCCATCTTCACACTGTTTGGGGCTGGGAGCTGCTGGTGCAGGAGTAGCAGAGTATGGTAGAGAGAACAGTGAGGGCAGGTGAGGAGGCCAGATCTCAGCTCTGGCTGTGGTCTGCAGTGACTGGTCACTCTGCTTCGTGGTGCCTGCTGACTACCTCAGATCTGAGATGGCGTGTCCTTCCAGCCTTTAGGTCAGAGTCAAGGCTCCACGCTGCCTCCCTAGTTTTATCTCCATGCTGCTTTGTTCACTGGTCCTGCCTCTTTTCCACATCTGTACCTTCTTTCCTTAGATCATGATATCCATCCATCCATCCATCCATCCATCCATCCATCCATCCATCCATCCATCCATCCAAAACTGCTTACTGAAGGCTGACAACTTTCTCTCTTGCCTTTACCATCCTTTCTTTGTGTCTCTGCTTATTTAAATCCTGCCTAGCTCCTTTTTGAAGCTTTTTAAATGGTCATTGTCCCACCCACCCACAACCCTGTCCTCTGATTCTTTCCCACTCTTATCTTGAACACCTTAATAGCATCATCTTTATTCCACATTCAGCAACTCTTGATTGAGCATCTCTGCTGCTCAGGGAAAGTTCTAGATTCTGGGAACACAAACAAAGACATACATCACAGACCCTCAGAGCAGCTTCCAGTTCAGTCTTGGTTTGGTCTCTTTTTACAAAGGTGTTTAAAAAAATTATACCAGCCTGGGAAACATAGCAAGACCCTGTCTCTAAAATATATTGGCCAGGTGTGGTGGTTTGCACCTGTAGTCCCAGTTACTTAAGAGCCTGAGGCAGGAGGATCACTTGAGCCCAGGAGTTTGGGGCTGTAGTAAGCCATGATTGCACCATTCCACTCCAGCCTAGGTGACAAAGTGAGACCCTGTCTTTAAAAAGAAAAAATAAAGGAAAATTATAAAAAGAGAAACTTTCAGCTTTTGGTTCTGCATGTAAGGAGCTTAGAGGTTGCCACTGTGTCCTAACAGCAAGTAAAAAGCTTAACAAACTGAAAAACAATACACTGTTGTAAGAAATTCCCATAGAACGCAGTGTATAAAGTGAAAAGCAAAAACAAAACTTTGTTCTCCTGCTCCCTTCTTGTATTTCCAGTCTCCAGAGGTAACTGGGAATACCAGTGTCTTGTGTGTCTCTTCCAGAAATGTACCAAGCCTTCGCATTTTTCTCTAATGGTTTTGTGTATGAGTCCCCTTCTCCCAGTTGGGTTGAAAGCACCATGGGAGGGGGACTCAGTTTTCTCCCACGTCCCTCCATATCACCCTTCACAGGCCTGGGCACACAGGGGTGACCCGTACTAATAGACTGACATCAAATTCAGGGACTGAGAAAACTCTTTGGGGACCTTGTACAGATCTGGTAGCATTACCTGTGTGAAGCTTCCTGCCCATTTAGAGCGTAAGCCTCCGGAGGACAGGCCACCCAGCCTGTGTTCAGACCCCTTCCAGGCCTATGACTCTCTGGCTTGCCTCTCCCTAGGCTGGAGCTTTTGGACATTCCCTGGGTTACACAGGGGCCAGCCCCTGAAGCAAGAGCTTCTCCAACCAGCCATTTACCCCATTCCACTTGTCTCATCTAAGGAGTATCATAGGCCAGGCTTCATTGCAGGTATGATGCAGCTTGTAAGGCATGCGGGGGCCAGTGGATGTGGTATTCTGTGGAAGCCCAGGAGGGAAGGTTGAGCTGTCGGAATGAGAGAGATGGAGAGGGAGCAGGGGAGAGCAGGAGTATCAGAATGAGTGATGTGCAATGTTCAGGGGTCAGCGCATTACAAAATGATTCTCGTTAATTATTCAGAGCCCGCCATCTATTGTATGGCAGGTGTGGACAGCTAGGATGGGATGCCTGCCTTTTTCTCTGAGCCACTGAAAGAGGGAAGGGTGGGGTCGTCTTGGATCAGTCTTAGGAGGGTGAGTCTGGGGGTGACTTCAGTATGGCAGTTCCTGGAAGGGTAGGACTAGCTAAGCAAGTCTCTCCACCTTTGAGATTTCTGGCATTCTATGCTGGTGGAACTGACACATGGGCTCTGTACTAGGTAGAAGGCAGAGAGAAAAATCTCCCCCAAGAATACAACTTAAAACACAATCATGCTCAGGCAGGCTAAAGCTATCTGTTCAAGCAGAGTAAATAGAAGTAAATAGAGCTGAGAAAGAGAAACTTCCTCTCTGGCTCTTGCCTTTTTCTGAAATATCTCTCTCCCCCAAGTCAAGTCTAACCATCTCTCTGTGTCCAGCATTAGCCGGCCTACCTGGCAGGTGTTCTGTCCCCAGCTGGAGCACTGGAGGGCTGCACAGCTTGGCCTTGGGTTTTGCACGGAGTCCTTTGGCCTCTCCTTGTTCATGACAGCATGTCTCATCTGCCCAGTTCAAGGAAGAGGCCTCCCTAACACCGAGTCAGGCACATTAGTAGCTGGAGAGATATTTTGTTTTTTTTTTTTTTCCTTGGGTTGAACGAAACTGTTGTCAGAGAAGGACCAGAGAAGAAGGTGTTGAGGAGAGGCAGGGTGCAGTGGCTCATGCCTGTAATCCCAGCACTTTGGGAGGCCAAGGCAGGAGGATCGCTTGAGGTCAGGAGTTCAAGACCAACCTGTCCAACATGGTGAAACTCCACCTGTACTAAAAATACAAAAATTAGTGGGGCATGGTCGTACACGCCTGTGTTCCCAGCTACTCAGGAGGCTGAGGCAGGAGAATTGCTTGAACCCGGGAGGCAGAGGTGGCAGTGAGCCAAGATGGCACCACTGCACTCCAGCCTGGGCCACAGAGTAAGACTTTGTCTCGAAAAAAAAAAGGGTTGAGGAGAAAATAAAATAAAAAGATCTTAGTAGAAAGAACAGTCACAGAGTGGAGGCAGCATGGTGGTGGCTGGCTGAGTGGGGCTGGAATGAAATATTCTTGGCCTGCCGTTGGAGAGCGGGGCAAATTGGGCAAATTCATTAATCTTGCTGAGCCTCAGCTTTCTCATCTGTAAAGTTGGGCTAGAACTAGTAGCTCCTGTGAGGACTCAAAGAGATGATGCTTATGAAGTGCCCAGCACAGGGCAGCATGTGGACGTGGTGGCTGTTCATGTGTGCCCTGCTTGGGTGACCACCAAGTTCAGGTAATGGTCCTCCAAGGGAAGTGGTGGCAAGCGCTTTCCTCATCTAAAGGCCTTACCTGGAGAAAATTCTGTCACCTGGTAAAGAAACGTTAGATATTGAGAGCTGGTGAAGTGACTGGGGGCGGAGGCCTTCCTGGTCCCCCTGGGAGGGAGCCACCCAGACCAGCTGAGCCTGCAGCCTCCTTTCCTTGGGCCAGTCCAATTCCATTCTCACCTGGGACTGAACCTGTTGCCCTTGGAAGGAATTTTAACATTGGGAAAAGCAAACAAACAAGGCATCCACCTAGCAAGGCACCTGGTGAGCAGACAGACCACTGGCTCCAGGCAGCTGGAGACCTGCTTCTGGCCCTGGCTCTGGAGCTGACTGTCTGTGTGATCCTGAATGCCTTGCATTTCCTCCTGTGTCTCGGTATATTCATCTTTCAAATGAGAGAGGTGGATGAGTTCACACTTGCCAACTTTAACAGTCACGTAGGTGGTTGGCTATTTGAAGATTCCATGGAACTGAAGTGAAAAATCCACAATGTTCCTTGAAACCAGGGGCAGCAGTGATGAGTGAGGCTGAATTTTATAGGTAGGAGGCGGGTCTATATTTACATATCTTGCAATTAGGAGGGGTCTGTATTTATATTTCTTGTGTGGGTTTGGTTTTGTTTCCTCTTCAAATTGCATCTCTTCCCTGGATCCTTTACAAACTTCTAGGAAGAGAAAGGAAGGTCTCTCTTCCTGGTTCATCATCTCACCAATGTACTTATTTGTGGCCGTGTGGAGTGTGCATATTTAATCTTGTCTGGTTATGCTTCCGATGTTTCCAATTCAAATGCCCGAACAGTCTCTGCGCATCTATTCGAACCATGCCTTTATGCTCCATGTTGGAACAGAAGCCCGTTGAGTACACAGCCTGTCTGCTGTTGTATGGGGCCGATCTTAGTGTTTAGCAGCAAGCTGTGGAGCTTCCAAGTACCCAAGGAACACCAACTGCAGATGCAGCCCCGTTCCAAGCCAAGGGTCTACAGACGTGTAGAAGCAAATCTCTTGCCAAGAACCCTCCCCATCTGGATGTAACACTTTTAGTGTGCTAGCAGATTTCTTTCACTAGATTTCAGTCCCCGTGTTGTGGGGATTTGGCTCTTTTGACCTGTGTGTACCAGCGCCTGTTGCAGTATCAGACACAGAATGGGTGCTTAACAAATGTTTGTTAGAGAACGAATAAAAGGATGGTCTTTGCAACTCAATGTACTCACACAGTGAGGAAACAAAGTAGTAGGACTATCTGATATTTACTGAGTGCTTAGGAAATGTCAGGAATTCTCAATCTCTCTCTCTCTCTCTCTCTCTCTCTCTCTCTCTGTGTGTGTGTGTGTGTGTGTGTGTGTGTGTGTGTGTGTACTTGAGAGACAGGGTCTCACTCTGTTGCCCAGGCTGGAGTGCAGTGGCATGATCCTAGCTCACGCAACCTCCATCTCCTGGGCTCAAGGAACCCTTCTACCCTAGTAGCTAGGAATACAGGGGCATGTTACCACACCTGACTAATTTTTAAAATGTTTTGTAGAGATGGGGGTCTATATTAGGGTTCTCTAGAGGGACAGAGCTTACTAGGATAGATCTACATATGAAGGGGTGAAGGGGAGTTAATTAAGGAGTATTGACTCACATGATCACAAGATAAAGTCCCACAATAGGCCATCTGCAAGCTGAGGAGTAAAGAAGCCAGTCTGAGTCCTCAAACCTCAAAAGTAGGGAAGCCAACAGTGCAGTCTTCAGTCTGTGGCTGAAGGGCCTGAGAGCCCCTGGCAAACCACTGGTGTAAATCCAAGAGTCCAAAAGCTGAAGAAGTTGGAGTCTGATGTTTGAGGGCAAGATGCATCCAGCACGGGAGAAAGAGGAAGGCTGGGAGACCCAGCAAGTCTGCTCCTCCGTCTTCCCCTGCCTGCTTTATTTCTAGCTGCGCTGGCAGCTGATTAGATGGTGCCCACCCAGATTGAGGGTGGGTCTGTCTCTCCCAGTCTGCTGACTCAAATGTTAATCTGCTTTGGCAACACCCTCACAGACACCCAGGAACAATACTTTGCATCCTTCAATGCAATCAGGTTGACACTCAATATTACCCATCACGGGGTCTCACTGTGTTTACCAGGCTGGTCTTGAAGTCCTGGCTTCAAGCAATCCTCCCACCTCAGCCTCCCAAAGTGTTGGGACTACAGGCATGAGCCACCACACCCAGCCCTGAGTGTGTTTTTATGTATTAATTCCTTTACTCTTATAATAATTCTATGAGGCAGATGCATTTATTACTCCCGTTTTACTGATGAAGAATTAGAGGCACAGAGTAGTTCAGGAACTTGCCCAAGTCTATATAGCTAGTAAGTGGTAAGACTGAGAGTTGTGCTAAGGGCAGTCTGGCCCCTGAGTCTGCGTGCTTAATCATCATGCTATTTAGATATGAGGATGCGCTTCACCTTCAGCAAGCATCTGAAAGCTGGGAGATGTTATGAGTGAACACAGAGTGTCCAGTGGCTTAAATATAATGCTGAGGCCACAAAAATGCTGGAACAGACTGCTGTATCTTTTACCAACTGGGGTATCACTTGCTCTCTGGTGTCCAGAGACCTCGTTTGTTCACAGCTACACATAAGCTCTGATGTCTTTGGGCTGCTTGGCTGGTGTTTTCAGTGATGGCAATAGTTCATGGTTTTATCCCCTTCCTTCTGGCTTGTTCTCTGGTGGATTCCCAGTGCCTTCCCAACTTATATTTCCAAACTTCCTTCTTGGAGGTTTGGCATCTCTGGTGGGAGCTCTGACACAGACTGTTGCACATGCCCCCATCCAGCCAGATACCAGCCTTTCCCGTTCTCTGTGCCATATCTTGGGTTATGCTCTGAGGGTGCCACAGGGATGCCCAAGGCATGGTTTTGGCACCTAATAGATTTCTGATTGCTTGAAAAGAGGAGAAATGAATTATATGAGAGCATAAAATCAAGTGTCAGGTGATACGGTTCCTGTTAAGTGTGAGAAGAAATTCAGAGACAAGAAGGTGACATCAGGCCAGTGGGAGTTAGGAGATGTGCAAGCCTGTCCCAGAGTGGTCACACTTGCTGTGTGACCTTGGCCACTTACTTCCCGTCTCTGTGCTTCAGTTCCCTCATCAGTAAAATAAGGGAGTTAATCTAAACTCGAATGTTGCCTTCAACTCTAAAATTTAATAATTGTAAGACCTCCTGGGATGAAGAAACATGTAAAATTTGCCCCCAGATGAGGAAGTCTTTGAATGGGGAAACAAAAGAGTTGGTAAATACTTTCTGGAAGTTCCCATTCAGCACCCCCAGGGCTGCCCATTGGCCCCATCTCACCATCGCTCCCACTTTGTTCCACACCACCTCCCCAGGTTGGCCTCACTGCTTTTTCCCTCCCTCCTTCCCTCTTCCAAGCCTAGATTGTTCCAGTATTTGTAATTGGTTCTCTGCATCCCTTAGACATCGCCGAGTCGATCTCAGCCAATTTTCCTCCCTTTTGATGCATCTCTTTCATCCCTCTGCTGCTGGCCCTTCCTCCCCCACCATCACTGCTTTCCCTTCCCAGAACCTTGACTCCAGCTCATCCATCTTTCCAGAGTGCGGCTGATCCTGGCGTTCCCCTTCCAGTGCATTCGGGGGACAGGTGCTGTCGGGATGCACACATGGAGAGAATGAGATGCTCCCCCCTTCCCTGGGCACAAGGAGGATAATGATCCTGAGCGCTTCCCTCCCAGGGCATGATGAGAATCAGTGAGTTAATGCCCATAAAGTATTATAATGACTCCATGGAGTCATCTGATGGAGCGATGAGGAACTGGGCATCTGGCTCTAATTTACTTAGAGCTGGAGAATTCAGGCAGAAGCGGCAGCCTCAATTTTTTTTTCTTTTTGTACCAACCACTCACCCCAATGCAGAGCAGAATTTCTAAGCACAAACTGACACCACCTAGTGAGATTTAAAGACACCAAATTCTCAATTCATGAGACCTGTGTCAGGAAGATTCATTACAGATATCCTGTTGTCCCCACACCCCACCCTTTCCCCTTTGATGGATTGGAAACATGTTCTGAGCCCTTAAGTGTCATAATTCAACTGCCAAGCTGGTTGGTTAGTGGGTCTGGGAGGAGAAACTTTATCTTCTAATTCCAACCATGTGTTGTGTTCTTCCCTCCCTCCCTCTGTCCCTTCTTTTCTGCCATGTGTATTTATTGGGGTACCTCCTTTGGTGTGACCACATGCTGGATATGACACCAGGTTCCTCTTTTGGGTGTCTAGACAGCAGGAGAAGAAGAAACTGCCAACCTGGAACTCAGAGCCAGGTGGTTCCATAAATAGCTTGTGGAATCCTTGCTTTCACTGCACCCACCAGCCGTTTCTCCACCCACCTCCTTCCAGCTTCTGAGTCTGCTTTGTGCTGCTCTTCCCTCTGCATCTTTGCCCATGTGGTTCCTCCTTCCACAAATCTCCTTCCTGCTCATCCATGGAGATACAACCTTCTTTAAAAAAAAAAACCTGTCAACTCACACCCCAGTGTCACCACACTCACCAAGCAACTTGTCATCCTGAATCCTGCAGACATCCGACCATCACAGCCAGCCATTCCTCTGTCCACCCCCAGACTCTTTTGTCTCACTGTGTCCAGGCTGGTATTGCAGGTAGACATGCTGTTTTCACAGGGTGGACTTGATGGGGAAAGCCATACCCTTTGTATCACGTACTTAGCACCACGAGGCTGGCAGCAAACCCCTTTGCTCTGCCTTTGTTCCTGGCTAATTAGAGCCTGTTTCCACCGTTGTCGCTGTCTTTCCAGCCATCTCTTCCCCCACAGGAACTCCAGCCTCTGGCCATGTTGTTTCCATCCTACTTGTAACCCCTTATGATAACAAATGGCCACTCTTTGTAACAGAATAAAATCCAACCATAGCTCTGACCCAGCTTAGTGTCTACCTCACCTGGAATGCAGCCCCTTCAACAGTGAAGGTAATGTTATAAATACTGACTATCTTGGTCCCCACAGATCTCTTTCCCGTCACACCTCCTCTGAGCCCTCTAGCTTTGCTCCTTTGAAAACCCATAAGCCTTATTTCTGTCTTTGGAGTATAATCACCTTGAAAGTAGAGACTGTGATTATAATAGCATCTCGGTAAACCCCAATAAATATTTGTTGGTTGATTGATTTACTGACATTACTGGGCCGGAATCTGGTTTCTGGACTTTGTTGCCGTGTTTATTGCCATCTGTTAGGCAAGTGAGCCTCCTCACAGGTTTTGTCTAGTCCAGGCTGAGAGGTGGAAAGGTCATGGACTCTGGTGCTGGGAGGAGGTGAACCAAAATAATTACTAGAAAAAAAAGTGGGCTGGGCGTAGTGGCTCATGCCTGTAATCTCAGCACTTTGGGAGGCTGAGGCAAGTGGATCACATGAGGCCAGGAGTTTGAGGCCAGCCTGGCCAGCATGGCAAAACCCCATCTCTATTTAAAATATAAAAATTAGCTGGGTGTGGTGGTGCATGCCTGTAGTCCCAGCTACTTGGGAGGCTGAGGCACGAGAATCGCTTGAGCCCACGAGGTGGAGGTTGCAGTGAGTTGAGATCATGCCACTGCACTCCAGCCTGGGCAACAGACTCAGTCTCAAAAAAAAAAAAATGTGTTTGGCAGACTGCGTGGCCAGACTTGAGTTATCCCTTGTAGCAAACACTTTAATTTTGGTCCTGCTGTAACTCTGTTATAAGGCATGGCCATTTGTTAATGTAAGTGAGGATTGTGCTTCCTGGGACTCTCATTCTGCTAAAATATTGAACACACTTGTAAACCTAAGCACCTTCTCTCTCTTGCTGGCAGGCAGTAATGACTGTAAGACAAAACAGCTACTTTCAGTTCAAATGCATAACTGTTTTTCATTGATCACAGAAATAAAAACACAACCCTAATGAATGAGTTCATAAAGCATCCTCCCCACTTTATGGAATTTGTCCGAATTCTCTCCATCATTTGTCTGCCCTCTGCTCCCCTGCCCACTTCTGCATCCTCTCTATTCTGACCATAGGAAACACTTCCACAAGATTCTCACTGGCTTCAACATTCAGTGCAGGGGGGACCTAGGTTTAGTCAGAAACATTGTACATATACAACAGTGGAAATTAGGTGGGTCCTCAAATACATTAGCTTGTAGCCAAGAAAAGCTTATGTGGAAAGGGCCCTTCTGAAAGATGGTCTGATTTCTTCAAGGTCAGGCTTACCATTGGATAAACTCCTGGCCACTGTGAAAGTTCTCCTGCCACCCCTGACAGAGACTATGGGTGGGCTGTCTTCTGCCCAGAGGGGCAGCTGCCTCCACTACCTCGCCACTGCCCGCCCTTCTTCTGGGGTCCTCCAGTGGCCCCTTGATTGGGCAGGGAAGCCTGCACCCACTCCCTTGGCCACGTCCATCCTAGCCTGGGGAGAGGCAGCGGTCTATTCCGGGGGCCCCAAGCCACATCCAGCTTCCTGTCTGTTTTTCTTTTGTTAAAGCCAAATGAAACAATGTAATTAGCTTGTTACAATTAAAGTGACTCGACTGGATAAATTGTAATCACCCAGAATCAAGTCAGGCATCCCTGCAGGTCCCGGACATCGCAGCTGAGCTGCCTCATTTGCATAATTAAAATATACAAATGATAATGGATTTTGTACTCAATTTCCAGCGGCTGTGAATTTGAGAAACTCTGAAATTAGAATAACAGAGATGAAGCCCGCCTAGAGGTAATGGGGATGACAAGTTTTGACAGTAGGGGTGTTTATAACGCTAGTTTCTCACTACAAAATAAATAAGTACAAAAAAAGATTAGAGAATGATATTAGTTAATAGTTCCACGGGCAGTGGGAAGTGGAGATAGACTATGATTACCTCTGTGAATTTACACTGTCTTTTCTTTCTTTCTTTTTTTTTTTTTTCTGACAAGCTCTTGCCTAACCTTAGGGGATACCTTCTCCCTGATTATGAGAAATCGAGAATGAATTAAATGCATAAAAAGGGTTGTCACAGATCGACTCACCAAAGGAAAAGAAGAGAAATGAAATTAGTCTTGCTGCTCTTGCTTCCAGCTAGGGCTGCATTAAACGGAAAGTGTGCTGAGCGGGGCAGAGTGGCAGGAGAGGTGGGGAGGGGCTGTGACAGTTAGAGGAGGGAGGGGTTGGCATAGTCCAGGAGGGCAGACATCAGGGTTCAGGCAGAACTGAACAACAGTGGAGCCAGAACACAATATTACTTGTGGAATGAGATTTGAGAGAGTATCGGATAGACTCCTTTACTCAAAATATACCCCGCAGCGGGGACAAAACATTTTGGTGGATACACACTTGCATATAAGCACCATGTTCTCTGCCAATACACAGAACATCAAAATACAAATAAGGTTGTTCTTTTTTTTTCCCTGTAAATTTGGTGAAGTTGGGGCTAGATCTGTCTACTTCATCTGGTATTCCCAGGACCTAATACATAGTAGGTCCTTAAAAAGTATTTGTTGAATGAATAAATGTATGGATAGGAGAGATGGAGGACAATGTAAGAATATTGGGAATGGATGGGAAAAGACCCTGAAGGCTCAAATCATCTGTATTCCTGTTCTTGGAGCCAGCAGAGCCTGGACATTGGAGTTCCCATTGGGAATGGGTGTAAGGTGTCAGAGTCCATCTTCCCTGGACTAGCCTGCCTGCTTTTTGTGGTCAGTATGTTGCAATGGAAACTGGACAAAATCTCTCTGCCAGAAACAAAGTGAAAGCAGCAATTTGCAATCAGCCAGTGAGGACCAGGAACACTGCTGTCTGGGAAGGAAATCCAGAACCCAGGCTCTGGGCCTCTCCCATTGATGGGCTCAGCACAGAAGCTGTCCAATGGGGCAAGAAAGAAAACTGCCTGTTGGGGAAATGGGGGTGACTCTGACTGATGTATCTTCCCAACTCATTGGAAAAGATGTGCAGAGTAGGGCAATCAGGAAATTGACCAGGCAGCCAATCTACTTTATGGTCAGGGACTTGGGCAAGGAAATGCACCAGGGGAGCTAGGGGCAGGTGGTTGGAATCTAATGCTGGGTGGAGAAGGAGGGATGTGAAGGGAGTCAGGTTCTCTAGCCTGGGCTCTTGGGAACCATTTTTCCTGGGAGCCTGTAAATAGAACAGCTTCCCCTGGCAATGGTATTGAGCAAGCCCTCTGAGCTGGGAGAGAGACAGGAAGGACCACTGTCAGTTTCCCAGAGGACTTCACACTGGCCTCCCAGCCAGAGAGTGAGTAGCAATCCAATTCGTCTCTTTTGGGCCCTGGCTCTGAGGTAGGACTTGCCTAATCCCAGGTTCTGAGGAACGATGGGGTGAGATGCCATAATAAGAGTGAAGTTTCTTGGAGGAAGGCAGCAATGCTCACAGATCTGGAAATACACAGACTTCAGGACAGGGATGGTGATTATAAATTTCAAGTTAATGATAGGAAAAAGCCAACCATGTCCTTGAGGGCTAGAACAGGCTGAGTTGAGGCCTTTGGATGTGCTTCAGGCCTGCTTTGGGCATCATTGTACTATGGGGATCAGAAATGCCACCATGGACCATCCATTGGTTCATCCAGTCTTGGTGTCTACTCCTGAAAAAGGGCAGTTGATGGGGCTTCAACAACTTTGGGATTTCCCCCAATCCTCCAAATGTCCTTTAACCATTAGGAATATTTTCATAAGTTTATCTAAATCCTCCTTGAATCCACCTGCATTGCTGTCTGCTGCCTTGTAATTTTTACCTCTTTTAGGAAGTTTTATTTATCAGGACTACTTCTTACATCTTTTAAGATTGGGGGCAGCTGCTGAACAAATTCTGCCACCTGGATGTAACACCATGTCTGTTTTCATGCCTCTCATAACTTTCAGCCACAATCTCAGCCCTCGAGTCTCCAGTCTCCATCCTTTGAAAAGTCTCCTCAGGCCTCCTCCTTATCCCTGGGCCACTTAATTGCCTCCCCGTTTGCCTACCAGTGCACAAGACATTTCACAGAGCATAGGGAAGTTGGTCTTGCAGCCAGGGTGTGGCAAAGTTCGTGAAATCTGTTCTACAAGTGGGAGGCCCCTCACTCATCCTTCAGAGAGACTGCCATGTCCTGCCAACTGGGTCAAACTCTAGGTCAGGCTGTGCAAAGAGAAATGCTGATCTTCAACATGATGCTATTGGCCATTGTGTGGGAGGCTTGGCATTACTGCTGGAGCTGAGGGCCTGGGTATTTTTCCTAGGCACACAGTGCAGGAAGAGAAGGCCTGTTAGTGATGTGCTGGACAGACAGTTCCCATGTGTGGACAGGGAGGGAAGTGGGAACAGCATGTGCTCCCTCCTCCCACTTACTTTTTCTAGAACGCAACATTGTGTCAATATGGATAGTATGAAGTGTAAGTTCCTTGAGGGCCTGGACCATACCTATTTTATTATTATATCCCCAGCATCTAGCATAGTGCCTGGTACATAGTAGTTGCTTAATAAGTATTTGTGAAATAAATTAATGAATAAGCATGTGCTGTTTTTTTTACGATGAAGATACATTATGGAACATTACAAAAAAGAAAATCTATTCTTAGGTTCAAATTTGTCAGTTTATTACTAAATCTACCAATTGGTATTAATCACATTTTAGGTTGACCCAGGGCTTGTCTTCTGAGTTTTTCCCTTCTTACATCCACCCATTCATTCTTTCATGCCAGGCTCTGTTCTCAGCCTGAGGGGTCTAACAGTGAACAAGTTCCCACTTCCCTCAGTTATTCTCGCTAGATCTTATTTCTTGTTATAGCTTACGTCTAGGTACTGCCACTGTCACGGCTCCGGGCCAGGCTACCATCATCTCTTACCTGGAATATTGCCTTTTGGGTTCCCCTAATTCAATCTTCCACCCCCTCTTGTTGTTTTCCACACTGCAGCTCCAGTGATCTCTCTCAAAAAAGAAATCTGACCACCCATCTCTCTTAGGTAAAACCCTTTCTTGCCTTCAAAGCTCATGGCAATCCACGTCTGCTCACCTCTTCCACCCTAGCCCTCACCACTCCTGCCTCACACTCACCTTGATTTCCTCCGTGGCCTAGAAACATCCCAGCTCTTTCCTCTCTCTGGGCCTTACCCTCACCAGTGTGTCTGCTTGGCTGCTCCCCATGGGGCCATTCTGTTCTCCAGCCAGACCTCACGCCCTCCTCTGGAAAACCTCCCTGTCCCCGTGGGTTGGGGCCTCTTGCCTGTGCCTCCTCCATGTTCTGAAGCTCTGCTTATGTCACTGGGATTGCTTGTCTTAGGTGCCTCTTTCTCCTATTAGAACTGGAGACATCGGAGGGCAGGAATGGCCGTGCATCTCTAGCTCTGGTTATAGTGCCTGTCATATAGCACTGTTCAATATATTTACTTGCTGAATGAAAGAGCGCATAAAAGATGATAGCTAGAATTATGAGACTGCTAAGAAAGAAGGGAAGTGGAGGGAGGAGGAGGATCTTGAGGAATATTTACACCCAAAGGTCAGAGAGAAAAAGAAGCACTAGAGGGAAACACTCCCTGAGAGGCAGGAGGCCAGCAAAATTCAACAAAACCGAAGCCCAAGAGGACCAGAAAGGGCTAGCCATCTGGCCAGGGATGGGTTTTCTGCACAAGAAATATTACCTTCCCTCCTCCCTCCCAGATGGGCCCATTTGGGTCAGGAGATCACCCAGGTCCACTATTTTCCAGTCCTTGATTAGGAAGACCAGATCAATGTTCCCTTCCCATTTGGAAGGCTTTGGGACACAATTTTCTTGGGGCAGATGAGTGTCACCAGAGCTGCTCATGGAATCTTCTGGGCACATGGACCTAGGGAGGGGATGTTCTACTCCTGGATAGCCCCTGCCTTTGAGTCTCTCCCTCCTAGAGGCAATGCACATCTGCCCTGTATCTGAAACCTCCGAGCAGCCAATCTGAGCCCTTGTCTATTAGAGAATTAATTTTTAATGGGTTTTATAGCATGGTGGATAAATCAGTTAGGGAGAGACAAGGAGCTGGCAATGCCTAATGAATATCGATTGGGCCATTTAAAAGGGAAACCTTGCCAAAAGGGGGACAGCCACCCCACAGAATCAAAATCAGCTGTGTGGAGTGACTAAGGGGCAGCAGTGACATCTTCCTCTCTTCTGTGGCTGAAAATATTCTCCAACTTGTTGACCACTGATGCTTTAAATTGCACCACTTTTTGGGTAAGGGCCATGCCTTTTGTTAAGATTCACATATCTGTGAGACAGGAACCTATTTTCAATATGTAATTCCTTAGTATAAATTAGTTATGTAGATGTTTCCCAAAGGATATAAATGAGAAGAGCAGGACTGAGTTGGAGGGATCTTGAACATTTTCTTGGGGTTGGCTGTGTCTGGGAACCCAGAAGAGAAGATCTCAAACAGACATACAAACACTTTTGGGGATACATGGTGGTGTGACATGGGGCAGGCAAAGCCTTGGGAATGATATTGCATATTTTGCAATGCCCATTTTACTTGAAGATTGAATGAAAGGTGTTTTTCATCAAAGCATATTTTCAGGAAGGAGAATGCACAATTGGCAGCATAAAGAAATGTCTTGTTTTGTTCTCTGTTTTCTCTTTCTGCTATAAAAGACACCTCATTCAGTGATGCAGAGAGATCTGGCTTCAGAGGGCAAAAGCTCTGGATTCAAGTCTTGGTTCTCAGCCTAACCAAAAGGAGTACAAGAATAATGAACAAATCATTTATTGTCCTATGAAAGAGTATACAATTAAGTGCTAAAGTTTGCTACATAGACTGTAAAACAAGGGGATTCTATGACCTCTGAAGACCCTTCCAGCTCTAACATGCCATCACTATTAAAAAGGTGCATTGTTTTAAATATGACATCATGTTAAGGCTTTTTTTAAATTATACTTTAAGTTCTAGCGTACATGTGCACAGTGTGCAGGTTTGTTACATATGTATATGTGTGCCATGTTGGTGTGCTGCACCCATTAATTCGTCATTTACATTAGGTATATCTCCTAATGCTATCCCTCCCCCCTCCCCCCAACAGGCCCTGGTGCATGATGTTCTCCTTCCTGTGTCCAAGTTATGTGCCACATTCCTAAATAAGTTTGCCCATTTCCCCTTGGCAATCCCTAATAATGTTTTCAGTGATAGTGTCTTCATGTAAACCATGTTAGAAACTTTTCCTGGAGGATTACCTTCAGGGCCAGTAATGAACCATGAATAAGTAATCATTTCATTAAAAACAGTCATACCTCCTAAGCACAATGTGTGCTGGGAGATGTGGGAAGATGGGTAGGTCAGGGGTTCAGGAAGGGTCAGGTAGAGGCAGCCTTAGACACAGCTGTGGAGTTGTAGGGATTTTTATTTCAAGGCTTACTCTTTCACCTGGTTCCTTTATCACACAGAACTTGCCTTCCTTAGTTCAGGATTTTCTTGATATGGCCAAATAAATAAAATTTCTCACCACCCAAGATTTGGTCATGCAGTTCTCTCTTCCTTCATCCCAGGAAAACCTTTTAACCCTATATCTTGTCTGTTGGGGGCCCAGGCTCAGAGATCCCCAATGTAGGAATGGGCTGGAGCAGTGGTTCTCACCAGGTGGGGCACATTGGAATCCCACAGGAGGGGGAGGTATTTCCCTTCCCCTCTCTATGACATTCTTCTTTCCAGAGATGGTTTTGTCCCTGTGGTAGGACCCAGAGGTGTGCCTCTTACAAGGAAAATCAGAGACCATCCATTCACAATGGTTAATTTTATGCATCAACTTGACCGGACCACAGGGTGCCCAGATATTTGGCTAAACATTTCTGAGTGTGTCTCTGAGGGTGTTTCTGGATGAGATTAACATTGGAATTGGTAGACTGACTACAGTACATTTCCCCTAACGTAGCTGGGCATGATCCAATCCATCGAGGCCCAGAAAATAACAGAAAGGCAGAAGAAGACTTTCCTTTCTCTAGTGGATTGCTTGAGCTGCAATATTGGGGGACTTACCATCAGCACCCTGGTTCTCAGGCTTTTGACTTGGACTGGAACATCCCTGACTTTCCTGAATTTCCAGCTTGCATATGGAAGATCAGGGAATTTTCAGCATCCATAATTGTGAGAGCCAGTTCCTTATAATAAATCTGTGTGTGTGTGTGTGTGTATGTGTGTGTGTGTGTGTGTGTAGTCTCCTATTGTTTCTCTGGAGAACACTAATATGTCATTCCAGTGGGGAGTTAGCTAGGAAAGTGATGAGACCTCTTGTGTTTCAAATCGTATAGCTTGCCAGTATAGAACTGTGAACAAAGTCATTTTTTTCTCAAATCTGTAGGCCAAAAGAATGATATCTGGAGTTTGATACAACTTTAAGAGATCATCTAGGGCAACTTTATCTTCTTATGAATGAAGAAGCAGGTCCAGAGGTCTTGCTAACATTTTAAAGCTAGCTGGTGACAGAATCAAGTACAAACGGTCCCTGACATGATGGTCTTATGATGGTTCAACTTATGAGTTTTCCACTTTACCGCTGTGCAAAGGTGATACACATTCATATAAACTGTACTCAAGTACCCATACAACCATTCACTTTCACTTTCAGCACAGTATGCAACAAATTACATGAGCTATTCAATACTTTATTATAAAATAGCATTTATGTTAGAAGATTTTGCTCAACTGTAAGTGTTCTGAGCATGTTTAAGGTAGACTAGATGAAGCTACAATGTTCGGTAGGTTAGGTGTATTCAATACATTTTCTGCTTAGGATATTTTCAGCTTATGGTGGGTTTATTAGGACTTAACCCCCTCATAAGTCAAGGAGCATCTTTATGTAAATCTTAACACCCTAACCAGATTGTAGGCTCCCTAAGAGCAAGTACCACATATTCTCCCATAACATGTAGCATAGTTCTAAGTATGTAGTAAATTGCTCAGGAAAATCTTAATGATCGACAGCAGTGGTTCTCAAACTTGAGCATGCATTGGAATCACCTTGTGAAAACACAGGTCTCCAGGCCCAACCCCCAGAGTTTCTGGCTTAGTAGGTCGGTGGTGGGGCCCTGGGAATTTGCATTTCTAACAAATTCTCCAGTGATGCTGAGGCTGCTGATCCAGGGATCACACTTTGAGAACCGCTGAGATGTATGTTTCAAGGATCTATCCATTTCTAATATAATTTGAAACACTTCATTCCCAGGAAGCCTACTTTATTAGACACTAAGTGGCTACGTGAGAAATCCCAGACTTAAAAGATACTGGTTTAAAAGTATTTAAAGTGAATAATTACCTTCAGGGTGGTCTAGGTAGAAAGATTAAATAAATTAAGTTGAGTCAATAGGAGTTTAAGCATCATTTGTTAAAGCAGTACTATTAGTTTTTCTTTTCCTAGTGGAAATTCTCTTCTTGTCACATAATCCTAATTAATTATTGTATAAAGACCCGAAAACTTAAATGCACAAGGGAGTAATAATCTTATGTTTCATTAACCAGCAGCTTCGAAAGCCAGAACCAAGCATGTAGAAAGAGCATGAGCAGTATACAGAGTCCCTTCCAAGCGGGCCTGAGGTCTACCCTCGTGCTTTTATTTGTCGCTGAATGTGTTAACAAGAACACACATTTACACTCTTAAATATATCGTCTCTGTTCAATACAATCTTATTGGAGTTAGCCAATCAATATGAATTTCAGGAGTATTTGTCATTGATTTTGCAATACGCTTTGTAATTACTGAATCAATATAAAATTCTCAACTCATTAGGAGATTAGCTTTTTTAAAATCATTTATATTAATGTGTTTAACCAAAGGCATCGGAGCTCCTTTTTTTTTTTAAAAAAAAATCACTTGTTTAATCACCTATATTAAAAATGAACAAATGCTATAGACTAAAAGCTCACTTGATGTGATTTTCAAGGATGACTTGCCCTGTACCTTGCCTTTGATAGGACCTCAACATATTGGTTACACTGTAGAGCCCAAACCATGATATGGAACAAAATGGGGGTGCCCATCTGAATAATTTGATGGAGAAAAGATGGGGCGGGGGGAAGAAACCATTATGCCTGATAAATATTGGCTGTAATTTACCCGTTTAATTCTGGCAATTTTGAATTTTGTATTTCACTAGTTGTTCTTTGTGATGCCTTCCTACTGGAACACAGCTTATAACATTTCATCAATTAAGAGAAAGCAGACATTTGGGCATGTAATACACACTTGGAGGATACAAGAAAAAATATTTTTCTACTCATAACACTTCTGACCACAAATATGTGGGTTTTCCACACCAGTTCTCTGTGGACACCATCTGGGTGTCCAGCAATTTAATTCAATTCTGGAACCACACTAAATACCCTGAGTTAGTGCAGACCTCACAGGTTAAGGGCTAAGTCCCACAAGAATGTCCCCCACTTGAGATGCTGGTTACAAGTATTGGGTGCCCAGGGTATTCCCATTTCCGTCCAACTTGGGTGTAGAGTTCCTGCAACCTTCTCCTCAGTTTCTGTAACTTGCTATATAATAGCTCATAGAACTTATGGAAACACTTTACTTAGTTTACCAGTTTATTATAAAGGATATTATAAAGGACACAAATGCATAAGGAATAATATGCCTAAGGAAGAGGTGCATAGGACAAGGTCCCAAAGAGTCCTGAGAGCAGGAGCTTCTGTCCTTGTAGAGTTGGGGTACACCATCTTCCCAGCACATGAAAGTGTTCAACCTGGAAGTTCTCTGAATCCTAGAGTTCAGGATTTTTTATGGAGGCCTCATCATACAGGAATGATGGATTAGTAACTCAATCTCTATCCCCTCTCCCTTCCCCAGAGGATGAGGATGGGGCTGAAAATTTCAAGCTTCTAATCATGGCTTGGCCTTTCTGGTGACCAGCTCCCATCCCGAAGCTATGTAGGAGCCCACCAAAGAGTTGCCTCATTAGAACAAAAGACGTTCCTCTCACCCAGGAAGTTCCAAGGGATTTAGGAGCTCTTTGTAAGATGCCTCTATTATCCTCATCAGTCAGGAAATTCCAAGAATTTTAGGACTCTGTGTCAGAAACCAGATGCAGAGACCGACAATATATTTGTTCTTATGTCACAGTGGATTAAATACTGATGCAGATTTTTGGTATTTATTTTATAATAGCAACGTCTCCCAATAACTCATGAGTGAGTTGGGCATGTGTTGTGGACTTTATAAATGAAATTGGGTCCTGGGGGATGAGTTACAAAGCCCAAGTCACCATACACATTTGTGGTGGAGACAGATCTAGAACACAGGCTTTCCTGTTGTTGGAATATACAGTACTGTCCTCTGGTGGGTTGTAGCTGTCACTTGCAAAGGAAGTCATTGCAGGTGGCTTTTTGCTTTGGACATTCCTAGTGACCTTAGAGCCCAAGGCAGCCCCCTCTCATCCCTCCCTCAAGGACCACATAAACCCAGGCTCCCCTGGCTCCAGCTAATGGCTGATGGCTACAGTTTCCAAGGGCTTGAAGTTTAGTTCTCAGTGTTTTGAAGGTGTTTCTTTATGCCCTCCGAGATTGCATCACCCTAGTTACCATCCTTGGAATCCATACAATAATGATGATCTCTTTGATATGTCTTGAACCAGAGAGTTTACACAATGCTTATTAAATACACTATCCTATTTGAGTCTCACAGCAAGTCTATGAGATGGACTAACACCCATGGTCAATTTTACAGATATAGGCTAGTGAAGATTATAGAAGTTAAGTGGATTGCTAGTAGTGAACGATTGGAAATGTAATCCACCCCGACAGAGTGCTGTCTTTCCAGAGAGAGGAATGAGCCCCAAAATACATAGTCATGACACCAGGCTCTGGTATCCTCTCTGTCCTTACTTCCTTTGGGGATGTCTTTCATCCTCACTGTGTCTCAATTCCCATCTCTAGAAGATGAAGATGCAATTCCTGCTCTTCTTCTATCTGTGAACACAGGATGGTACATTATTTCCAACAGTCAGCAAACAATTGTTGGCTTCTCTGTTGCTTATAGCTTTGGGTGAGGGGCTTGCTTCATGCCAGATCCCATGGAGCAGACATATTCTCTGGCTTCAATGACCTCACTCTGTATTGAAAACAGCCTTCATCCAAAGAGCCTGTCATAGGATGGAGTTTCCTTCTTGTCCTTTGAGGTTAATGTGAATTTCTGGTTAATGCACTTGGCAAACACAGTGTGCTCCTGCAACCATGGTTTCAGCCTGTGAACTTCCCTATGCTCCATGCACAGAGTGAATCTTTAGCCTGGTCCTCTTATGCCCATCAACTCCTCCTGTATACTCATACAGACCCTCACACCAATACAAAAATGAATAAGGGGCAAAACTGAAGAATTCCTAGACTGTGAATGATTTTATGCAACTGCCCCCATTGTTGGATAAACCAGTAAGACTGCTTGTAG
Organism: Homo sapiens; assembly: GCF_000001405.40. Lineage (NCBI taxonomy): Eukaryota > Metazoa > Chordata > Mammalia > Primates > Hominidae > Homo > Homo sapiens. The sequence continues at coordinate 47,344,874 of NC_000018.10, forward strand.
TGAGCCAGCATTCAAGCACTTCCATGTTAGGTGATTGTCCTGTTTTGAGGGAGCATTGGCCTGCAGGCTTCAGCCCTGGAATGCCTAGAAAGGGCCTGGTGGTCCTTTCCCTTGTCTTTTGGAAGAAGCCTGGATGAACAAGATGAACATATTGGCAGTGATAACAACACTTCTATACATCTGCATGGTGCTTTACAGTTTATAAAGTTCTTTCACAAGCATTATCTCAGCTCATTCTCCCAGCAACCCTATAAGGTTGGCTGGGCAAGCAGTGATGCTGCCATTTTAAAGGTGGGGAGACTGAAGCTTCTCCAGTCCCACATCTGAGTTCAGTGACCCTCCTAGAAGCTCCCATAGTTCCCTGCCCATCTCTTACACAGCACTTAGCTGCATGCTACTGTGATTGCTGTTGACTTGCTTGCTTTCCCAGCTAGAACGAGAGCTTCATAAGAGCAGGGACTTGTGTCACTGGGTCACTGTTGCATCCCTTGTGCTTATAGTGACTGGCATAGTGTGGATTCAATAAATACTTTTTGAATGACGTTTGGGTGGAAGTATGAAAAATGGGTGAGAGGGTGGATGAATGACTGAATAAGCGAGGGTGGGCAGGTTCCCTCAGCCTGGGCCTCTTGTCTATTGGTTGCCCAGCATTGTGGTGGCCACTGGAGGTCAGTGGGGCACTGGCTATTGGTCTGTGGGAGAGGCCAATGGATGTGTGGGAGAGGTGGTGGGGAGAGTCATGGCCTTAGTACTGCCCTGGATAATACCATGATGCTGGTGCTGTTTGCATTTCGAACCAGCCACCTCTCCTCTTGGGGCTCTCCCTCTCATTCCAATGGGCATACTCATTGCTCTAGACGACCCAAGTTCTTTCCTTGGACACCATTCCCAGGCTCTAAAAAGCCATAAAAATATACCTGTGCTGGGTTCCAGGCCAACACACACCTTGGCTGCTGAGCAAAGAAAGGAGCTGACAGTCATTCACACAGAGGTGTAAATGACTAACAAAGTTTTAATGTGTTACCCCCCTTTGTGGGTAGGGGAGTGGTTGCAGGTCGTGTAGAAACTACTTAACTCTAAAGGGAATGAAGAGATGAAGCTTTAATTGTGGAATTTCTGTCACCTACATATGTGCTGGGCCCTGGTTAAGGGTGCACATCCACCGACTGCTGGGCCCTGCTGCTCCTTGGGAAAGAGGGGCACTTTGGCTGCCATCCCAGGATTCCTGTTAATAAATCAGAGTTCTCTGCCACCAGCTGCTTGGCATATTGCTCTTGTACCAGTAGTGCCATTGCCAAATTGTCAGTGTGCTGGGCTGGGGGTGGCATGGGGGCTGGTGCAATTAACTCCCTCAATGCACCTTACCCTGGAGTTCACCCAGAGAAACTTGGCAGCAGGGATGGAGGGCTGTTGGCCTGACTGCTCTCACCAGGAAGGATGGATTTGTCAGGGAAGGGTGGTTGACAGGCTGGGGAGGGAGCAGCTGTTTCCAAAGATGGGAGAGAGATGTCAGGAGCTGGCTCCATCTCCATATAGAAATCCTCACTCTAAATGGGCAGCATTGGAATTTAAGTAGTAATGTGTCTCTTTGGAACTTTGAACTCTTTCTTCCATGCTCCACAGCTCATTTTTCATCACAACAGCTTTTTGAATTATTATTGAAAATATAATGTAATGAGGAAAGAATTCTTAAGTGACCTTTGATGCCACCATCACCAAGAATTTCATATTTATATGGTAGCATGGACATCCAGTTCACATGCATACGTATTTTAATTTTTTGTAGTTGATAGTCAAGGTGCTGTTGTCATTTTGTATTCTCTCATCATCATTATTATTATTATTATTATTATTTTGGTAAGAAAAGGAAACAGGTGCAAGGCTATGATACTGTCTGCCCACCCAGAGAGACTGCCCCAGAGATATAGCTTCTAACTGCACTGAGCTGCTCTTACTGGGAACACTTGAAGGCAGGGCCAGTGTTACGGGCAGAGGAATGGGCAAGAAAATCTCCAGGGGACTGCTGGGTTACCAGCCACATCTGATTCTGGGATCTCTATGGAATTCTCATCGGCAGCAGTGCTCAGAGCCTGGTTGGCATCTTCACTGAGCAGTGAGGCCCCTGGGGGTGTTGCTTTCACTTTCTAGACCACTGTGTTAGTCTGGTGTGTTAGTCCATCTTCGCATTGCTATAATGAAATACCCAAGGCTGGGTAATTTATAAAGAAAAGAGGTTTAATTGGCTCACAATTGTGCAGGCTTGACAGGGAGCATGGTGCTGACATCTGCTTGGCTTCTGGGGAGGTTTCAGGGAAGCCTTTTGGTAGAAGGCAAAAGCGGGGAGCAGGCACATCATATGGTGAAAGTGGGAGCAAGAAAGAGAGGGATATGCGCCATACCTTTCAACAGCCAGATCGCGTGAGAAGTCACTCACTATCACGAGCACAGCACCAAGAGGATGGTGCTAAACCATTCATAAGAAATCCACCCACATGATCCAATTACCTCCCACCAGGCCCTACCTCCAATACTGGGGATTATAATTCAACATGAAGTTTGGGTGGGGACACATCTCCAAACTATATCAGTTGGTGTCAGCAATCCTAGAGAGATTGTAGCCCGCCCTTCCCATTATAAAGATGAGGAAGTTGAGGCTCTGGGACAGGAAGAGACTTCCCTTTCCTTTTCTAAGGAGAATATTCCCTTATGAATTGCATGTGTTGCAGGGGTTGAATCAAGACCACAGAGAAAAGTCTATGGTTCACATTAAGGAGTCAGATGTGACATTTAAGTTAAATCACAGTGAATGTACATATATTTTTGAGTTATAGAGACAGCAGTTTCATATGGTTTAACCTGCTAGTTGGGGAGGCAAAACATGTATGAAGAGACCTCCCCAGAAGATGAGCAACAGAAGCAGTTAAAGAAAACTTCAAGAATATTACTGAAAAGCTGCCACCAGACATTTATCAATTAGAGGATTTTCACTTAGTTTGAGGGAAACAGCAGTCATGTTCAGATTTGTACTCCAAAATATTAAAAACATTTATCCTAGTCCCTGACACATAGTAGGTGCTCAGTGAATAATTCTTGAACAGTCACATTGCTCATTTCTGATTAGCTGTTGACTCAGGATTCCATTTTGCTGTTTGTAGCAGAATCTGACCCCAGTGACTAAATAATTAGTGGCTTTAGTTTTCTTTCATGAAAAATAGACCAGGAACAGCGTGTCCAGAGCTAATGTAGCTATTCAGGCAAGTCATCAGGGGCCAGGCTGTTTCTTCTGTCATTCTTTTTTTTTTTTTTTTTTTAAACTCATCCACTTTATTATTTTTTTTTCACTTTCTCTTTCTTTTTTTTTTATTATTATACTTTAAGTTTTAGGGTACATGTGCACATTGTGCAGGTTAGTTACATATGTATACATGTGCCATGCTGGTGCGCTGCACCCACTAACTCGTCATCTAGCATTAGGTATATCTCCCAATGCTATCCCTCCCCCCTCCCCCCACCCCACCACAGTCCCCAGAGTGTGATATTCCCCTTCCTGTGTCCATGTGATCTCATTGTTCAATTCCCACCTATGAGTGAGAATATGCGGTGTTTGGTTTTTTGTTCTTGCGATAGTTTACTGAGAATGATGATTTCCAATTTCATCCATGTCCCTACAAAGGACATGAACTCATCATTTTTTATGGCTGCATAGTATTCCATGGTGTATATGTGCCACATTTTCTTAATCCAGTCTATCATTGTTGGACATTTGGGTTGGTTCCAAGTCTTTGCTATTGTGAATAATGCTGCAATAAACATACGTGTGCATGTGTCTTTATAGCAGCATGATTTATAGTCCTTTGGGTATATACCCAGTAATGGGATGGCTGGGTCAAATGGTATTTCCAGTTCTAGATCACTGAGGAATTGCCACACTGACTTCCACAATGGTTGAACTAGTTTACAGTCCCACCAACAGTGTAAAAGTGTTCCTATTTCTCCACATCCTCTCCAGCACCTGTTGTTTCCTGACTTTTTAATGATCGCCATTCTAACTGGTGTGAGATGGTATCTCATCGTGATTTTGATTTGCATTTCTCTGATGGCCAGTGATGATGAGCATTTTTTCATGTGTTTTTTGGCTGCATAAATGTCTTCTTTTGAGAAGTGTCTGTTCATGTCCTTTGCCCACTTTTTGATGGGGTTGTTGGTTTTTTTCTTGTAAATTTGTTTGAGTTCATTGTAGATTCTGGATATTAGCCCTTTGTCAGATGAGTAGGTTGCAAAAATTTTCTCCCATTTTGTAGGTTGCCTGTTCACTCTGATGGTAGTTTCTTTCACTGTGCAGAAGCTCTTTAGTTGAATTAGATCCCATTTGTCAATTTTGTCTTTTGTTGCCATTGCTTTTGGTGTTTTAGACCTGAAGTCCTTGCCCATGCCTATGTCCTGAATGGTAATGCCTAGGTTTTCTTCTAGGGTTTTTATGGTTTTAGGTCTAACGTTTAAGTCTTTAATCCATCTTGAATTGATTTTTGTATAAGGTGTAAGGAAGGGATCCAGTTTCAGCTTTCTACATATGGCTAGCCAGTTTTCCCAGCATCATTTATTAAATAGGGAATCCTTTCCCCATTGCTTGTTTTTCCAGGTTTGTCAAAGATCAGATAGCTGTAGATATGCAGTGTTATTTCTGAGGGCTCTGTTCTGTTCCATTGATCTATATCTCTGTTTTGGTATCAGTACCATGCTGTTTTGGTTACTGTACCCTTGTAGTATAGTTTGAAGTCAGGTAGTGTGATGCCTCCAGCTTTGTTCTTTTGGCTTGGGATTGCCTTGGCGATGCGGGCTCTTTTTTGGTTCCATATGAACTTTAAAGTAGTTTTTTCCAATTCTGTGAAGAAAGGCATTGGTAGCTTGATGGGGATGGCATTGAATCTGTAAATTACCTTGGGCAGTATGGCCATTTTCATAGTATTGATTCTTCCTACCCATGAGCATGGAATGTTCTTCCATTTGTTTGTATCCTCTTTTATTTCCTTGAGCAGTGGTTTGTAGTTCTCCTTGAAGAGGTCCTTCACATCCCTTGTAAGTTGGATTCCTAGGTATTTTATTCTCTTTGAAGCAATTGTGAATGGGAGTTCACTCATGATTTGGCTCTCTGTTTGTCTGTTGTTGGTGTATAAGAATGCTTGTGATTTTTGTACATTGATTTTGTATCCTGAGACTTTGCTGAAGTTGCTTATCAGCTTAAGGAGATTTTGGGCTGAGACGATGGGGTTTTCTAGATATACAATCATGTCATCTGCAAACAGGGACAATTTGACTTCCTCTTTTCCTAATTGAATACCCTTTATTTCTTTCTCCTGCCTAATTGCCCTGGCCAGAACTTCCAACACTATGTTGAATAGGAGTGGTGAGGGAGGGCCTCCCTGTCTTGTGCCAGTTTTCAAAGGGAATGCTTCCAGTTTTTGCCCATTCAGTATGATATTGGCTGTGGGTTTGTCATAGATAGCTCTTATTATTTTGAAATACGTCCCATCAATAACTAATTTATTGAGAGTTTTTAGCATGAAGTGTTGTTGAATTTTGTCAAAGGCTTTTTCTGCATCTATTGAGATAATCATGTGGTTTTTGTCTTTGGCTCTGTTTATATGCTGGATTACATTTATTGATTTGTGTATATTGAACCAGCCTTGCATCCCAGGGATGAAGCCCACTTGATCATGGTGGATAAGCTTTTTGATGTGCTGCTGGATTCGTTTTGCCAGTATTTTATTGGGGATTTTTGCATCAATGTTCATCAAGGATATTGGTCTAAAATTCTCTTTTTTTGTTGTGTCTCTGCCTGGCTTTGGTATCAGAATGATGCTGGCTTCATAAAATGAGTTAGGGAGGATTCCCTCTTTTTCTATTGATTGGAATAGTTTCAGAAGGAATGGTACCAGTTCCTCCTTGTACCTCTGGTAGAATTCGGCTGTGGATCCATCTGGTCCTGGACTCTTTTTTGGTTGGTAAGCTATTGATTATTGCCACAATTTCAGCTCCTGTTATTGGTCTATTCAGAGATTCAACTTCTTCCTGGTTTAGTCTTGGGAGAGTGTATGTGTCGAGGAATTTATCCATTTCTTCTAGATTTTCTAGTTTATTTGCGTAGAGGTGTTTGTAGTATTCTCTGATGGTAGTTTGTATTTCTGTGGGATCGGTGGTGATATCCCCTTTATCATTTTTTATTGCATCTATTTGATTCTTCTCTCTTTTTTTCTTTATTAGTCTTGCTAGCGGTCTATCAATTTTGTTGATCCTTTCAGAAAACCAGCTCCTGGATTCATTAATTTTTTGAAGGCTTTTTTGTGTCTCTATTTCCTTCAGTTCTGCTCTGATTTTAGTTATTTCTTGCCTTCTGCTAGCTTTTGAATGTGTTTGCTCTTGCTTTTCTAGTTCTTTTAATTGTGATGTTAGGGTGTCAATTTTGGATATTTCCTGCTTTCTCTTGTGGGCATTTAGTGCTATAAATTTCCCTCTACACACTGCTTTGAATGTGTCCCAGAGATTCTGGTATTTTGTGTCTTTGTTCTCGTTGGTTTCAAAGAACATCTTTATTTCTGCCTTCATTTCGTTATGTACCCAGTAGTCATTCAGGAGCAGGTTGTTGAGTTTCCATGTAGTTGAGCGGTTTTGAGTGAGATTCTTAATCCTGAGTTCTAGTTTGATTGCACTGTGGTCTGAGAGATAGTTTGTTATAATTTCTGTTCTTTTACATTTGCTGAGGAGAGCTTTACTTCCAAGTATGTGGTCAATTTTGGAATAGGTGTGGTGTGCTGAAAAAAATGTATATTCTGTTGATTTGGGGTGGAGAGTTCTGTAGATGTCTATTAGGTCCGCTTGGTGCAGAGCTGAGTTCATTTCCTGGGTATCCTTTTTGACTTTCTGTCTTGTTGATCTGTCTAATGTTGACAGTGGGGTGTTAAAGTCTCCCATTATTAATATGTGGGAGTCTAAGTCTCTTTGTAGGTCACTCAGGACTTGCTTTATGAATCTGGGTGCTCCTGTATTGGGTGCATATATATTTAGGATAGTTAGCTCTTCTTGTTGAATTGATCCCTTTACCATTATGTAATGGCCTTCTTTGTCTCTTTTGATCTTTGTTGGTTTAAAGTCTGTTTTATCAGAGACTAGGATTGCAACCCCTGCCTTTTTTTGTTTTCCATTGGCTTGGTAGATCTTCCTCCATCCTTTTATTTTGAGCCTATGTGTGTCTCTGCACATGAGATGGGTTTCCTGAATACAGCACACTGATGGGTCTTGACTCTTTATCCAATTTGCCAGTCTGTGTCTTTTAATTGGAGCATTTAGTCCATTTACATTTAAAGTTAATATTGTTATGTGTGAATTTGATCCTGTCCTTATGATGTTAGCTGGTTATTTTGCTCGTTAGTTGGTGCAGTTTCTTCCTAGTCTCGATGGTCTTTACATTTTGGCATGATTTTGCAGCAGCTGGTACCGGTTGTTCCTTTCCATGTTTAGTGCTTCCTTCAGGAGCTCTTTTAGGACAGGCCTGGTGGTGACAAAATCTCTCAGCATTTGCTTGTCTGTAAAGTATTTTATTTCTCCTTCACTTATGAAGCTTAGTTTGGCTGGATGTGAAATTCTGGGTTGAAAATTCTTTTCTTTAAGAATGTTGAATATTGGCCCCTACTCTCTTCTGGTTTGTAGGGTTTCTGCCGAGAGATCAGCTGTTAGTCTGATGGGCTTCCCTTTGAGGGTAACCCGACTTTTCTCTCTGTCTGCCCTTAACATTTTTTCCTTCATTTCAGCTTTGGTGAATCTGACCATTATGTGTCTTGGAGTTGCTCTTCTCGAGGAGTATCTTTGTGGCGTTTTCTGTATTTCCTGAATCTGAACGTTGGCCTGCGTTGCTAGATTGGGGAAGTTCTCCTGGATAATATCCTGCAGCGTGTTTTCCAACTTGGTTCCATTCTCCCCATCACTTTCAGGTACACCAATCAGACGTAGATTTGGTCTTTTCACATAGTCCCATATTTCTTGGAGGCTTTGGTCATTTCTTTTTATTCTTTTTTCTCTAAACTTCCCTTCTCGCTTCATTTCATTCATTTCATCTTCCATTGCTGATACACTTTCTTCCAGTTGATTGCATTGGCTCTTGAGGCTTCTGCATTCTTCACGTAGTTCTTGAGCCTTGGTTTTCAGCTCCATCAGCTCCTTTAAGCACTTCTCTGTATTGGTTATTCTAGTTATACATTCTTCTAAATTTTTTTCAAAGTTTTCAACTTCTTTGCCTTTGGTTTGAATGTCCTCCCGTAGCTCAGAATAATTCGATCTTCTGAAGCCGCCTTCTCTCAGCTCATCAAAGTCATTCTCCATCTAGCTTTGTTCCATTGCTGGTGAGGAACTGCATTCCTTTGGAGGAGGAGAGGCGCTCTGCTTTTTAGAGTTTCCAGTTTTTCTGTTCTGTTTTTTCCCCATCTTTGTGGTTTTATCTACTTTTGGTCTTTGATGATGGTGATGTACAGATGGGTTTTTGGTGTGGATGTCCTTTCTGTTTGTTAGTTTTCCTTCTAACAGACAGGACCCTCAGCTGCAGGTCTGTTGCAATACCCTGCCGTGTGAGGTGTCAGTGTGCCCCTGCTGGAGGGTGCCTCCCAGTTAGGCTGCTTGGGGGTCAGAGGTCAGGGACCCACTTGAGGAGGCAGTCTGCCCATTCTCAGATCTCCAGCTGTGTGCTGGGAGAACCACTGCTCTCTTCAAAGCTGTCAGACAGGGACATTTAAGTCTGCAGAAGTTACTGCTGTCTTTTTGTTTATCTGTGCCCTGCCCCCAGAGGTGGAGCCTACAGAGGCAGGCAGGCCTCCTGGAGCTGTGGTGGGCTCCACCCAGTTCGAGCTTCCTGGCTGCTTCGTTTACCTAATCAAGCCTAGGCAATGGCGGGCGCCCCTCCCCCAGCCTCGCTGCCGCCTTGCAGTTTGATCTCAGAGTGCTGTGCTAGCAATCAGCGAGACTCCGTGGGCGTAGGACACTCCGAGCCAGGTGCGGGATATTATCTTGTGGTGTGCCGTTTTTTAAGCCGGTCGGAAAAGTGCAGTATTCAGGTGGGAGTGACCCGATTTTCCAGGTGCTGTCCGTCACCCCTTTCTTTGACTCGGAAAGGGAACTCCCTGACCCCTTGCGCTTCCCGAGTGAGGCAGTGCCTCGCCCTGCTTCGGCTCGCGCACGGTGCGCGCACCCACTGGCCTGCGCCAACTGTCTGGCACTCCCTAGTGAGATGAACCCGGTACCTCAGATGGAAATGCAGAAATCACCCGTCTTCTGCGTCGTTCATGCTGGGAGCTGTAGACCGGAGCTGTTCCTATTCGGCCATCTTGGCTCCTTGATCTTCTTCTGTCATTCTTAGCATGTGGCCTTTGTCCTCATACTCCCATGATGGCTGCTCTGCCTCCAGAGACCAGGTCCAAGTTCCAGGCAGCGACTTTTGCAAATGGCAAAAGGCATGGTGTTTTGGCAGAGTCTTTACCTTTTATCAGGAAAACAATGGGTTCCTGAATGCCCTCCCACTAGACTTCTGCTTGCAATTCATTGGCCTGAAGTGAGTCACAGGTCACCCTTAGCTGTGAGGAGGTCTGAAGAGTAGCCCTGAATAAAACCAGGTTCTTCTGGTCAGAAAGCTCGGGATGCATATTAGTAGATAATATGCATCATCTCCCACAAATATTTTAAAGCAAAAAATGATTATTTAGATATAAACAAATAGAGGTTCTAATTTGGAAATCTCTTTATATAGTTTATATGCTCATTCATGCATTCATTTATCCATCCTGCAAATAGTCACAGAACGTTCACTATGTGGGGGTGCTGGTTGTGCACTAGGAATACAAAGGGGGACAAAACAGACTAAACCTCTGTCCTCACATACACATGCAGGTAGTCAGATCCACTGGGCAGCAAGGCAAGAGAGAACCAGGCAGGCAGCAAGAACAGAACATGCAAAAGGGAGTGGGAGAGTCTGAGGAAATGAAAAGGAGACCTGTGGGGCAGGAGCCAGGTAATTGAGGGGTAAGTGAAGCTGTAAGTGTCTTAGGAAGGAGAGCAGCTGGTCTGATAGCTCCAGGTTGGTGAAACCAGGCCCTGGGCACACACTGTGGGCATCAGCAGAGGGTGGGGTCTAGACTACCAATCTGGACCAATGTCAAACATTTAAATCTTGCCCCAGATATGAGGCCTGAAATGTCATGTCCCTTCCTTTGCCCATTGAGAGCTGGGAGGACTTGCAAGATTTGGACCAGAGATCTCATTTTACAGGTCAGTAAACTAAGGCCCACAGAGCCCAAGTGACTTGCTGATGGCTGTCTTGCCAGTTAATGCCAACATTTGGACCAAACCTGCAGTCTTCTGACTCCTAGACTTTTCCCTTTCAGAAACATTGTATGTTTGTAAATACTTAATTTTCTCTTGTCTGATTTGCGCCTGATAGCATTTCAATGAAATAGATCCAGTGAGGTTATTTACCCCAGTTTCACATGTGGGGAGACTGAAGTTGAGAAGGATAAAGGGTTATGGTGGTCTTTGATTCTCTGGCCCAGATCCCCTTCAGCTGGGGAGGTTGCCATTCCAACTGATGTGGTTGGAGACACTTTGGCTCACATTGGCTGTCTCCTCCGAGGTGAGATGTGGCTCGAATGCCACTGCTCTGGGCCACCTCCTCATGTGGGCCTGTACGAGTGAGAAGGGGAGGTTTTTGCTGCATGATAATGAAAATGTGACATTCTCACCTGAGTCTTGAGCACTAGGAAAACAGGGGGCTGCTGTGCTCCGAGTGTCCTAATTGCTTCTGACACTCTTTATCATTTGTGATGATCTGGCCATGCTTGGCCACCTCAGGTGAGGGGTGGCCCTGAGAGTGGGGAGAAACCATTAGGGAGCTGACAGGGCACAGAGCCATGGGAGGTGATGGACTGGCTGCCAGATGCCCTCGATGCAGACATCCATCCTATCGATTGACCTTTTGGGGAGAGAAATCGGTGCCCTGGTTGTTGCCGGGCTGGTGAGGCTGGGCTGTGATGAGAATGGTTTCTAATCAAGACAGATTCCATTCAGGGTTCAGCTCCCCTGCTCTATCTTGAGGCCGATGAGGACACTGTGAGAGGGCCATTTTCACAGGGTGGTTGTGCAGCGATGTGCCCCATGGCCTAGTGGGCTTGGCCTGCGAGGGGCCCTTGGGCCAACAGGTCCAGTCTGGGGAGCTCCTCCTCCTTTCCCTTTCCCAACCTGCTCCCCGCAGCTGCTACTCTTATATATTCTCATACTGCTCCCTCGCTCCTCGGTGAGCTCTGGGTCTCCAGGTCTGACCACCCAGGCCAGTGTTGCTGCTTCAAAACCCTTCCTGTTTTTTTTTTTTCCAGCAAAGAGTTTTGCTCTCAGCTCTGCAGGGGTCATGCCAAACTCACCCCTGCCAAGCTACTAACACCAGTAGTCACTTTCTCAGAGCCACCGGCCTCTTTGGAGGAGGCAGTCATGTGGTAAACTATGGTTTTATAAATTGGACTCTATGGGAATTTTAAAGTCTTAGTGCCTTTGGTTGGATAAAAATCTAAAAATATTAACATAAATGAATTATCAATCTGTGAGGGATTTCTTTAACACCAAGAAAGGCCTCACAATTTCAGGACCACATATGCTTTCGAGCTGACAATAGTATTAACACAAAGTAGTTCTATTTTAATGAAGAAAAAGCTGGAGGATACTCAAAGGTATGAATGTCAAACGAAGACATTTGGGACACTTGGACTCAGGATAGCAGGAGATATTTGGGGTCTTTGCAGCTGCTCAAGTGATCCTGTAAGAGTGGTGTGACTGAACATGGGTATGAATACCTCCTAAGCAGTTGCAGCCTTGTTATGGCTCATGGATACAGAAAAAGAAGCCCCCACTCCTACTTCCCACTTCCAGTCCTCTGGTCAGGGAAGGGCCGCATTCTGCCATTGAGAATGGTTGAGCACAGAAACTTCAAAGAAGGTTGTTTCCAAAGCAGAGAAAATACTGATGTCCCAGCTTCCAACTGTGGAGATGGGACAGGGAGATATTTCCTACCCTTCACGGTCTTTGGATATTGAAGATATCTCCCTGTTTGAAATACTAAGTGGAGTCATGGTGAGAAAAACTTGATCAAGCTGTCTTAGTCCATTAGGACAGCTTTAATAGAATACCATAGACTGGGTGGCTTAAACAACAAACATTTACTTCTCACTGTTCTGGAGGCTGGGAAGTCCAAGATCAAGGCACTGGCAGATCCAGTGTCTGATGAAGACTCTCTGCCTGGTGTGCAGATGGCTGCCTTCTTGCTGTATCCTCACATGGCCAAGAGAGAGAAATCATACCTCTCATGTCTCTTCTTGTAAGAGCGCTGATTGCATTAATAAAGGCTCTACCCTCATGATATAATTACCTTCCAAAGTCCTCACCTCCCAATATAATCACATTGGGGATTAAACTTCAATATATAAATTTTGAGTGGAAACAAATATTCAGACTATAGCACAAACCCACTGTAAAGGAGTACTGTGAGAGTAACATGGATGGCTTACATTTACTGAATGGTTAAGGCAGGCAAGTGACTGAATACTTTCAGGTAATTCTCTCATTTAATCTTTACAAACCCACCAAGTAGGCACTATTTATTACTTCCATTTTGCAGAAGAGAAAACTGAGATATGAAGAAGTTTAGCAATGTGCCTTAGTTCACACAGCTAGGAGGAGACAGACTCTTTCTTCTAACTCTACTACACTGTTCTGAACAGGAAGACTGTTCTGGGCTCTGGTCAGGGCTCTGGTCTGAGCTTCACCTATTCTGTGAATTTGGGCAGGTCCCTTTACATCTCATATCTTCAGATCCCTCATCTGCACAAGATAAGGTTAATCGTATGTTCTATCAATGGGTCAACTCTATTAACAAACAGGAAATGAAGGTATGAAGTCCTCTTCAGCTGGCCTGGGGAAAATCACTTGATATTTCTCTCTTAGCTGCTTCAAGTCCCATTTCTTTTAGTCCTGCTGTATGGGGTGGCTGGGGACTCCTGAGACCCACATGGTATTGGGGGATCCTTGAAAGGCTGAATTCTTGGTCCAGTTCTATAAATATGCATTTAGGGAGCTTTAATAACACATATTATTGACCAGGTAGGCCTGTAGAGCTATTTGTGTGTAAATCCATATTTAGTACACTATTGATCCATATCAGGTGGCCAAAACCATATTAATTTGAATTGAAGATTAAAAACATTTTGTAAAAGTTGTTGGCGAGTAAAATGAGTTGATGTTCAATTTCTAGCAGCCTAATGTGCTTTGCTTTCCTTTAGATGTCTCCTTTCAGCTGGCTTAGCCACTTTCTTTTCCAACTGGTCTCTCATTCCCTCTCTTCCAGGGTGGCTACCTGTCGTGGATACTGTGGTGGGCTTTGCTCTCAGTACTGAAGCACTTGCTTCCCCAATGGCTGGGAGTGTTGCTGACTGTGGTTCTCAGTTGAGTTCCTCTTCAGAATTTGCCATTTTTGTATAATTGACAAATAAAAATTGTATATGTTTATGGTGTACAACATGATGCTTTGATATATGTATACATTGTGAACTACCTAAACCAAGCAAATTTACATATCCATCATCTCACATGCTTATCATTTTTTTATGGGAGAACATTTGAGATCTACTTTCTTGGCAGTTTTCAAGAATATAATACATTGTTATTAACTACAGCAGCCATGCTGTGTAATAGATCTCCAAAACTTATTTACCCTATTTGAAATTTCTTACTATTTGACCAACATCACCCCTTTTCCTCCGCACTCCACCCCACACTCCCAGTCCCTAGTAACCACCATTCTATTCTCTGCTTCCATGAAGCAGAGATTCTGGAGTTTCTAAGATTCTGCATATAAATGAGATCATGCAGTATTTGTCTTTCTGTGCCTGGCTTGCTTCATTAGCATAATGTTGTCCAGGTTCATTCATGTTGCAAATAACAGAATTTATTTCTTTTAAAAGGCTGAGTATTTCATTACACACACACACACACACACACACACACACACACACACACACCACATTTTCTTTATTCATTAATCCATCAGTGGGTTGGATGATTTCATATCTTAGCTATTGTGAATAATGCTGTAATGAACACAGGAGTGCAGAATATCTCCTTGACAGACTAATTTCATTTCCTTTGGCTATATACCCAGTAGTGGGTTTGCTGGATCATATGGTAGTTTTATTTTTAGTTTTTTGAGGAACTTCCATACTCTTTTCCCTAATGATGGTACTAATGTACATTCCCACATTCAATGTACAAGTGTTCTTTTTTCTTCACATCCTCACCAACACTTGTTACTTTTGTCTTTTTAAAATTTTATTTATTTTTATTATTTTTTTTGAGACAGAGTCTTGTTCTGTGGCCCAGGCTGGAGTGCAGTGGCGTGATCTTGGCTCACTGCAACTTCTGCCTCCCAGGTTCAAACGATTCTCCTGCCTCAGCCTCCCAAGTAGCTGGGATTACAGGTGTGCCAACAAACCTGGCTAATTTTTGTATTTTTAGTAAAGGTGGGGTTTTGCCAGTTAGCCAGGCTTGTCTCAAACTCCTGGCCTCAAGTGATCCACCTGCCTCAGCCTTTCAAAGTGCTAGGATTACAGTCACAAGCCACCATGCCTAGCCTTGTCTTTTTTATAGTAGCCATTCCTGAGTAGCTGGGATTACAGGTGCACCCAGCTAATTTTTGTATTTTTAGTAAAGTTGAGGTTTTGCCAGTTAGCCAGGCTTGTCTCAAACTCCTGGCCTCAAGTGATCCACCTGCCTCAGCCTTCCAAAGTGCTGGGATTACAGTCATGAACCACCATGCCTGGCCTTGTCTTTTTCATAGTAGCCATTCTAACAGGTGTGAGGTAATATCTCATTTTGTGGTTTTAGTTTGAATTTTTCTAATTCACATGATGAGCACTTTTTCATGTACCTCTTGGCCATTTGTTTATCTTCTTTTGAGAAATGTCTATTCAGGGTCTTTGCTCATTAAAAATTATTTACAAACGTTTTTATTGATACATATTTGTACATGTTTATGAGGCACAAATGATATTTTGTTCATGCTTAGAAGGTGTAATGATCAAGTCAGGGTTTTTGGGATATCCATCACCTCGAGTAGTCATTTCTATGTGTTGAAAACATTTCAAATCCTTTCTTCTAGCTGTTTTGAAATATGCAATGCATTATTGTTAACTAGTCACCTACTCTGTTATTGAACATTAGAAATTAGTTCTTCTATCTAACTGTACGTTTGTACCCATTAACCAACCTCTCTTCATCCCCCCATTTCCCAGAACCCTTCCCAGCCTCTTATAACTACCATTCTACTCTCTGCCTCCATAAGATCAACTTTTTTGCCATGAGTGGGAACACTTTGCCAATGTTTTATTTGGGTTATTTGTTTTCTTGCTATTGAGTTGTTTGAGTTTTCAAAAAAATATTTTGGGTATTAACCCCTTATCAGATATATGGTTTGCAAATATTTTCTATTTTGTAGATTGTCTCTTCAATCTGTTGATTATTTCCTTTGCTCTGTAGAGTTTTTTAGTTCAATGTAATCCCATTTGTCTATTTTTCCTTTTGTAGCCTGTGCATTTCGGGCCATATCAAAAAAGTCATTGCCAAAACCAGTGTCAAGAAGATTTTCCCAGCTGAGCACAGTGGCTCATGCCTGTAATCCCAGCACTTTGGGAGGCCAAGGTGGGTAGATCACCTGAGGTCAGGAGTTCTAGATCAGCCTGGCCAACATGGTGAAACCCCATGTCTACTAAAAGTACAAAAATTAACTGGGTGTGGTGACACGCACCTGTAATCCCAGCTACTTGGGAGGCTGAGTCAGGAGAATCACTTGAACCTGGGAGGCGGAGGTTGCAGTGAGCCAAGATTGTGCCACTGCACTCCAGCCTGGGCAACAAGAGTGAAACTCCATCTCAAAAAAAAAAAAAAAAAAAAAAAAGATTTTCACCCTATGTTTTCTTCTAGTAGTTTTATACTTTCAGGTGTTACATTTAAGACTTTAATCCCTTTTGTGTTGATTTTTGAATGTAGTGTGAGATAAAAATCCAATTTTATTCCTTTACATGTGGATAGCTAGTTTTCCCAATATTTGTTGAAGAGACTGTCCTTTCCTCATTTGTGTTCTTGGCATCTTTGTAGAAGAACAGTTGGCCATAAATGGATGGATTTATTTCTGGGCTCTCTATTCTGTACCATTGGTCTATATATCGTTTTTATGCCAGTACCATGCTGTTTTGATACTATAGCTTTGTAGTAGATTTTCAAATCGGGTTGTGTGATGCCTCCAATTGTGTTCTTTTTTCTTAAGACTGCTTTGCCTAATCAGGGACTTCTGTGGTTTCACAGGAATTTTAGGATTGTTTTTTCTATTTCTTTGAAAAATGTCATTGGAATTTTGATAGGGGTTGCATTGAATCTGTAGATCACTTTGGGTAGTACAAACATTTTAACAATATTTCTTCCTATCCATGAACATGACATGGGCTATCTTTCCATTTATTTGTGTCTTCCTCAATTTCTTTTCCTTTTTTTTTTTTTTTTTTTTTTTTTTGAGACAGAGTCTTACTCACTCTGTTGCCCAGGCTGGAGTACAGTGGTATGATTTTGGCTCACTGCAACCTCCACCTTTCAGCTCACTGCAACTTCTGCCTTTCGGGTTCAAGAGATTCTCCTGCCTTAGCCTCCCAAGTAGCTGGGATTACAGGTGCCTGCTACCATGCCTGGCTAATTTTTGTATTTTTAGTAGAGACAGGGTTTCACCATGTTGGCCTTGCTGGTCTCAAATTCCTGACCTCAAGTGAACCACCTCCCTCGGCCTCCCAAAGTGCTGGGATTACAGGTGCGAGCCACTGTGCCCAGCCCCTCAATTTCTTTTGTCATTATTTTATTGTTTTCTGTGTTCAGATCTTTCATCTCTTTGGTTAGATTTATTCCTAAGTGTTTTTTTTCTTTTGATTCTATTGTAAATGGGATTTTTTCTTTGCTTAATGTCTGCATTTCCTCTTTTCCGTTTTAGTGGACACGTAATTGTACATATTTATGGGATACAGAGTGCTAATTTGATATGTGTATATAATATGTAATGATCAAATTAGAGTAATTAGTACATCCATCACCTG
Source organism: Homo sapiens (assembly GCF_000001405.40). NCBI lineage: Eukaryota > Metazoa > Chordata > Mammalia > Primates > Hominidae > Homo > Homo sapiens. Next base: position 47,362,081 of record NC_000018.10, read on the forward strand.
GAGCATTTATCTCTTCTTTGTGTTGTGAACTTTCAAAATCCTCACTTCTTGCTTTTTAAAAATATACACTGAATTATTGTTAACCATAATCATCCTACAGTGCTACAAAACACTAGAACTTCTTTCTCCCATTAGCTGTATCTATTAACCAACCTCTCCCTAGCCTCCTCTGCCCCTCTAATGATCTGGGCTCTAATGACCACAATTTTACTCTCTACTTTTATAATCTGAATTTTTTTATATAGCTCCCACATATGAGTGAGAACACATGGTATTTTTGTGTCTGATTTATTTCCCTTAACAGACTGTCCTTCAGGCTCATCCGTGTTGCTGTGAATGACAGGATTTCATTCGTTATGGTTGAATAGTATTCCATTGTGTTTATATAACACATTTTCTGCATCCATTCATCTACTGATGGACACTTAGGTTGATTCCATATCTTGGCTATTGTGACTAGAGCTGCTATTAACAGGAATGCAGAAATCTCTTAGATATACTGATTTCCTTTCCTTTGGATAAATAGTAGTGAGATTACTGGATCATGTGGTCATTCCATTTTTAGTTTCTGTGAGAAACCTCCATATTGTTTTTCATAAGGTACTAATTTACATTCCCATCAGCAGTGTATAAGACTTCTCTTTTCTCCCTATCCTCACCAGCATTTTTTTTTGTCTTTTTGATGACAGCCATTTTAACTAGAGTAAGATGATATTTCTTCTTGCTTTAGATTTGCATTTCGCTGATAATTAGTGACGTTGAGCATTTTTTCATATATTTACTGGCTATTTGTATGTCTTCTTTTGAGAACTGTCTATTCAGGTCCTTTGCCCTTTTTTAAATCAGAGTATTTGTTTTTTATCTGTTGAGTTGTTTCCGTTCCTTGTATATTTGGATATTAGTTCCTTGTTGGATAAATACTCTGCAAACATTTTCTCCCATTCCACACATTGTCTCTTCACTTTGTTGATTTTTTTGTTGTTGTTGTTGGCTGCAGAAGTTTTTTAGGTTTATATAGTTCAATTTGTCAATTTTTGGTTTTGTTGTCTGTGCTTTTGAAATTTTACTCATAAAATATTTGCCTAGACCAATGTCCTGAAGTGTTTCCCCCATGTTTTCTTCTAGTAGGTTTATAGTTTATGTTTTCTTGTTTAAGCTTTTAATCCATTTTGAATTGATTTTTGTATTTGGTGAGAGATAGATAGGTGTCTAGTTTCATTCTTCTAAATATGGATATCCAGTAGTACCAGAACCATTTATTAAAAAGGGTGTCTTTTACCCAATGTATGTTCTTGGCATTTTTACTTAAAATCAGTTGGCTGTAAATATGTGATTTATTTCTGGGCTCTGTCTTCTGTTTCATTGGTCTATATGTCTGATTTTATACCAACACCATGCTGTTTTGGTTATTACAGAATTGTGCTATATTTTGAAGTCAGGTAGCATGATGCTTTCAGCTTCATTCTTTTTGCTCAGGATTACTTTGACTATTCAGGGTCTTTTGTGGTTCCATATGAATTTTAAGATTATTTTTTACTGTTTCTGTGAAGAATATCATTGGTATTTTGATAGGGATTGTATTAAATCTGTAGATTGCTTTGAGTAGTAGGGTCATTTTAATAATATTAATTCTTGCAGTCCATGAGCATGAGAAATGTTCCCATTTTTTGGTGTCCTCTTTAATTTCTTTCATCAGTGTGTTGTTTTCCTTATAGAAGTCTTTCATGTCCTTGGTTAAATTTATTCCTAGGTATCTTTTTAAATAGCTATTGTAAATGGAATTGCTTATTTATTTATTTAGTGGCTGGTTCATTATTGGTGTATAGAAATGCTACTGATTTTTGTATGTTGATTTTGTATCCTGCAAAATCAGTTTATTTATCAGTTTATTTATCAGTTCTAAGAGTATTTTGATAAACTTTTTTTTTTTTTTGAGATGGAGTTTCATTCTTGTTGCCCAGGCTGGAGTGCAATGGTGCAGTCTCGGCTCATGCAGCCTCCATCTGCTGGGTTCAAGTGACCCTCCTGCCTCAGCCTCCCAAGTAGCTTGGGATTGCCGGTGCCCACCACCACGCCCAGCTAATTTTTGTACTTTAAGTTGAGATAGAATTTCACTGTGATGTTGACCAGACTGGTCTCGAACTCCTAACCTCAGGTGATCCACCTGCCTTATCCTCCCAAAGTGCTGTGATTACAGGCATGAGCCACTGTGCCCAGCCATATTTTGGTAAAGTTTTTAGGTTTTTCTATATATTTCTTTCATATTGTCTGCAATGAGGGACAATTTGAATTCTTCCTTTCCAATTTAGAGGCCCTTTATTTCTTTCTCTTGACTAATTACTCTGACTATGACCTCCAGAACTATGTTGAATAAGAGTGGTGAAAGTGGGCATTCTTATCTTGTTCCAGTTCTTAAAGGAAAGTTTATAGGCTTCCCCATCCTGTGTGATGTTAGCTGTGGAATTATCTTATATGATTTTTCTTGTGTCATGGTGTCTTCTTTCTATACCTAAGAAAGGAGAGAGTTTGTTGAGAGTTTTTTATCGTAAAAGGATGTTGAATATTATAATTTTCATGCATGTATTGAGATGATATAATTTTTGTCCTTCATGCTGTTCATTTGATGTATCACATTTAGTGATTTGCTATGTTGAGCCATCCTTTCATTCCCAGAATAAATCCCACTTGATTATGGTGTATTATTTTTTGATGTATTATTGGATTCAGTTTGCTAGTATTTTGTTGAGAATATTTGCATCTAAGTTCATCAGGGATATAGGCTTATATTTTTCTTTTTAAATTACGTCCTTGTCTGGTTTTGATATCAGGGTAATGGTGGTCTTATAGAATGAGTTAGGAAAAATTCCCTACCGTTCAATGTTTTGGGATAGTTGGAGAAAACTTGGTTTAGTTCTTCTTTATAAGTTTGGTAGAATTCCGTGGTACAGCCATCTGGTCATGGGCTTTTTTTTGTTGTTGGGAGACTTTTCATTACTGATTCAATCTCCTTACTCATTACTCATCTGTTCAGATTTTCTGTTTCTTCCTGATTCAATCTTGGTAGGAAGACTGAATCAGGAAAATTTTGGAATTTATCCATTTCCTCTAGATTTTCTATTGGTTGGCGCATAGTTGGTCAGAATAGTCACCAATGATCCTTTATATTTCCGTGGTATCAGTTGTAATCTCTTTTTTTGTTTCTTTCTGATTTTATTTGAATCTTTTTTCTTAATCTAGCTAGTAGTTTGCCAATTTTGTTTACATTATTTAAAAAAATTTTCATTTCATTGATCTTTTGTATTGTTTTCTTAGTCTCTCTCTCTTTTTTTTGGGGGGGACAGAATTTCTCTCTGTTGCCCAGGCTGGAGTGCAGTGGTATGATCTTGGTTCACTGCAACCTTCACCTCCTGGGTTCAAGTGGTTCTCATGTCTCAGCTTCCTGAGTAACTGGGATTACAGGTGCACACCACCATGCCCAGCTAATTTTTGTATTTTTAGTAGAGATGGGGTTTCATCAGTGTTGGCCAGGCTGAAATCCTGGGCTCAAGCAATCTGCCTGCCTCAGCCTCCCAAACTGCTGAGATTACAGATTTGAGCTACCATGCTCAGCCTTAGTCTCTATTTTGTTTAATTGTTCTGATTTTTATTATTTCTTTCTACTAATTTTGGGTTTTATTTGTTCTTGCTTTTCTCCTTGAGGTGTATTGTTAGGTTTTTTTATTTGCCATCTTTCTACGTTTTTGATGTAGGTATTTATTACTATAAACTTCTCTGTTAGTACTGCTTTTGCTGTATCCTATAGGTTTTGATATGTTGTGCTTTGATTTTCGTTTGTTTCAGGAAATTGTTGATTTTCTTTCTAATTTTTTTTGACTCAATTCAGGAGCCTGCTGTTTAATTTCCATGTATCTTGTACCGTTTCCAGAGTTCCTCTCATTATTGTTTTCTAATTTTATTCCACTGTGGTCTGAGAAGATACTTAATATGATTTTGATTTTTAATTATTTGTTCGGATTTGTTTTGTGGCCTAACATATGGTTTGTCCTGGAGAATGTTCCATGTACTGATGAGAAGAATGTGTGTGCTACAGCTGTTGGATGGAATGGTCTGTAAATGTCTGTTAGGTCCATTTGGTTTATAGTGTAGCTTAAGTCAGATGTTTCTTTGTTGATTTTCTGTGTAGATGATCTGTCCAATGCTTAAAGCGGGGTGTTGAAGTTTCCACCTATCATTGTATTGTGGTTTATCTCTTTTTAGCTCTGATAAATTTACATTATATATATGTGTGCTCTGGTGTTGTGTGCATATATATTTATAATTGTTAAATTTTTTTGCTGAGTTGACCCTTATAATGACCTTGTCTTTTTATGTTTTTTGACTTAAAGTCCATTTTGTCTGATATAAATATAGTTACTCCTGCATGCTTTTGGTTTCTGTCTGTATGGAATATTTTTTTCCATTCTTTCAGCCTTTACATGTGAAGTGAGTTTCTTGTAGGCAGCATATAACTGGGTATTGTTTGTTTATCATTTCAACCAGTGTATATTCTTTAATTGGGGAATGTAAACTATTTACATTCAAGGTTTACTGATAGGTGGGGACTTATTCTTGTCATTTTGTTAACTGGTTGCTGATTGTTTTCTATATTTTTTGTTCCTTTCTTCCTTTCTTTCATTTATCTTTGGTGGTTTTCTGTAGTGATAATACTTGATTCTTTTTTCTTTCTCATTTGTGTATCTGCTTTGTCAGTGAGCTTTATACTTTTTTGAGTTTTCATGATGGTAGATATCATCCATTTGCTTCCAGATATAGTAGGATTCCCTTAAGCATTTCTTTCTTTCTTTCTCTTTTTTTTTTTTTTTTTTTTTTTTTTTTTGAGATGGAGTTTTGCTCTTATTGCCCAGGCTGGAGTGCAATGGCACAATCTCGGCTCACTGCAACCTCTGCCTCTCAGGTTCAAGTGATTCTCCTGCCTCAGCCTCCTGAGTAGCTGGGATTACAGGCATGCACCACCATGCCTGGCTAATTTTGTACTTTTAGTTAGAGACGGGGTTTCTCCATGTTGGTCAGTCTGGTCTCAAGTTCCCGACCTCAGGTGATCCACCTGCCTCGGCCTCCCAAAGTGCTGGGATTACAGGCATGAGCCACTGCGCCTGGCCAAGCATTTCTTATAGGGCTGGTCTGGAAGTGATGAATTCCCTCAGTTTTTGTATGTCTGGGAAATATTTTATTTATCCTTCATTTCTGAAGAATAGCTTTGCTGAGTATAGTGTTCTTGTTAGGCAGGCTTTTTTTTTTTTTTCTTATAAGGCCATGTGCACTGATCCTTGGGCCCCTGGTGGGGGGCAGCATGGGTGCTGGCAGCAGTGGCAGTGGGCTGAACAGGCTGGTTTTTGGACCCCCAGGTGGTGGCACACATGGACACTGGTGGTGGTGGCAATAAGACTTGGGTGGGCCAATTTTTTTTTTTTTTTTTGAGACAGAGTCTTGCTCTGTCACCAGGCTGGAGTGCAATGGCGTGATCTCGGCTCACTGCAGCCTCCTCCTCCTGGGTTCAAGAAATTCTGTTGCCTCAGCCTCCTGAGTAGCTGGGACTACAGATGCATGTCACCATACCTGGCTAATTTTTTTGTATTTTTAGTAGAGATGGGGTTTCACCATGTTGGCCAGGATGGTCTTGATCTCCTGACCTCATGATCTGCCTACCTCAGCCTCCCAAAGTTCTGGGATTACAGACGTGAGCCACTGTGCCGCATAACTTTTATTTAACAAAATGAAATAACTATTTAACTATGTCTCCTACCCTTTATATAGTAAATAAGTACAGTTGACCCTTGAACAACAAGAGGGTTAGGGGTTATCCCCCACATAGTCCAAAATCCACACAATTTTTAACTTCCCAAAAACTTAATTATTAATAGCATACTGTTCATTGGAAGCCTTTCTGATAACATAAACAGTTGATTAACACGTATTTTGTATTTTACATGTATTATATACTGTATTCTTATAATAAAGTAAGCTAGAGAAAGAAAATGCTGTTAAGAAAATCATAAGGAAGAGAAAATATATTTGCTATTCACTAAGTGGAAGTAGATCATCATAAAGGTCTTAATTCTCATGATCTTTGCCCTGAGTAGGCTGAGGAGGAGGAGGAAGAGGAAGAGGAAGGGTTGGTCTTACTGTCTCACAAATGGCAGAGATGGAGGAGGTAGAAGGGGAGGCAGGCACATTCAGTGTAACTTTAGGGAAATACATCATAATTTCTGCCTGACTTCTTTGCATTTTCATTTCTCTAAAAATGTTTCTTTGAAGTACCAATCCTTCTTCCACTGTTTGCTCTAGTTTCAGTGCCTGTATCATAGAAGGGTCTATGTCATAAAAGAAGTCAAAAGCAGTCTTGAATAGTTAGGCCTTTGTGCCAGATTGTCTAATGTTAATTTGTTTTCTAGTACTGTTTCTTCCACATCTTCTTCCTCATCATCTAACATTGGTTTAGAAGCACTCCTCTCTATCAAGTTGTCTTCTCCTAATTTCTCCGATGTGGCATCTGTTAACTCTTCAATTTCTCTAAGATTTATATCCTGAAACTGTTCATTTCCCCATCTTTTTTTTCTCTATATCCACAATCTCTTTCATGATTTCTTTGATTGGCACTGTTATAAATCCTGTGAAGTCAGGGGCACAGTTTTCTCCAGCAGGAATTTATTGTTCTGGACAATGCCCCAGCCACCCAGAACCCCATGAGATTCATGGCTTTTTCTATAACCTCATGGGTTTCATGGCATTTTCAGTGGTGTAATCCTCCCAGACTTTCATGATGTTCTCTCTATTGGGATTCTCTTCCATAGCATTGACGATCCGTTCCATAGAGTGCCATAGGTAATGAGCTGCCTTAATGGTCTTTATGACCCCCTGATTTAGAGGCTGACTTAGAGACATTGTGTTTGGGAGCTAGTAGACAACTTCAATGCCCTTGGTATTGAACTCATGCAGTTCTAGGTGGCCAGGGGCATTGTCCAACATCAAAAGAATTTTAGAAGGCAGTCCCTTACTAGCAAAGTACTTCCAGACTTCAGGAACAAAACATTGATGGAACCAATATAAAAAAAAAAGGGTCACGATTGTCCAGACCTTCTTGTTGTACAACCGAAGACTGGCAACTGGTGTTTATCTTTTCTTTTCAAGGCTCAGGCGTTAGCAGCTTTAACAGGGCAGTCCTAATCAGAAACTCAACTGCATTTGCGTAAAACAGTAGAGTTAGCCTATCTCTCCTGCTTTAAATCCTGGTACTCAATTCTCTTCCTTATTAATAAATGTCCTTTGTGGCATTTTTTTTCCCAGAATAGGGCACTTTCAACTGTGTTAAAAACCTGTTCAGGCAGATATCCTTTCTCCTCAATGATTTTCTTAATGGCATTTGGGAACTTGTCTTTTGCCTCCTGGTTGACAAATGCTGCTTCTTCTGTTATCTTGACATTTTTTAAGCAAAACCTCTTTCTAAAATAAACAAACTATTCTTTTCTGGCATGAAATTCTCCATTCTCCAGCTTTAGATTTTTCACTTTCTTTTTGCTTTGTCATATAATGACTTTGCTCTTTCTTGAATCATATTTGAGTCTATAGGGATGCCTGTCTTATAGCAATCCTGTACTCACATAAAAGCTACATTTTCAATACAAGATAATGAGATATTATGCAAAAAGTGCAAGGTTTTCACACTTGCTGGTGTAGCTGTAGTGATGGCTTCACAAATTTCCTTTCCTTTTTTTTTTCTTTTCTTTCTTTCTTTCTTTCTTTTTTTTTTTTTTTTTTACAATGGTTCTTACCTGAATTCATTTATCTTGAAATGGTCGACACCTGCAGCAGCAGACCTCAATGTGTGGTACAGATCAAGCAATTCAACTTTTTCTTGTAATGTCATGACTTTGTTTCTTGGAACACTTCCAGCATCACTAGTGGCACTTTAGCATGGGTCCCATGGTATTATCCAAGGTTTACAGTATTGTACTAATCATAATGAAAAACATGTAAGAACTGTGAAAGAGCACTTTTTACTGTAATACACAACTTACTGGAGAGACAAACTGCTCACGTGGAGGTTTAGTGTCACACAGCATTTTAAGTAGATACTTGCAACACTTGAGCTCACTGAGATTGCAACAGGTGACCACAAAATTATTACAGTGGTACAGTATGTACTATGGTTTTATGCAGTTATGATTTAATATTAGATCTTAATGTTTGTTTACATTTCTCTTAACTGAGAATGGCACCCTGTACAGTCTATAAGTGTTTGTAAGTTTTGATAAATTTTAACTTTTTATAACAGATTCGTGTATATTATATAGGTGTAAATAATAAAATAGACTAGTATCTACATATATTATATGAATTCATGACACATCTGGCTTTTTCTTAATTTTTAAAAATATTTTTAGGCTACACATTTTACCTGTGAGTTTTTTCAAATTATCACAAATCTCCAAAATTTTTTTCAGTATATTCACTGGAAAAAATACACATATAGGTAGACCCACACAATTCAAACCCGTGTTGTTCAAGGGTCAACTGTATTTTCATTACACCTCTTAATTTTCATTTTGTTAGTTTCAGTTCTGTTTATATATTCTTGGTATCCCAATTATAAAATTTAATGTGTCTATCCATCCTGATCAGCAGGAGTCTAAATTTTCAGGGTGAAGGGGAGATTCTGTGACCTGACACTATATACACATCCCACATTCCAGGTGGTACAGACCTGGTAACACTCTTCCTGGGGCAGTTGTTCTCTGAGCTAAGGGATCAGTAGCACAGGGCCATCCAGGCCACACCCATCCAGGTTTACAAGGGCATTTCTCTAGAGACTTGTCAGGTACTCTACCCTATCATAGGAACAGGTGAGCCTAGCTGCTCAGGCTTAATTATCGTTGAGCCCATGAAAGATTCTTACAACTATAGCTTTGTCTCCTTAATGTGCATAACTCACTTTAAAGAGCACTTTCTGATCCCAGCACTTTGTGAGGCTGAAGAAGGTGAATTGCTTGACCCCAGGAGTTCAAGACCAGCCTGGGCAACATGGAAAACTGTGTCTCTACAAAAGGTACAAAAATTAGCTGGGTGTGGTGGTGCATGACTGTAGACCCAGCTACTTGGGAGGCTGAGGTGGGAGGATTAATTGAGCCTGGGAGGTCTAGGTTGCAGTGAGCCAAGATCACCCCACTGCACTCCAGCCTGGGTGACAGACAGACCTTGTCTCTATTAAAAAAAATACTTTAATTGTATATATTTTTAGATTTACAGAGAACTTGGAAAGGTAGTACAGAGAGGTCTCGTATATCTTGTGCCTGGATGTCCCTATTAACATCTTACATTATGATGGTTCATTTGCCACAGCTAAGAAACCAACATTGACACATTACCATTAATTAAACTCCACAGTTTTGATTTTGCAAGTTCTGTCCTAATGTCCTTTTTCTGTTCCAGAATCCCATCAAAGACATCATGTTACATTTCGTTGTTGCGTCTCCTTAGGCTCTCCTGGTCTGTGACATTTTCTCAGTTTCCTTTATTCTGATGACCTTGACAATTTTAAGGAGTACTGATCAGGGATTTTGTAGATTGACCCTCAATTTGAACTTGTCTGAGTTTATCTTGTGGTACTGGGATTATGGTTTTTTTGGTGAGGGAAAGACCACAGAGGTGAAATGCCATGCTCATTGCATCATGTCAAGGGCACATGCTGTCAACATGACTTATCACTGATGATGTTGACCTCAGTAACCTGGGTGAGGTAGTATTTTCTAGATTTTCTCAGCACAAGTCACTTTTAACCTACTCTAAAACTTTGCCAAGAAACAGCACAAAGGTTTCCTGGTTTGTGCTTTCCAGGATACATTCTTTCCCTGTGCCTGAAAAAGTGGGATGTTTGAGTTCAGTTTTCCAATTCCTGCCTCACTCACTATGTTCCCCGAATGCTTCCTCACTCACCATGATCCCTGAAAGACTTGATCCATCATTTTCCAATTATGTCTGCAAAACCTTTCAGAATTCAGGGATGCAGTCAATCTCAGGAAGGATATATCCTCATGTTTCATTTATTTATCTATTCAATGCATATTTAATATCATTTTTATTACAAGGTCTTACCTAGGTTCTGAAGGCAGATAAATTTATAAGCCATAACCTTTCTCCTGGTAGCCCAGCCATGTTAAAAAACAAAACAAAACAAAAAACACTGTAGTTCAGTGTACTGGTGTTTACTAGGGCAGTAAAGGGAAAGGTTGTCTAATGAACTCTGCCTGGGGTGGAGTTTGGGGGTCAAGAAACGGCTCAGAGTTGGTGGTGGTACATAGGGTGGTTTGTCTATAACCCTTTTCTAGCTTCCTTTGACCTTCAAGGACTTTCAAATTTTGTTTTTGGCTAGCTTTGCCTAAAACCCCAGTGCTAACTATATGTACACTGTGTAGACATCTGAGACCCAAAATGGGACAAGCTTTAGACTAAAGGGACATCGGATAACAGTCACACCATCATCCTTTGCATCAGGTTGGCCCCAGGAATGCCTCCCCATAAGAGGAGAAAGTTAACAAGGCAGGGAACTTCGACCCAGCCCCCAGGGCAATTCAGGTTCTCGGGTGGTGAGCATTACATACGGCCCACAGGCTATAAACCACCTTAACAGGCATAATGACTTTCATGCCTCCACCTGAAGGGGCTCATTGCAATAAGGTAACAGCTCTTGCAGATGCCTCTAACTTTAACTATGGGAACACTTGCTTTATAGCACCACCTGAATGATCTATATCCTGTTCTCGTCAATGGCAATTTCAGGAGTGATTTGGCTTATGTCTTTTGTGCATGTGTGTCTACTCAGCGCCCTGAAAACTTGTGGCATTGAGAACATGTGAAGAAGTGTGTGTCACAGCTGCAGAGCTGGAGATAGAGATGGGTCCTGAGCTAGCTGTCATTAAGAGATAACTCTCAGGAGTTCACACTAGTCAGAAGGACAGGACTAATCTCTATTCTGCATTTATTCACCAATTCATTCATTCATTCACAAACACTTCCTGAGTCCTCCATTTACAAGCACAATACTGCATCAGTACCATGGCTTCATGTCAGTCAGGTTTCCTTCTGAGATCTGTTGTCAAAGGAATACACTCAGGCAAGCTGTGTCTTTACTAGGCTGTGGGGCAAATTCTTTCACAGAATGATGAGTGGAGCTAATGAGACCCTGAATATATGGTGAGTTAAATGTTTGGGGACATTTCCTAAGCCAAAAGCCTATGCATCATTCTTCATTCTTCTGTCTCCCTTCCCTGGAGATGCCCTGGACAATTCTACATCCTAATATCTTTCTTGAAGCATTATTGTGTCCCCATCCTCACTCCTCTGCCTACAGTTCATTACCTCTTACCTGAATTACCACCTCTCACCTGCTCTCCCAGCAGCCATCCTTGTCTCCCTGCATCCGTTCCCCACACCACACACTGACGAGATTTCTAAAGTGAAAATCTGGTCACCCTTCCCTCCTGCTCTGTGGTTTCTTGTTGACCTTAGAATAAAGCCCCAAAGCTTTCACATTGCAATCTTACTCCTGCTTGTTTCTCTAGCCTCATCTCTCAGGTGTCTGCTCCCTCTTTAAGTGTATGCCCGTGCACACACACACCCTCCTCCACACCCCAACCTGACCACTTGACTGTCTCTGCTTAGCTTTTATTTCCTTGGCAGAGCCTTTGCTGACCTCCCCCATAGCCCTTACACTCTTGTATTGTAATGTAATTACTTGTCTTCCTTCCAGGACTGTGGGATCTGCCAGGGCACAGACTCTAGTTGTCCATTTCTTTATCCTCCCCATGTCCTGTCATGGTGCCTGGCCCATAGAAGTAACTCAGTAAGTTTGATGAAAAAAAGGAATGGAGACAAGAATGGAACTTCTGAGCATGAGTGAGGTTCTGTGTGCTGGTAGCAGGGAAGGATGGAGCTAGCATCTTTGTGCTCTGCAGGTCTTGGAGAAATGCCCAGCCAGGTCCCAGAGTAGTTCAGCATGGAGCCAGCTTCTGGACCAAGATCAGTAACAATTAAAACAACTAAGAAATTTTTGTATTTCTACTCTACCGTGTTTCAAAAAGGATTTATTCAAAAAAATACATAAAATTTTTAAAAATGATCAATAAGGGAGAAAATTTGGCTTCTGGATAAGATTATTACTCTAAATGAGGTTAATACCCCAAAAGAGGTGTGTACACTTGGGCAATGAATTGGCTCTGAGGTACCTGGCAGGCCATGCAGAGAAGGAAATGTGATGGGTTATAGGCTTTATGATGTCCATCAAATGAAAATAAGTCAACTGGGGAGGAGAAGACAAGGTTTCTTGGTACTGAGGCCAGAAAGAGACTTCTCCTGTGGATTCTTTTAAAGAAGAAGTCAGGTAACACGATGGATGATAATCTCAGCCATATCTTTTCAATAAAACAATGGGGACAAATCTTGGAATGGCTCTAAATGATAGCTGATAGCCAATACCACAGTTCATTCTAGTAAGAGTGCTTCCACAATGACATTAAAATGTGATATCTATGCACCCAGGTCTCTGATGATTCAGATCAGTTCAGTAAACATTTTATAATATTTGGAACAAGGTCCTTAAATTGATCCTTATATGAAGCCTATGAACTCTTGATACAGCATGCAAATTTTTGAGCACATGTTTATGTACATTCTTCTGGGGTGACAGTCCATAATTTCTCCCTCAAAGTTCCAAACCACTAAATTAGTGAAATAGCTGGGCTAGATCTGCTTAGACTATTTCTTACCTATCAATCTTCTGCTCCATGTTGCTTGGTCAGGAGTTTGGGGCTATGCTATTTAATGAAATCCATATACATGGAATCAGATACTTGATGCTGCAGGTTAAGATGGTCAATTGCATTGGGCTAGAGTTTATGACTCCCAGTGAAAGTTTAGCTGCTCAATGAACATGCATGTTTGAACCCAAGGCCAGAGCTGTTGCACTAAGTGTTTATAGAAGAAATAAACAGAAAGGACAACACTTCATAAAAGTGACAAGGGCCAGAACAACCAAGCAGCCATCCAAGCCATTGACTGTGGAGTACTGCAGACTCAGTCAACACCTGAAGACACAGAGCTGGAGCCAACAGAGAAGGGAAGGAATATGGAAGCTCTGAAAGGAAGCATTCCCCTGATCTGGGTTGCCTTTAATCAGGTTGATTAATAGGAGTCAGTAAATAAACTCTAATCAAAAGATGCCCTAAACCCTGGAGAACTCTCATGCTGTCTCTCTTTTTTGGATTAATTTTTTTTCCTAGTAGAGATGAAAAAGGAGCCATTATCTAAATGAGGCTGGGTAAGATGATTAGATGTTATTTACAGACAGGGCATGAAATCATCCACTGGACCCTGTGTGTGCTTAGCAAGACATTATTTTGTTATAAGTGTCATTGTTTTTATAGTTGCAAAGGGATGCCTCCGGTGTGGTGAGGAGGGATTCCCCTTATTTCAGTAATCGCTGATTATAGGAACTAGAAAAGTCAGTCATTTCCAATACAGCAATACTCAGGGGGCCTGTATCTAATGCAAACCACAGGTTTTTCAATCAATTGATCAGCAGATATGTATTGATCGATTGCCTACTATGTGCATGGTACAGAGAAGATTCATGAGAAGTAGATGTGGAGTACAGCCCAGCCTCCAGGAAGCTTTCTTGCAATGCAGTGTGACAGGCAGTGCTTCCCTGACTTTAATGTGCAGATTAAAATGCAGATTCTGATTCAAGAGGTCTGAGGTGGGGCCCAAGAATCTGTATTCCTAACAAACTGGAGCAAGGACTACACACTTGACACACTTTGTTTTTTTTTGTTTTTTTGTTTTTGGCAGGTTCTTATTCTATTGCTCAGGCTGGAGTGCAGTGGCTCAATCACAGCTCACTGCAGCCTCGACCTCCTAGGCTCAAGGGATCCTCCTACCTTAGCCTCTGGAGTAGCTGGGACTAAAAGTGTACACCACCATGCTCAGCTAATTTTGTAAATTTTTTTTTTTTTTTTGTAAAGACGAGGTCTTCCTATGCTGCCCAGTCTGATCTTGAACTCCTCAAGTGATCCTTCCGCTTTGGCGTCCCAAAGTACTGGGATTATAGGCATGAGCCACCTCAACCAGCCTAGGACTACATATGTTGAGTAGCCAGGTGGGAGACTACAGATTGCCATGATGAAAAGCTGGGAGGTGTGGGCTGTCGGTAAAGCTCTTCTGACACTCACCACCTGTGCAAACTTGGCCAAATTGCTTCATCTTGAACCTCAACTTTCTTTGACATAAACCAGAGGTCTCTTTGGGCAGCTGGTGCCCTGCACAACTCCCCGACGGGCACACCAATATGGGCTACAGGTGAATGGCATCCTCTAGAGTTGTGTGGTACACAACCTCACCAAATGTATGCAGAGTTCTTGAAAGGGCTGGATTAGACAGTGGTTGCCAACCCTGGCTGCACAATACCATCATCTGCTAAGATTTAAAAATGTCGATACCTGCCCCTGCCCCCTGTGATTCTGACATAATTGTCCTAGGATGAGACCTGGGCCTTGGTACTGTTTTCGTTTTTCCTTTTTTTCCTGGATAGATAGATGGAAAGAAGGGTTGTTTCTTTGCTCCCCAGAGATTATGAGATGCTGCTTAAGGTCCGTCCCAGCTTGAGGTTCTGTGACTCTTAGACTGTGCCCACAGAACTCTAAGATTGTTTAACTCTGGGAGACCAGAGAAGGGAAAGATCGGTACAGAACAAGGAGAGCCTGTGGTTTTGCTGGAAAAAGTCGGTTTAAACAAAGAGACTGGGATGGAGAAGCTATCCTAGGTGGACTGTGTGAATGTTAGTGAGGCTTCTGTTGATGGAACACATTTCTATTTGGGTTGGTACTGGGAATTGTTCTGTGAAGTGTTAATTGGTAGAGAAAAATAGCAATATCCAAGAATGATAATCACACATAATAATGAGGGCTTGTGTATTGGCCTGTTCCCATGCTGCTAATAAAGACATACCTGAGACTGGGTAATTTATAAAGGAAAGAGGTTTTATTGACTCAAAGTTCAGCATGGCTGGGGAGGCCTCAGGAAACTTAGAATTATGGTGGAAGAGGAAGCAAACACGTCCTTCTTCACACAATGGCTGGAAAGAGAAGTGCCTAGCAAAAGGGGGAAAAGCCCCTTATAAAATCATCAAATCCTGTGAGAACTCATTATCATGAGAACAGCATGGAGGTAACCCCCCACATGATTCAATTACCTCCCACTGGGTCCCTCCTATGACACGGGATTATGGGAACTACAATTCAAGATGAGATTTGGATGGGGACACAGCCAAACCATATCAGCTTAGAAGGGAAAACAGGGGGTGGCCAGGGAATGAGGCATATGACAGAGCCCTGATTTAGACTTGGGGGGCTTGAGGATCTAGACTGGGGGCTTGAGGAAAAGGCAACAAAGCTGAGAAGAGCAGTGAGGAGGAGCACCTCCTTCTGTCCTAGATCCTGCTTAAGGCTTTGCGGAGTCCTCTTCATCCAGCTCAGGAGAGTCCTGAGAACATGGGGTGAGTGTCAGGAAGGTGAGGGCAGGCCAAAGCCTTCTGAGAGGTCCTCGGCTTTTCCCCAGAGGTGCCTGCTCTGTGTCCTGCCTGTGTATGGGCTGCCTCCAGGACCCCATGAACACATCTGGTTAGAACTGGCTGACTGAGTTTGGTCCCCGCTGGCCTTGAAATACATGATCCTGTGAATGTGGGCATTGATTTGAGCCCAAGCACCCAGGAGGCAGCTCCTTTAAGTATTAAATGCACTTTCTACTTTGTCAATCCAGCTTTTCAGTCAAAGCTGTCTTTTCCTATCCTCATCGTCCTCCTGTCTTGTGAGCCTTGGCCTGGAGACTGGCTAGGAGTCCTAGAGGGGCCACCTGGGAGGGGGGGACGATGCATCCCCCTACGCCCTGAATCAGGCTTCACTCTACCTAAATCCCACTCTCCACAGGCATTTTAACTAAAACGGATCCTGCCTGCTGTGAGCAAAAGTAGCCTCCCAAATCTATCCAAGAAGTGTGATTGATAGTGCTGCTGAGGCTTGAGACAAAGAAGCCCTCTCTGGTTTTCATATTAATGCTGGGTTATCTCCTACAGTATTGATTTTTTGTTTGGCTTTTGAAATTTCTCTTCTCTGTTTCTGAGCCATTCCTATAAAAATGAAAGAGGAGGTGAGGGATGATGTCGTCCAGGTTGACAAGCTTTGCTGACTTGCAGTATTAGCTGCTGTTTTCCATTAGGTCTCTCCAAGCCTGTCAACTGCCTCTTCTGGGCAGAAATATATTTAAAATGTGGTATGAAAAGGTCCCCATGTGTCAACAGTAAGAGCCTGCCACCAAGTTTAGTCACTGGATTAATCTTCCAATCCTTAGCATTTGGGTCCTCTTCAAGGAAGCAGCAAAGATTTTGATGGACTCCAGCCTGCTGCTCTCAGTCCTCCTCTCCCTCTCCAAAGACAGCTCAACTTCTGCAAAACTATCAAGGGATGAGGCTGGCCTCAGCGGCTCTCAGCCTCCCTTCATCTCCTCTGTTTCCCCTCAGATATGTCCCACTCCTACTTCTCTCCTCCTCACCCATTCCTGCGCTGAGAGCCACCGTCAACACTTGGGTGTGAATGTCTTCTTAGGCTGTAGAGGGGGATCCTCGCCTATGGGATTTTGCCTTTACTAGGACGTCAGGATTAAGGATGTTAAGCTCTAAACAGTGGAGTTTCATACATCCCTCAGTGGAGAAAGGATGTTTTGGAGGAAAAGCAGAAATGCAGCATTCTCTGAAATCTGAATGTTACCCTCCACCTCTGCTTTCCTGGTAGCACCTTCATCAGATTGGAGGGCATATAGGGCCAATGCGGGTGGCATGGCTGCATCTCACATCCTTGGGCCCTTCATTCAGTTAGTCAACAAGTGTTTGAATTGAAGTGAGAACCCATTTGTTTACAATGTTACGCTGGACCTACAACCCTTCTTTGTTAGAGTCTTTATCTCTTTAGCTATTCATTCTGGATTCCAAAAAGAATTATGCAGGCCTAGTCCCAGACACTGTGCTAGTGCCGGGGGTGCAGGGATGGGCAAGAGAGTCAGGCTCTGTCCTTGTGGAGCTGTGAAAGTTGGAAACCTGGGAGTCTCCTTTGCCTCTGCTACCTTTCCACTAGCACATCCAGTTATCTTCTGTCTCCCTGCCACTGGCCTTGACCACTCTCCTCTAAAGCTTCTAGAACAGTGCTTATCACGTACGGTAGACGAACAGTACATGTTGGTCTATCATAGTCCCCACCACACCCCTAAGCCATGATTTACATCCAAGTCTGACCCCTATCTTGCTCAGAAGTCTCCAATGAATCCCCCTTTTCTATGGTGTAAGATGGAAATGGCCTTGAATGGCACATAGGCCATTCAGGATTTGGTCCCTGCCTATCTGTCCAACCTCATCTCCTGCATTAGTCAGGCTTCTCCAGATAAACAGAACCGATAGGATATGCATGTATGTTGAAGCCTTGGGGGCACTCTGCTTTACCCAAAGTTCAACAAGTTAAATGTTAATCTTATCTGAAAACACCTTCCAAGTGAACACGTGAAATTAACCATCACACCCCCTTTGCCCTGTATGTTCTGGCAATATTGCACCTCTTTTTAGCTTCCAAAAATGGTCCACTATCCTGCCTCTGGGCCTTTGCACACACTGTTCCTTTTGCCAGACTTATCTTTCCCCATTCTTGTCCACTCAACAGACACCAATTCTCACACTAATCCAGCCTCAGCTGCAAAGCACTCTCTCTCAGTGACCCCTTGGACCCTCACAGAGAGATTTGGGTGCTCTGTGTTGTTATTCCCATTCTATTTTGCACTTAGTTTTGTCACATCATTTATCATGTTAATGTTGGCTGGCATATCTCCCTTCCCACTGGGAAGACAAGGGCTTATCTTTTTGTTTTTGTCTAAGTCAAGCCTTATGTTGGGTATTGGGGAAAATCTCTTGGGCATTACAACCTTAACCAATGATCTTATTATAATCATCCTACCACCTCATTTTAATTACTTATAAAGTAGAGGATTGAACTGATAGAGCAGTAATCACCAATTGCTTAACTTCATAGTCGTTCTCCCTCTACTTCATGTCATAGAGCTCTTAGCTGAGCCCATGGCCTCCTGGAAGTAAAACTACATTTTCCAGCAGGCTGTGCAGCTGTATGTGGCCATGTGACTGTACATCATGGCTAGTGGGATGTGAATGGGTCCTCAGCACCTTCTGGGAGACTTTCTTTTCTGTCATTTCCTCCAGCCAGCTGCCTGGAATCATAAGCCTACTATCTTGGACCATGAAGATGTGAAGCAGAGGCCAGAAGTGGTCTGCAAAGAGATGACTGTGAATCCAAGATCCACATCAGCTCTGTGCTGCCTACATCTGACTTCTCCGGGAACAAAAAGAACAAACACCACTACTCTGTTTAAGCCACCATGTTTAGAATCTTTGTTGCTTGCAATTGAGCCTAATCATAAGGATATATCTTGAGAAGTGCTTTCCAAATTCTCTGAGGGAAGTCAGGAGACATCATGAGCAAAGAGAGTTTAAAGAGGCTGAGTTAGCCCTCCTCACTCACTGCCATCCCAACCCAATTGTGTCTGTGCCACTTCTGTGTATTTTACCTGTTGACTTAGAGTTTGTTTGAAGATGGAAGGACTAGAAGCTCTCCCAAGTCCCATCCATTTCTGACATTCTAAACATCTGTCCATATGTATAACCATTATAAAAGGAAAGAATTCCATAAAGAGGAGGCGGATCTCCCTATCATGTGCACATAGGCAAACATGGGCATCGATGGTCATAGCCTTCATTCCTGATGGTGGAATTTCAGGCATGGTGGCAGGTGCTGGAGAAGATCTCTGTCTCCTTTGTCTATGTCTCAGGCCTGCCTGAGTGGCGTCCTCTTATTTCCTGCCCACCCTGTGCTACCCATCCCAGAGCTGGGTAGGTAGCAGGTATTTAGGGGATGTTGACTGGATATGCTGAATGAACATGGGCTGAATGAGCCCATGCTGGCATCTCCATACTAACTTTTGTACATTAAGTGCTCTCACTGGCTGTCTCAAATGAGCTGTGGGTTTGTTTCTTGGCAGTTCTGTAGTTGTGGCCTTATTTCTTCCCATTCTTACGCCAGGAGTCTTTGTGGCAGGCTGGAAATTCTGCCCAGCACCAAGCCCATAGCAGAGACAGCAGACATCGGAAACAGGCTGGACCTGCAGTGGCCGCGCCTGTGTGGTGCATGCGTATGCATTCATGGTTTCTCCTCTTCTGTCTCTCCGGGGCTGGTGTCACTCTGCCCAGGAGTTCACCCAGGCGGCTCAGAAGGGTGGCTGCTGTGGAACGTGATAAATTTAGAGCACCAGGAAGTTGGGAAGCTGCAGCCATCAGCAGCTGAAGCAGACGGGGGCAGAACTGAATGGTCTCTTCTGGGTTTTTAATGAAGCCGCCCTAACTCCCCAGTCCCTGTGGCTTTTATCGGGTGCTATTAGTAACCCTTTTGTACAGATGGTAAAGCAGAAGCACAAAGAGGTTCAGCAGCTTGCGTGTGACCCCTTAGCCTCAAAGTGACTGTCCAGTTCATTTTTCACCCCTACTTATCTGTTGATCCAGCAGGTGTGGAAGTGCTTTGCAAACTGTAGGATGTAATCTATGTGGAAGGAATTGCTGCTGTTAGTGCTCGTCTTTCAGAGAGAGCAGTGGCAGTTGGCACCACCCCTTATAAGCTGAGACCTACTTCATCTTCCTGGGTCCCATTCATGCAGCCAAGATGGAGTGAGTGTGTGAGCAAATGTGCATGTGTGTATAAGCATGTGTGTATACACGCCTGTGTGAGGGTACCCTGCCTGCAGCTTTAGCCGAGGCTGTCATTTCTGATGCAGGAGAACCTGCACTTTGCCCCATCTCCACAGTTCGTTATTTTCCAGCTGGGCGCCTGTCACCAGCACTCGGGAAGCACGTGTCAGCTGGGCCTGAAGGATGGCTTAGCCAGTCGAGGGGCTCTGGCAGGGGTGGGGACCGTGACCTGGGGCCAGGAGTAGGTGGGGCAAGGAAGTCTGCCCAGTTGCCCTAGTGATGTGGGGGTGGCCCCAGGAGACGTGCCTTGCCCCTGCTCCTACCCCGGGGCTCTGCTTCCTGCCTGTCAGGTGAGTATGAGGGAGATGGGCTGATTCGATGGGGGTAGAGAGGCGGGCCACGTGAGCTCTGCCCTGGGGTCAGCCTCCATTCATCACTTTCTCTGACACCTTTCTGCTGCAGCTTCTCTCTTTCGGTGAAAGGGAAGGTAGGAGGAGGGGAAGGTAAGGAGGGGAAACTTCCAGAGCCTTCAGGGCCTGAGGGGTTGGTGACATGGGGATGAGGCTTAGATTTAGGACCAGGGATCTGGGCCAGCCTTAGAAAAATTAGTGAAGGGGCAACACCTGGGCCCAGGAGGCCAAAGACCTGGGTGTCCTAGCAGTGTTGCCTCAGAGTTCTTCACAGTGGTCCTGCAGCCAAAGCCTGAGCTCCAGCCTGGGCGCCCATAAGCTAGGCGCCCATATAAAAGGCACTGGGAAACTTCACCTCTCTGTGCCTTAGTTTCCTCATCTGTAGAAGGGAAATATTAATAGTCTCTGCCTTATAGGGCATTATGAGGGCTAAATGACTTAGAATGGGACTTGGCCTTAGGAGGGATTTGATAAAGGGTAGCTGCTATTATCACTGTTGTTACTTTGGTTGAGGCTGTACCCTTAACCCACCATGGAGACCTTGGTCAAGAGGCTCTCATCTCTGTAGGCCTAACGTTGGCTGCATAAGCTCCCCAAGCCCTCTCAGCCATTGCTGTATGAGGGGGACAGTAATTCCTTCCCATAAGCCCAGCAACAGAGAGGGGTCCTACATAAGGGACAAGTAGGAAGCAAGGGGGCATTGGTGATGCGATGACTTGGAAAGGCCCTTCCACTGCCTGTGGGAAGAGGTGGTCTGCTTTTGGAACTTCCAGCCTTTTTCATGATCCCCCAATACAGCTCCATCTGTAACCTTCTCCTAGAATTTTTCTTATAGCCAGTTGTGAGATTGGGGACCAAGCTGACAAGATAATGCCTTCAGGGTGAGCCTTGTTCTGCACATGGCATTTTCAAGGGAGATCTGGAAGACTGAAAAATCCTTGGAGGCCTGATAGGCTGGCATGCTAACAGTGGCATTCCAGACCTTGTGGTAGGTACAGTTGGGGCAAGCTGGGTTTTTCTAGGGAAGAGCCTGTTCAATGCCTCCCTAATCATACCTTATAGGCAGCTGATCTTCAGGCATGCCCATGCTTGGATGCCTGTAGCTATTTTACCTGTTTGCTTTCCTCCTTCTCTCTCTCCCTCCTCCACCATTTCCTTCCTTCCCTCCCTTCCTTCCCTCCCTCTCTTCCTCCTTTTCTTCCTTCTTTTCTCTCTCTCTTTTATCTTGGATATGTGATATTAATATGCCAGGTAGTTGTCCTAAAACCCAATCTGGGTTAAACTGAACTCCAACTGCCCATGCATGTGTGCACGTGTTTGCATGTGACTTACCCCGAAGCTTGGTAGGCTTTTGGAGAACACTGCACTTATATCCATCATTTTGTAGAATAAACTGAGGATTGGGAAGGTGGAAGATTTCCCCAAAGCCACATGGCCAGTTACAGGTAGGGCTGAATAGAACCAAGGTCTCTTTCCTCCTGTAAGTATCTTTCCAGGATATCAAGTTCCTCATTTCATAAATGAGAAAACAGCAGCCCAGAGGGGTTGAGTGACTTACCTAAGGCCACACAGCCAGGGCGTTTATCTGTCCTCTCTACCCATGATTCTCCAGAGATTCCAGTTTTCCCTAAGTGCCTATAGACTGACAGTGAGGGCCCTTGGGTAAAGTGCCCCATTAGCAGGGAAATGGCTAATTTCCCCTGGATTCCCTCTGACTCTCTAGGTTTGAGCAGACTCTGCTTCTGAGGGCTGAGTATTTATTTCCTTCTGGAGTCAAGCAGCCTTGCTGAAGTGCAGACTTTGATGTGGGTCCTCTGCCCTCCTCCCTATGTGACTGCCCTGCTTCCCCAGCCTTTCCAGCCTGGAGTGCACACCAAGCCTCCCTCTAGCTCACAGGCTCAACTGCAATCTGGAACAGGCCCTGTTCCAGCCTGCCACAGGCTCTGGGCTGTACATGTTCATAGTGGATAATTTTATTTAATTCTCCAATGACCCTCTAATAATAATATTATTTTTTATAATTTACAAGTGTAAAAATCAAGGCATAAAGAGTTTTAATGTAATCTGTTCAAGAGCATGCTGTAAATGAGTGTTAGTAGGTGGTAGAACCAACATATCAATTTATGCTATTCTCCAGCCTCTTTTTTATTTTTTGTACTTATTTATTCATAATTTCAACTTTTATTTTTAGATTCAGGGAGTATATGTGAAAGTTTGTTGCATGGGTATATTGTGTGATGCTATGTGTTGGGGTACAAATAATCCCATTACCCATGTAGTGAGCCTAGTACCCAACATGAGTTTTCCAACCCTTAACCACCTCCATCCCTCTAGTAGCCCCCAGTGTCTATTGTTGCCATCTTTATGTTTATGAGTACCCAGTATTTACCTCCCGCTTATAAGTGAGAATATGCTGTATTTGGTTTTCTGCTCCTGCATTAATTCATTTAGAATTATGGCCTCCAGCTGCATCCATTTTCTGCAAAGGAAATAATTTTGTTCTTTCTTATGGCTGCATAGTATTCTGGGGTGTGTATATGCCACATCTTCTTTATCCAATCCACTGCTGATAGGCACCTAGGTTGATTCCATGTCTTTGCTATTGTGAATAGTGCTGCAGTAAACATGCAAGTGCAGGTGTCCTTTTGGCAGAAGGATTTCTTTTCCTTTGGGTATATACACAGTAATAGGATTGCTGGGTTGAATGGTAGTTCTATTTTCAGTTATTTGAGAAATCTCTGAACTACTTTCCACAGGGGCTGAACTGTTTTACATTCCCACCAACAGTGTATAAGCATTCCCTTTTCTCTGTAGCCTCACTAGCATCTGTTGCTTTTTGACTATTTAATAGTAGCCATTCTGAATGTGTATGAGATGGTATCTCATTGTGGTTTTGATTTGCATTTCTCTGACGATTAGTGATGTTGGGCATTTTTTCATATGTTTGCTGGGCCCTTGTATGTCTTTTTTTGGGAAGTGTCTGTTCATGTCTTCTGTTCACTTTTTAATGGAGTTTGTTTTTGCTTCTTGAATTGTTTAAGTTCCTTACAGATTCTGGATATTAGGCCTCTGTCAGATACATAGTTTGTGAATATTTTCTCCCATTTTGTAGGTTGTCTGTTTACTCTGTTGATAGTTTCTTTTGCTGTGCAGAAAGTTCTTTAGTTTAATTAGGTCCAGCTTGTCAATTTTTATTTTTGTTGCAATTGCTTTTGAGGACTTAGTCAGAAATTATTTCCCAAGGCTGAGGTACAGAATGGTGTTTCCTAGGTTTTCTTCTAGGATTCTTACAGTCTGTGGTCTTATATTCCAATATTTAATTCATCTTGAGTTAATTTTGTATATGGTGATATGTAGCGGTCCAGTTTCATTCTTCTGCATATAGCTAGCCAGCTATTCCAGCAGCATTGATGGAATAGGGAGTCCTTTCACCATTGCTTATTTTTGTTGACCTTGTTGAAGAGCAGATGGCTATAGGTGTGGAGCCTTATGCCTTGGTTCTCTATTCTGTTCCATTGGCCTATGTGTCTCTTCTTATACTAGTACCATGCTGTTTTGGTTATTGTAGCTTTATAGTATAGTTTGAAGTCAGATAGTATGATGCCTTCAGGCTTGTTCTCAGAATTAAAAATAAAAACCATATTATCATCTTAATATACACAGTATAAGCCTTCAATAAAATCCAACGTCCATTCATGATAAAAACTCTCAACAAACTAGGCATCAAGGAACATACCTCTAAATAGTGAGAGCTATCTATGATAAATCCAAAGCCAATATCATACTGAATGGGCAAAAGCTGGAAGCATTCCCCTTGAGAACTGGAACAAGACATAGATGCCCACTCTCACCAATCCTATTCAACATGGTATTGAAAGTCTTAGCCAGAGCAATTAGGCAAGAGAAGGAAATAAAAGGCACCTAAATAGGAAAAGAAGAAGTCAACTATCTCTCTTTGCTGATGATATGATTCTATACCTAGAAAACCATAAAGGCTCCATCAAAAAGCTCCTGGAATTGATAAACGACTTCAGTAAATTTTTAGAATACAAGGTCAATGTATAAAAATCAGTAGCATTTCTATACACCAATAATGTTCAAGCTGAGAGCCAACCAAGAAGGCAATCACATTTACAATAGCGACCAAAACTAAAATACCTAGGAATATGTCTAACTAAAGAGGTGAAAGATCTCTACAAGGAGAATTACAAAACACTATTGAAAGAAATCATAGATGACACAAACAAATGGAAACACATCCCATGCTCATGGATTGGAAGAATCAATATCATAAAAATGACCATACTGCCCAGGGTGATCTACAGATTCAACACTATTCCTATCTAATTACCAGCATCATTTTTCACAGAAATAAAAACTATTCCAAAATTCATATGGAACCAAAAAAGAGCCCAATCCCAGACTCTTTTTAATGGTTTTCTAGTACTTGACCCCAGCCCAAGATGGCATTGCAGCTTGCTCTGTTTAGCTCTTGGCTGGTGGTGTTCCTGCTAGGTTTTATTTTTTATTTTTTGGAAAGGTTTTAGAGTTTTGCTATTTTACATTTAGGTGTTTAATCCACATGGAATTTATTTTTCCATATGATATGCAGCAGATATCTCGTCCTGAGGCCTTGCAGTCATTCTGCAGTTCTGCTGTCTAGTCTTCTGACTGCCTGGAGCAGACACCAAAACCCATTTGTATTTGTTTAGACATTGGCTGGTGTTGTCTCTGCAAGTTTCTCACAGGGACCTAGAACAACTGTTGGCTAAGGGCAGAGCCCATATTTGTCCTGACAGCCAGTCCTAATCATGGAATTTAAATGTCAGAAAGGTTCTTTAAAACAGTGTACTTCAAACACTCTCATGTTGTTTTCTTTTCGCAAGCAAGCTTTATTGTACTTTTCTTCAAAAGTGACAACTCACATTAGAGAAAGCTCAGAAAACATAAGGTAAGCAAAATAAATAAATAAACACAACTACTCGTAATCCTACCTCCTCCAGAGATAATTCTGATAAATGTTTTGGTCTATATTCTTTTCACCCTTTAAAAAATGAAATATTTTACTTGAAATTATGACAGTACAGGGGATAATATAGAAGACACTCATATGTCCACTACTGAGGTGTGACAGGATGTTTTATTTGCTACTCATTTTACTAAATGAAACGTAATATAATTGAGGCTTCCTTTGTTTCCCACTCCACACTGCCACCATTTTCTCCTTTCTGGAGGTAACTCCAATTTTGAATTCAGAGAGCATCTTTCCTGCCCAGTTTTTATACTTTGCCACATTGATAAGTTTTCATCCATAACAATGTAGGGTTGCTTTGTGTGAATTTTACGTGAATGCCACCATCCAGTTCACATAATCCTCCAACTTTCTGCTTTTCCTCAGTATTACATTTTTGAGATTAACTGTGGTGTTACTTGTAGATCTAGTGAATTAGTTTTTACTGCTGTATAGGGTTCCATTGTATGATTATACTCCTATACTATACTATAGCAGTACTATACTATAGTGTCATATAGTATGCTATGTTACTATACTATGCTTTTCCAGTCTACTGGTGATCCAGTTGACAACAAGAATTATCAATGTCTGATTGTAACAAATGATGCTGCAAGGAATATATTTGTCTAGATCTCCTTGTATAGAGAGAGAAATTGCTGAGTCATGAGATATTAACAGTTTCAGCTTTACCAGTTATTGTTCAAATAGCTGTGTCCATTTACATACCTATTTGAAGCATGTGAGAGTCTCCATGCCATTACACCTTGGATAAAACTAGGTATTATAAGGCTTTTCAATTTTTTCTAATCTGCTGGGTATAAACTGGTATCTTATTGCCATTTTAAATTGAGGCCTCTCTAATTATTAATGAGGTTGAACATCTCATAAGTTTGTCAATCATTCTCCTCTTTTGTGGATTGCATTTAATGTATTTAATGTATTTGTCTTTCTAATATATTTGTAAAATTCTTAGATATTCTGGCTACTCTTTCATTTTTCATCATGAGGGCTGTAGATATCTTCTTCCAGGTCGTAGCTTCATTTTTCACTTTGTTAGGGTGTGTGTGTGTGGGTTTTAAGGTGCTTCAGTTTGTCAGATGTTTCCTTTATGGTTTTTGCTTTTCACATTTTGTTAAGAAAGTTCTTCCTAAACTAAACCCATACAGATATACTTCTATAGTTTTTCTTTCTTTTTTTGGAAAGCTTTTAGAGTTTTGCTATTTTACATTTAGGTGTTCACGTGGAATTTATTTTTCTGTATGATATGCAGCAGAAATTTAATTTCATCTTCTTCCATTTGACTGGCCAATTGTCTCAGTACTGTTTCAACTCTTTGACATTACATATGACAAAACAGAGGTCCAGAGAGGTGGAGGGACTTGCTTACGGTCACACAATGACTTTGTGGTGAGATTGTGACAGGGAACAAAGTTTTCTTAACTCCCAACCCAGTGCGCCCACACAACGATACTACTGTGTTACAAAATTTTATCTTGGACTATTTTCTACTATCCTAATATAGAAATCCATAAATATGATTATAAATGTCTTGAAAGTGGGGATTCTGTCCTTTTCTCCTGCCACCTCTATGTACTTACTTAGTGCAAGGCCGAATATCTGGCAGGCACTCAGGAAGACATTGCTAAAAATAAATCAGTTAATTCAACAGATTGATTCTATAATAATCAGTTCTTTTAAATTCAGCTCTTTGTTTCATCTCATATAGGTTTCTATATTTAGACATATCCCTTCATTCAACAAACATTTACTGAATACCTATCATGTTCCTGGCACTGTGTCAGCTGCTAGAGATTAAAAGAGAGGAGTAAGATGTGTTTCCTGCTCTCAAGGAGCTTAAAGTGTAGTGAGAGAGACTGAAAAGTCAACCAGTAATGGTATGAACGTGCTATTAAACAGTATGTAATGGGAGACAGGAGGAGATAAAATCTGCTAAAAAATCAGGAAGGCTTTCTGATAGAGGAGACACTTGAGCCTTTAAGAGTGAGGAAGTGTGATTCATTTGCCAAGGGTGGAGAAGGTGTAATATTCAGAAGAAACATCATGAGCAAAGGCAGAAATCTAAGGTACTCAGCCACAGTTCACTGTGACATGAACATAAAATAATTAGTCAACCAAATGACATTTGTTCGTTTTTAAAAGGCCCCTGCTTCCTGGGTGTTTCTAGCCTAACTCAGATTTGACCACAGCCAAACACGGCATCCCAAATGCTGCCTGCCTTGTCATTGACTAAACCATGTGTATTTAGGGGCTCTATTTTGTAATTTTCCCTTGTCTAAAGTGGACACCAACTTTTTGTGGAGGAGTATGGCTTTCTCCTTGTTTTATGTTTGTAAATTGACCTTCCCATTTTTGCCATCATTTCTGTTACCAGTGCTATTATTCTGGGCCTCTCTCATGCAGCCAGAATAACATGTGAGACACCAGCCTGGAGTGACAGTGTGCCTGACAAAAACAGAAATAGCCCAGCTCATATTATTTCCAAAAGAATTATCCCCTGGAGGTGATTTTTAATTTGGGGGTTTTGCTGCAAAATGGAAACCTGACTACTAAGGTTGCTTTGCAACCCAAATGCTTCTCCTACCAGTCAATTATCAAAATGAGACTTGCTGGATACTGTAGCAAGTCTTTCCGGGCTTTCTCCTTTAATGGGTCAAGTCCAAGTTGCCTCCTTTATTGGGAAGAGCTGGGGGCAACTGCACAGTTTAATTTGCTAGTTAGGGGGAAGGGAAGATGGCAGGCGGGGTAGGGAGGGGAAGGTTCTCACATGCAAATAAAGAAAAGCACAAAAGGTAGGCAGAGCAGCCCTAAATTAGAGCTAGTTACCTCAGCTGGGCAGCAGTGACGCGATGGTGGTTGGTTGTAAGGGATTAAGAATTCAACCTGGGAATAAGATTAGGGTTTATGCACAGCAGAAGCAAACTTGCACAAAGATTAATTGGTATCTATTGGGTACTGGTATGAGGCATTTATGCTATTTTGGTATTTTTTTGGGACTTGAGGGAAAAAAGAAAGGAGATAGAGACAGAAGCAAAGTTGAATGTGGAAATCCAGAGAGGCCTTTTCTTGGTATTAGGATTTCATGAAATTTTACTCCCAGCCACAGCAGGGAGAAGGAGGTGGCCTCAGAGCCTTGATGGGCTTGAAAATGAATTCTGTGTTGCCTCCATTGTGAGCCTTGCATGTGCTATTTAAACTTGACATGTCATAAATCCAATAGCAGCAAACAGAAGGGCACTGGCTTGCTGTCCACTTTTATTTGCACGGCTGCAGGAAATGATGTTAGCATGTGAAAGTGGTAGGCACTGCAAACCACTCAGTCTGAGGGACTCGGGGGCTGGACCTGGGGACCCTAAGATGCAGGCTTGGGGGCCACTGTGTGATTTAGGGCATCCAGCCTACTGTGTCTAGATGGCATCTGCCTGACTCTGGCTTAGGATCAGGGCATCCCCCTACCTCCCAGAACAACCCTTACTTCAGGGGAATTAGTGTATGTGTTTCTAAGCTGTAATAAAACTTCGTGGTTTCCATCTGTGTATAATCAGCTATCTTTTACTTAGCTCCTTGGGGACAGGACCATGTCTTGTTCATGCCTTTGTCCTCAGTGTGACCACAGCATGAGACAGTTGGTGTTTGTCTAGATCATATTTGTTAAATGGATGAAATGGATGGAAAAGTTGGGGCTGCACCAGAGCTTTCCATGGGGCAGATGTCGTCAGTCTGTATTGGATTTAGCAGTCATTTAAGTGCAGTGTTGACTTAATAATTTGAGGAGCTCTAAAAGACCTTCCTGGTCAGGTGTGGTGGCTCACACCTGTAATCCCAGCACTTTGGGAGGCCGAGGTGGGTGGATCACTTGAGGTCAGTTTGAGACCAGTCTGGCCAACATGGTGAAACCCTGTCTCTACTAAAAATAAAAAAAAATTAGCCAGATGTGGTGGCGGGCTCCTGTAATCCCAGCTACTCAGGAGGCTGAGGCGGGAGAATCACTTGAAACTGGGAGGCGGAGGTTGCAGTGAGCCGAGATTGCACCACTTACTTGAGCCTGGGTGATCGAGTGAGACTCTGTCTCAATTTAAAAAAAAAAAAAAAGAGGACTTTCCTGTGTCCAACATCTCATTCTTGGCCTCCTTGTCTGCTTGGACTTTCCCCCTTAGTCCAATACCTCGTGCATATCAAGAGTCTCCGTTTCATTTGTGCCTCTTCATTTTTCAGTAACTAACAAAAACGTCTTGTTTTAGAATCCAAGGACTGTAAATCAGCTCTAGGTTTTGTATGGGGCCTAATGTTTTCTTTTGATAGCATGAGCAACTGATATGGTTTGGATATGTGTTCCCACCCAACTCTCATATTGAAATGTAATCCCCAATGCTGGAGGTGGGGCCTGGTGGGAGGTGATTGGATAATAGGGGCGGTTTCTCATTAATGGTTCAGCACCACCCTCCCAGTGCTGTTCTCATGATATCATGAGATCTGGTTGTTTTAAAAGAGTGTAGCACCAGCCTGCTCTCTCCCTTCCTCCTGCTCCAACCATGTGAGGTGCTGCTTACCCTTTGCCTTCTGCTGTGATTGAGTTTCTTGAGGACTCCCCAGAAGCTGAGCAGATACCAGCATCATGCTTCCTGTAGAGCCTGTGGAACTGTGAACCAATTAAACCTTTTTTTTTTTTTTTTTTTTTAATAAATTACTCAACCTCAGGTATTTCTTTGTAGCAGTTTGAGAACAGACTAATACAGCAACATTGTACTAAGGAAGAGTCCAGCTCAGAAGAAAGTTTCTAAGATTTTCCTTTTCCTTTTCTCTTCTGTGCAATCAGAGAATGCACTGAAAGGTCACTCCTCAGATAAGTAGCACATTACGGAGGTCAGCGTGGCTGGTCCTGGGAGTGTCAGTATGCACTCTTGCTCTTGAAAGCATGCTTCATTCAAGGACTCAATTTTAACATTTTTAGTGCAACTTCTTATTAAAGCCAACTGTCCTTGAAACATAGAGAGCTGGAAGGACCTTGCAAAGACTTTCAGCTCATTCTCTTTCATCAGTGTTGAATTTTATTATATCATTTAAAGTCCTCAAGATTCTTTAAGAAGATTCCTCAGTCTTCTGGGGGTCTGTCTTCCTTGGCCTCAGACCCCTGTTGGTTTAAATATTCATCTAATTTTCTAATTCCTTATTTTCCAGCTGAAATTCACCCAAAAGGCTTTCTCTGTGTATCAAAATAGTTTGCTTTCATTCCGTCCTTGGGGTCTGGAGAAAGTGGTGGCTGGGATAGAGCCCTGGGGAGATGGGAGGTGGACATGTGTGAAGGGAGCCACATCAAGAAGTTCTCCAATTGGGGTGTCCCTGGTTCCTGTTTCATCCTCCCCACAGTATCCAGAAGCCTCCTTTGCCTTGTTCCCCTCCATGAGGGCAGAGATGTTGGAGGCTGTCAGGGCTTTGAGCACTTGGGCTGGCACCTGAGACTTGAGTGAAAGAAATGAGGAAAATGGAGTGCAGTCCTCAACCAAACCTTCCTGAAATGAAAGGTGTTCTTCTCTTCCTATTATGCTGTGATTAAGGACATTATCCTTAGCAAAATAACTCAGGTACAGAAAACTAAATACCACTAATAATGAGAACAAATGGACACACAGAGGGGAGCAACAGACACTGAGACCTACCTGAGGGAGGGAATGGGTGGAGGGAGACGATCAGAAAAATAAATATTGGGTACTATGCTTAGTACCTGGTTGGTGAAATAATCTGTACAACAACCCCACCCCATTTGAGTTTACCTATATAACAAACCTGCACATGTACCCCCGAACCTAAAATAAAAGTTAAAAAAAATAGCTAGGTAAATTGGGGTTTAAATCTCAGTCCTGACACTTAATAACCATGTGACCCTTTGGCAAATTACATCACCTCTCATGTTCCATTTCCTTACCTGTGAGATAGGAATAGCACCTAATTTATAAACCGTGGGGAGATTATATATAAAGCATTATGTGTTGTGGCTAAGAGCAGTCAAACCATCTGGTAATCCTTGTTCTGCTACTCTTTAGCTTTGAAAATTTGGAAACATCACTGACTCTTTTTATGTTGCAGGTTTATCCTCTGTAAAATGGATGAAAAATAGTGCTTAGCTCATGAGATTATCAAGAGGCAGATGGTGGTTAAGGGTGTAGCCTTCGAAATGAGACTATCTGGATCTGAATCTCAGCTCTGTCATTTCCTAGCTCTGTGGCCTTGGGTAATTCACTTAACCTCTCTGTGCTTCATTTCCAGCATCTTTACAATGAGGAGCATAATAGTACCGTTATGCAGGGTTATTGTAATGATTGAATTAATATAGACAAACCACTTAGAGCACATACTGGCATCTTAAAAGTGCTATATAAGTTTTAGAAATTATCAATGGGCCGGGCGCAGTGGCTCACACCTGTAATCCCAGCACTTTGGGAGGCAAGGCAGGCGGATCACAAGGTCAGGAGTTCGAGGCCAGCCTGGCCAATATGGTGAAACCCTGTCTCTACTAAAAATACAAAAATTAGCCGGACATGGTGTTAGGTGCCTTTAGTCCCAGCTACTTGGAAGGCTCAGGCAGAGGTTGCAGTGAGCCAAGATTGCGCCACTGCACTCCAGCCTGGGCAACAGAGTGAAACTCTGTCTCAAAAAGGAAATTATCATTGAAAAAGTTGAGTGAATGATACAGGCAAGGTTGCTTAAATGGTGTCTGGTACATGCGAAACCCTCAATAACTATTTGCTGAGGCACCTGGAACAGAGTGGGTCTTCATTAAACATTAATTCTCTTTCTCCCCTGTCCCAGGTGTGTGGAGTGGGGGCCCTGTCCTTCCTTCACTTACCCAACATATGCATAGCACCAGGCAGGTAGGTAGGTGGAGAAACCGTGATGCTCAGGACTGGGAAGGATGGAGAGTGCGTTTATAATGTAGGTGGAGAAGCCATGTGCTTCAATGGCACTCTTTTGTTTAAAGTAACACCACAAAGCCAAGCAGAAGTTCTGCCCTAAGCATTCCTATTTTTGGTCAATATGCTGCGAGGGAGCAAAGGAAATGGGGCTAAATTAAAGTAGCATTTATAAATAATAATGATGAATAAATGATTCATCAAAGTTGCTTTGCAAAGTAAATTATTCCGAGACACACAGAGACCTGTCGGAATGATTGTAAACTAGTTAATAGATGATGTTGTTGCAACTTGCGAGGAAGCACTTCGGAGCAGCAGCCCAAGCAGTTATTTATGCTTCTGCAAATTCTAGCATAATTTAAGAAAAAGGGAAATTTACTTACCAGCTCTTAATAAAGTATTCATGCTACCTTAATGTGAAATGTTACCAAAATTATTTAGTGACTTATTGATTCCATTGGGTTTTATGTTACTCTTGGTATTCTTTGGTGACAATTAACTAAGACAGTGTGGCCTTTGATTTAAACAGTTCCTTTCTTTGGCAAATTCTCTGGATTTCAGGAAACTTTGCAGGGTAGAGATGGAGGGATTAGAGGAGAGTCTGGGGCATGGAGCATGGAACATATGGAGCCATATTGTGGACCTGGATGTCCTTGGGAGACTGTCATGGATCTATGGATGGCCAGAGGTGGAAGGAACTTATTACGTCTTCCCAAATGAATAAACTGAAGATCCAAGAGGCTAAAGGATCCACTGAAGCCCATGCAGCAGAAGAGTGGCAAAGTCCTAGACCTACTACGTTGGGCTAAAGTCCTGTATGGTGTTTCTC
Source organism: Homo sapiens (assembly GCF_000001405.40). Taxonomy (NCBI): domain Eukaryota; kingdom Metazoa; phylum Chordata; class Mammalia; order Primates; family Hominidae; genus Homo; species Homo sapiens. The sequence continues at coordinate 47,395,154 of NC_000018.10, forward strand.
CCTCCATGGGGCACCTTACAATGGGCCACCAGGGATCCATCCCATGCAGTGGAAAAAAGGTATTAAGTGCTTACTGAGTGCATGACATAAACACTTGAGCCAACTGAAGATTAAGTTTAGATAGATAAAACAGAAAATCCAAATAAGAGTGGCTAAAATGAAATAGTGGTTATGAACAGGAAGTCTGGGTGTAGGTGGCTGTTTATGTGAGCTATAGGTGAGATCTCTACTATTGGCCTTTCTCTACTGCCTTGGCCTTTCCCTCATCGTTGAAAAATGGCTGCAGCTCCAGCCATCATCTGTGTTCCCAGCAGGAGGAAGGGCAAAGTCAGTTAAAAAGGATAAGACCTGTATCAGGCAAGCAAATATTTCCTCCCCATGGGGCTGCCAGTTACATCTCTTGGGCAAGACACTACCTTCTGGCAATCCAGGCTGCAGTGAGGCTGGAAAATATAATTTGTTTAGCTGGGTTTAATGAACTCCCAACAAAATTGGGGCTCCATTAGAAAGGTAGGAGAGACTGGATATGCAACTGAAAGTCTCTGTCATGCCTGATTATTTTATTTCTTACAGCAACCCTATAGGATAGATGAGTATTATTGTTCCCATTTTTCAGATAAAAAAACTGAGGCCTAGAGAGATTAATCTGCTCAAGGAATAGAGTTGAGGCTTAAATGTAGGGACTGTGTGGCATCAAAAGCCTCACTCTTTTTTTTTTTTTTTTTTTTTTTCAGAGACAGAGTTTTGCTCTGTTGCCCAGGCTTGAGTGCAGTGGTGTGATCATGGCTGGCTGCAGCCTTGAACTCCTGGGCTCAAGCAATCCTCTCACCTCAGCCACTTGAGTAGCTAGGACTATAGGCTAGCAGCCAGCATCAGCGTGCTCAGCTAATTTAAAAAAAAAAAGTTTTATTCAGATGGGGTCTTGCTGTGTTGCCCAGGTTGGTCTTGAACTCTTGGGCTTAAGTGATCCTCTTGCCTTGGCCTCCCAAAATGTGCTGGGCTTACAGGTGTGAACCACCACACACGGCCCAAGCCTTACTCTTAGCCACTGTGCCATCCTACCTCTCTGGTAGGAAATCTTTTCCTGCCTTGCATCTGACAACAGCTTCCTAGAACCTCAATCTCCTCATGAGGGGTGATCGGAGACATTCCAAAGCAGGGGGAGAAACTGGCAGAAAGATCCCTTGCCTGGCATGTGACACCAGGCTTTGCATATAGGGGACCCCATATATGCCTGGCACATGACACAGGGCTTTGCATATAGGGGACCCCATATATGCCTGGCACATGACACAGGGCTTTGCATATAGGGGACCTCATTCACTATGAGGGGAGGGAAGTAGGAGGCACAGAAAGAGGACTCTAAGAGGGTAGGGTCACATATAGAATTCCACGAGGAGACAAATATGACAGATGCCTAGCAGCCGGTGCCAGCCTTGAGCAGAAGAGAAGTTGGAGATGGTGATCTCTGGCACCCTTGGTCTGCCACCCTTGCCCAGGCCCGTTTCCCCCTCACTGGACTCCCACTCTCCTTTCAGCTGCCCACTGCGCCCTATGTCCTTATCTGCTTAATGTAATCCCAATCTCATGGAAAGGCCTTCTACCAGTTAGCTTGCATCATAACATGACTTTATAGAAAATCATGGAGGGACAACTGAGGATATGGAATTTACCCCCATTCCCTTTTATTTGACAGAAAAGAAAATTGAGGTGCAGAGAGGAGAAATCTACCTCCAAACTATATACAGAAAGTCAGTGGCAGGCTGGAAAGGGAGCCTAGGACTCCTGACTCCTAGTCTAGTGTGTGCATATGTGTACAATGTGTGCACTGGGTGTGGGTGCACGTGCATGTGTGTGTGTGTGCATGTGTCTATTTCCTGTTTGCATTTTAAATTTCATTTTGCACGGTGCAATTGAAGACATCCCCTCCTGCTAAGGAATAGAGACTTCAGGGAACACATGGGGAAAAACTGACAGCAGGGTATAGTCCTGATCTCTTAACATAGAGGTGGATGCCTACTCTACCTAGTCAGAGATTGAAGTCTCTTGACAATCAGTGAAAAGGAGGCAGATAGAAAGACCCACAGCTGTAGAGAAAATGAAGAATAGATCTGGAGCCAGGGCGGCTGGTTAGGGGAACCTGTTGACATAAGGTTCAGAAAATTCAGGTGCAGAGCTTTCTACTCTATTACAAATGTTTAGTCCTTAAGGCAGAGACAAGAGCTCAGGGCAGCTTAACTTTGCCTCCAGCTGCATTGGAATCAGAATGGACTTAGACCTGCAGATGCACAGACCAACATGGCAGCTCCTCCTGGGTCCTGGCCTTGCTGCTGATGGGATGAAGGCTGCCTTGGTTAAGGGTGGGCCAAGATTTCTGCTCTGAGGATTTTTCTTTGAAGTTTTATAAATCAGCCAGCAAGACAGCCAATTTCAAGCTGAGATGTCATATTGAAGGCCTCAACCCAAGATCAATTGCTGGCTGACTTTGATTCTCTGTCATGGAGCCTGGGCCAGTCTTGCCCCAACTGGGACATAGTCAAATCTTGACTTTTGATGCTTTCAACTCAGCCCTTCGTTCTTTTCTTGGCCCCAACCCTGCTCCCCGGGCAACTATTTTCCATGTTAAGGGGTTCATCGATTACCCTTTTGCCCTGGAGTACACTGATTCCAGAGGTGTTACCCCTCAGAGAATATCCTGCAATTTGGCTATGCTGCCATAAGGGGGCGATAGTTCCATTGACCAGGTACTAAGAATGGTAACGTGAGAGGAGAAAACTAGCAGCTGTAGTGTTCAGTTTGGCAGTGCCTTTTTAAAAATCTTGAATTCGTCACAAATATTTTAACAGTAGGAGCCTGCCCATAAAAATTCCGATTTGGGGCTTCTTTTGAAATATCAGGATATCTAGCAACATTCCCTCCAGCAGACAGCCAGCTGGTGCTGAGTAGGGACTGCCGCCTTGGGGCAGGATGTGCAGCCTCCTGTGGCCACTGTCCTCACCTGGCTGGCAGCCACTCATTTACATTACCCGTCTGCTTCCCAAAGCCCCTGTTTAAGCTTTAGGCATATTTGAGCTAGAGAGAATATTAATTAAAAAATTTAAATAGCATAGCTTTAAAAAAGTTAAAGCATCTGAACTTAGGTGGCAACCAAGGTCTGCACTTCCTTAGGATCAACTTTCAAGTAGACAAAAATCTAAGATTCTTTGATAACTCTCTTATACACTTGTCTTAAACTTGAACCAATTTCAGTTTTCAGAATATACCACACTTTCTCTTGATGGTGATCAATCATCCTCGATTGCCTGGTACTTAGGGCTTTCCTAGAATGTGGAACTTTGAGTGCTACAAAGAAGAAAGTCCTGGGCAAACCAGGACACATTGTTCAACCTGCTTATCTGTGGGCCACGCTGCCTACCTGGAATGCCTTCCCTTGGCCTGGCTCACCACTCCCGCACCCTTCGGGTCACAGCTTAGACAAATCTGCCTTGATTACCCCTCTCCCTACAGCCTGCACCAGGTATCCCCACTCCCCCTTGCACTGCAGTCTCCATCTGTGCTAATTTATCTGCTCACCTGTCTGCTTCCTGCTAGACCATGAGCTCCCAGGCATTGGCTCAAGGGTCTCCCACTCAAGGCTGAGCTCCCAGCACACAGCACAGTGCATGGCCCAGAGTAAGTGTTGAGTGCTGAATACAGACTAATTCCTCAATGATAAGGGGCAGGCACGATGTATAACTTGGATGTGCACCCCTTGCAGGCATGGGACATGGCAGGTGCCCAATAAAGCGTTTATTGTATTGAATTGCATTAAACTGGGCCAAAGATTTGGATGGACATAGATCTCTTCTGATGAATGAAGAGGATAAAGTGAAATAATGATCTCTCATGACAGTCTCTTTCACCCTGTTTTGACTGTGACTCTTCTTTTTTATTTCCTGGGTGTTCCTCATTTTCCTAAGTAGACACTAAGCCCTCCTGTGGGCAGATACCATGCCCTATGCAATTTGTGTGTTCCTCTTTTAACAGGCATGCTAAAAGAAAAAAAAAGACATATTGAATTGATGTGTTTCAACCAAAGTGGGCCTTCTAGTGAGGGGCTGATTGTATGTTAAAATATTCTCTCCCACCATAATTCCTGGTTGCCTAGGATCAGTAAAGACCCTGCTCACCCATTCTCCATTCTCAGGAGCACATAAATTGCTCGAAATTGGATCAGACACAGATTATGGCAAGACAGATGAAAGTAAGATAAAGAATGGACCTCCATGTTGAGTGATTTATCAGAGACACTTAATTTTGGAGGACAAAATTGGAGATCATTGCCATAGGCCTTTAAGAAGGGCAACCCTGTTTTTCAAGATGTAGAATGCTGTGAGTGGCTTCTTTAGACCCCATTCTAACCTGAGACTTGGTGGCTTCTTGAGAAGACAATGAGAGCAAGTGGGAGTGGCCAGTGGAAGGGCAGGGGAGTCACCCCAGGGACAGCTCTGACCGCCACTTGCTCTTGCATGGCCACAGTGCAAGTTGGAGTGTCTGGGTTGGAGTCAAGTTCTCCCAATTCCACATTGTCTTCATGCACCAGACTTTCCCATCTGAGTGCCATGACTGGGTGATGGTTTGCTGAGCTATTGACCCTTTCAGCCATCTGGGCAGCCAAGTTGGCTCTGTGGCAGGCAAGATCCCCAGGTTGGGCACCTCTGACCTCTAGGAACCTCCCCCTACCTCAGCATGGGTCAGTTTCATGTTCTGTCTGCATTGACTTGAAAAAGGCAAGGAGACTGTCTTACGCCACACTCATGGGACCATCAGCTGTCTGTATAATTCCCCAAACACACTATAGCAAAGTGGGTCTGACCTGCCATCCAGAGACTGGGTTCCAGTCCTGGCACTGCTTCCTACCAGCAAGAGTGGCCTAGACTGGACTATTTCTTAGCTATATTATATGAATAACCACCAAAAGTCCATGCCAATTACTGATGCTGGTGGAAAGAATATTTGACATTCTTGTTTAACATGTAGTATTCTCTGTTGAATTGAACTGCTCTCAGTCAATATTCCACAGACATTTTTGGGGGAGCCTTCTCTGGGCCAGGCTTGATAGTCCTAGGGATACAATGGTAAGAAAACTGCCCTAGTGGACCCCACATTCTAGCTGTTTCTAGCCTTCTGTTAGGAAGGAGGAAGCCTATGCCCAACCCCATCCTTCACTTGTGAGTTTTTCCTTGAAATGGGGTAACAATGCTACCCAACTGTGTGAAGGGCTGAATCTTGAGTGCAGTCCCAACAGCATGCATTCAGCAGCACTGTGCCTTTCCACAATCATCCTCCCACCCAGGGCCACCACACTGTGCCTTTCCACAGTCATCTTCCCACCCGAGGCCACCACACTGTGCCTTCCCACAATCATCCTCCCACCCGGGGCCACCACACTGTGCCTTTCCACAATCATCTTCCCACCCAGGGCCATCACACTGTGCCTTTCCACAGTCATCCTCCCACCCGGGGCCACCACACTGTGACTTTCCACAATCATCCTCCCACCCAGGGCCACCACACTGTGCCTTTCCACAATCACCCTCCCACCCAGGGCCACCACACTGTGCCTTTCCACAATCATCCTCCCACCCAGTGCCACCACACTGTGCCTTTCCACAACCATCCTCCCACCCAGGGCTACCACACTGTGCCTTTCCACAACCATCCTCCCATTGGGGCCACCACACTGTGCCTTTCCACAATCATCCTCCCACCCAGGGCTACCACACTTTGTCTTTCCACAACCATCCTCCCACCCGGGGCCACCACACTGTGCCTTTCCACAATCATCCTCCCACCCAGGGCCACCACACTGTGCCTTTCCACAATCATCCTCCCACTGGGTCCACCACACTGTGCCTTTCCACAATCATCCTCCCACTGGGGCCACCACACTGTGCCTTTCCACAATCATCTTCCCACCCGGGGCCACCACACTGTGCCTCTCCACAATCATCCTTCTACCCAGGGCCACCACACTGTGCCTTTCCACAGTCATCCTCCCACCGGGGCCACCGCACTGTGCCTTTCCACAATCACCCTCCCACCCAGGGCCACCACACTGTGCCTTTCCACAATCATCCTCCCACCCAGTGCCACCACACTGTGCCTTTCCACAACCATCCTCCCACCCAGGGCTACCACACTGTGCCTTTCCACAACCATCCTCCCATTGGGGCCACCACACTGTGCCTTTCCACAATCATCCTCCCACCCAGGGCTACCACACTTTGTCTTTCCACAACCATCCTCCCACCCGGGGCCACCACACTGTGCCTTTCCACAATCATCCTCCCACCCAGGGCCACCGCACTGTGCCTTTCCACAATCATCCTCCCACCGGGGCCACCACACTGCCTTTTCACAATCATCCTCCCACCCAGGGCCACCACACTGTGCCTTTCCACAATCATCCTCCCACTGGGGCCACCACACTGTGCCTTTCCGCAATCATCCTCCCACCCGGGGCCACCGCACTGTGACTTTCCACAATCATCCTCCCACCCGGGGCCACCGCACTGTGCCTTTCCACAACCATCCTCCCACCCGGGGCCACCGCACTGTGCCTTTCCACAATCATCCTCCCACCCAGCGCCACCACACTGTGCCTTTCCACAATCATCCTCCCACTGGGGCCACCACACTGTGCCTTTCCACAATCATCCTCCCACCCGGGGCCACCGCACTGTGCCTTTCCACAATCATCTTCCCACCCGGGGCCACTGCACTGTGCCTTTTCACAATCATCCTCCCACCCAGGGCCACCACACTGTGCCTTTCCACAATCATCCTCCCACCCGGGGCCACCGCACTGTGACTTTCCACAATCATCTTCCCACCCGGGGCCACCGCACTGTGCCTTTCCACAATCATCCTCCCACCCGGGGCCACCGCACTGTGACTTTCCACAATCATCTTCCCACCCGGGGCCACCGCACTGTGACTTTCCACAATCATCTTCCCACCCGGGGCCACCGCACTGTGCCTTTCCACAATCATCTTCCCACCCGGGGCCACCACACTGTGCCTTTCCACAGTCATCCTCCCACTGGGGCCACCACACTGTGCCTTTCCAAAATCACCCTCCCACCCAGGGCCACCACACTGTGCCTTTCCACAGTCATCCTCCCACCGGGGCCACCGCACTGTGCCTTTCCACAATCATCCTCCCACCCGGGGCCACCGCACTGTGCCTTTCCAAAATCACCCTCCCACCCAGGGCCACCACACTGTGCCTTTCGACAATCATCCTCCCACCCAGGGCCACCACACTGTGCCTTTCCAAAATCACCCTCCCACCCAGGGCCACCACACTGTGCCTTTCCACAATCATCCTCCCACCCGGGGCCACCGCACTGTGACTTTCCACAATCATCCTCCCACCCGGGGCCACCGCACTGTGACTTTCCACAATCATCCTCCCACCCGGGGCCACCGCACTGTGCCTTTCCACAATCATCCTCCCAGCCGGGGCCACCGCACTGTGCCTTTCCACAGTCATCTTCCCAGCCGGGGCCACCGCACTGTGCCTTTCCACAATCATCTTCCCACCCGGGGCCACCACACTGTGCCTTTCCACAATCATCCTTCTACCCAGGGCCACCACACTGTGCCTTTCCACAGTCATCCTCCCACCGGGGCCACCGCACTGTGCCTTTCCACAATCATCCTCCCACCTGGGGCCACCGCACTGTGCCTTTCCACAATCATCCTCCCACTGGGGCCACCACACTGTGCCTTTCCACAATCATCCTCCCACCGGGGCCACCGCACTGTGCCTTTCCACAATCATCTTCCCACCACCACACACACTCAGGACATGCTGAGATAACCACCCAACACAGACTGAGGAAAGTCACCCAGGAGACTGCCTGGGTCTGAACGCATCCCTGCACTCCCTGGCCCTGTCTTTTTGACATCTGATGTGTTTTTGATACTTGCACCCTCATCTCAGCTCTTCCCTACCTGCAGTCTGCTCTATGTCACTGCTCAAATGCCTCTATTCCAAGAGGGCTCAGGGACACCCCCGAGGAGAGAGGAAGCATTGGTTTCCAACATCTACACCTCCAGCAAAGAAGTAGTGTGAGCTGGGGTGAATGCAACTGCAGAATCTTTTGTTGAATGAAACACCTTTCACGTGAAGAAAAAGCAGCAAGACGAAATGACACTTTGCTAATGATGTATTTTATGGACTGCCATCTGTCTCTGGAAAGGTCAGAGAAAAGTGGCAACTCAGTTGCAGGTGATTGGGCAGGGACCGTGGTTGGGGGGACAAATGTCTCTCATCGGAACATGACAGGGAGCCTTGGTGACATCATATAAATGCCCTAATTGGGAAGTGGTCAATCGAGCGGGCCTGACTCCTGAATTTGATGTGTCAATAAACAAGCTCAAGGTGAGATGCTGGATCAATACCAGAGGACAAGAACCATCTGGCAAATTTACTGCAAAGTAATTGGGTGCAAAATGACTCAACTCAACCTTCACGCTTTTGAAAAGCAAACAAACGGTGGGCCCACCAGCAACTGTTTGTATGCGTCAGTGGCTGCTTACGAGGGCTCACTGTCTGCTAATGGGCCTGGGGAATGGGAGCCCCCCAGAAGGGAGGGAAAACCATGAACCCTGGAAGATGATGCTGGCTGCAGCAGAAGCCTTCTCACAGTTGGGGAGTATAATCTAGATGCTTCTATCAGGGATAATCTTAAATATAGTAATTATAATTATATATATCCATTTTTTATTCTCATTAGGTTGCAAAATACATGAGACACAAAAGAAATATTTATGTCTATATATCTATGTCTACAATTATATCTACTAATGGTTGAGATCAGTGGCAGCTTGTTCTCTCCACCCATGGGTGTAGGGAAATGGGAATAAAGATTCTTCATTGCTTTAACTTCAGGGTATGTGGGCTTGGAGGTGGGTAGTGGAATGAAGAGAGCATGTCCTGCCCTGACCCAGTGGTGGGCACGGCATCCCCCGCAGAGCCTCCCACTTACTCTCTAGGCCTGCTGGTCTCTGAGCAGGTTGGGGAGGGTGTGTTGGAACTGCCTCTGCCAGCTTACAAGAGCTGATGGTTAACTATACAATGAACTATGCGACAAACAGTGGTGTTTGTTTACAACAAACAAACATTTAAACATTAGTAGCTTGAAACTGGCCATGGTGGGAGTATTCACACCATGGGAACCAGCAAACGCTCTCTATCAGGCCCCTGGAGAGTCATTTACTAACATGCTGCTAAGAGCAGGGGTGGGTCCAGGGATTTGGGGTCCAGCCAAGGAAGGGTGAGTGTCTGGCAGGTTGCACCCTTGGAAGTTGTGCTGCTGGAGAATCACACTTGGGTCTGTGAGCTGTTGGGTGAGGTCGAGAGGCAGCTGAGGACAACAGGAGAGCCAATGACTAAGGAAGAGATGCCGTGCACATGTGAAGCCGTGTTTCTCAAGGGCCCAGTTTAGGGGCTGCCTGGGATAGTAAAAAGCACCAGGAGGCCAGCCTTCTAGCCCCAGCTTTGCACTTCACTGGATACAAGCTCCAGTATCAATAATCAGCTGGCAAGTCCCAGAGAGCCCTACAGGTTGTGACATTAAAGTAAGTTTATATTGGCTGCCCAAACCCCTGGGGTGCCCTCTCCATGGCTCTGGTTCCTCTCCTGCCTGTGACTTCTTCATCCACCATCTCTTCCCAATCCAGCAACCAAAGGGTTAACACCTGTCACACATGGGGGCATCAGGGACCCTTCTCCTGCTTTGGTCCTTTGTGTCAATGCCCCCAGCTTGTCTACATTACAATGCAGGAGGACCATAGAGCTCTACTGGGTGCCTGGGGGTAAAAATGCAAGCTGGCCCATTACCACTAGCAAACCACTAGGATGGGTAGGGGCAGCTGGCGGAGGCTAGCAGGAGGCTAGCAGAGTCTCCTGGATGTGAGGAGATGGGAGGCTCCCTGGAGAGAGGCAGGTGGGTGAGCAACAGCCGCTGACAGCCTGGGCTCAGACCTTGGCTCCGCCACTAACTGAAGTTGTGTGGCCTGAAGCAAGTCACTGAACACTCTCTACAACTCCGTTGCCCCGTCTGTGAACTGAGGTGACTAGAAGAATCCACATTATTGGTTTGTGAGCTCTGGATGAGCTAATTCATAGAAGGTGCTTAGAACCGTGTCTGGGAAGGTGGCAAGCTCTCTGACTTCATCCAATACTTCCATCATTTCATGCCTCACAGCAACTGTGCATGAAGAGGGTTTTTTTTTTTTTTTTTTGGTTTGTTTGTTTTTTTAATCACCAGTGTTTCCATTTTTATGACACGGAGACTGAGCTTGAGATGTCTAATGACCTGCCTGTGGTCTTGTGGCCTGTTGATGTTGGAGCCATCTGGAACCCAGGCTGTTCTCTGTGCGTCCAGCATATTCTCCACCCGCCTGCTGAACTGCAGGTGCCCAGGTGCGTGGGGAGGGTCAGGCTTAGGAGAAAGTTGCCAGCCCAGAGGATGAGGGCAGTGGGAGTGGAGAACCTGGCCAGAGGCCAGTGGTGCAGTGAGAGGGCTGAGGGGAATTCATGGGTCCACATGGCCTGGGGAGATAGGGAGAAGGTGAGGCAGGGAGGGTAAGTGGGAAGGTAGGCAAAACTAACTTCATTTTTCCAAATTTAGCTTACCTCGTGAGCTCTGTATCCATAGGGAGGAAAGTAATTCTGCCAACTCAAAGTCATCTCTGCCCATTTTAAATGCAGTCTCTTTGGGGGAAATACTAGTAAATCCAGGATTCTCCCTCTTCTCCTTCTCTTTCCCTTTTTTTCTGAGAGCCATTTTAGTCTAGAGGAAGGGGCAGCAGTGTGCTTGTGTATCTGTGTGTGTGTGGCTTGTCCAGCACACGCAGGTGTGTGTACACCCCTCTCCCAACACACACTGAGTGCTGTGAGGCACCCTCAGGCCGGTCAGCCCAGATACCCCCTCCAACCTTTGCTACCTGGACAAACAGGTGCCAGGTGAGGTGCAGACCAGGCTTAGGGGCTCCTGCTCCACACTCCAGGATGCCAGGACACTCCGCCTTCTCTGGTCTCTCTTGTCTGGTCTGCCCTGATATTCGGGGCCTGTTGGGTGCTGAACCCCGTCTCAGTGACTTTGGCAGTGATTGCTAAGCCATAGTCATGCTCTCTTCCTCCTCCTGCCGGCTGCTCAATATTTTTCCTTTGAGTGAGAACTGTCTGTCAGCATCGTTCTTCCCTGCACTGAGGGTCCAGTGTAGCCTCTGGGCACAGAGCCCTCCAGCCCCGTGGATAGTGAGAAGCCAAAGTCAGGCTTTTGGCCTAAAAAGCCTTGTGTCTTAGTCAAGCTTCTAATTCCTTAACATGAAATACTTTCAGGACTAGTATTTCTTCAGTGAGTTAAAACATCCATTTGGCCACTCCACTGACCTTGTTCTAAGCTGGTCCTATTAGCCTGATTCACGGGGCTAGAGACATCGGAGGAAGACAGACACATGGGGGAAAGCAAAAGCCAGTTTTTATCTGAAAATACTGTCCTGCTTACATCAGTGCTTAGCCTATGGCCTGGCATCTACTTGGTAAGAGCTGAGTAATTGTTACCTATTGTCATGATCACCATTATTTTATATTGCTGATCTTGCAACGTATAAGAGCAAGGGAGGGACACTGAGAGACAACACAGCTATGCTGTCGGTAGAGTGGGAAGCTTAGGGAGCCAGGGTGCAAGTAGAGTAGTTTGAAAGCGGGGAGAAGTCTTCCTGAGAGAAGTGATGAGGAAATGGAAATTGCAGCTTCCCTGGCCTCACCTCTCAGCACTTCTTCACTTTGGCCTCACTCAACTCCTTCTAATCCCAGATTCATCATCCCCTTTCATTGGATCCCTGCTGTTCCCCACTTTCTCCATGCTGAGAATCCTTACCAGGCTTCAGTCTCCAGCTGGATTGCAACCTCATGAGAGACCCTGAGCCAGGACCACCCAGCTCAGTAGCCCCCAGGTTCCTGATCCACAGAAACCGTGAGATAATAAATGTTTGTTGCTGTCAACCACGAAGTTGTGGGTTAATTTGTTACACAGCAGTAGGTAGCTGATATGCTTTTACATTCTTCCCTGACTAGGATGCTTCTCACTCTAGTGCATCCTAGTGCAATTTCTTGAGCCTAACAAATAATTCAACAAATGAGAGGGAGAGTTTTGCAGTGAGAAATGCCTGAGAGGAGAAGCCAGGAGGTTCAGGTCCCTGACCCAGTTCTGTCATCCCTGTGCTGGGTGCCTGAGATCAAGACCCTTTCCCTCTCTAAACCTCAGTCCCGCCACTTTTGGATAAGTGGTTGGACTAGACAATCTCTAACATGACTTCCAGCTTTAACAAAACTTCCAGGTGAAGTTTTGTGAAATGCTTTCTGGTGGACTCTCATTTTGCAGATGAGAGGGGTCTAAATTTCCTGACAGGACATGCCTAGCAGAGACCTCCTGCCTCCCTCTTCTTCAGGATCCCTGGGAGGCCTGAGGGGCCCAGCCTGATCAGCATATTTGGCCTGGAGCAGGGCAAGAGACCCAGTCAGAAGAGAGGCCAGGCCCTTCCAGATGACCTCTGGCCTGACCTCCAGACCTCCAAGCCTCACCTGATCCTTCAAACCCCCTGCTCACTGGGTAGAAATATTCTGTGTGCTCCCTGGCTCAGTCCTGGGATCATCAATTGCACTGGTTATTTTCTTTTTTGACTTAAGAGGATTATCCAGACTAGATGCTTTACTTTGTCAGTATTATGCTGTGACACTTCCCTTCACTGGCCCCCCCTTGGCCTGAGGACTGCCAGGCTTTCTCCCAAGTCAAACAGTGGCACAGCTGGACTGTTCTGATGCCCCAAATTTTTGATGTCAGTGTTTCAAATCTTTGCAAGCAGGTAGGCGCCAACAGAGGGAAAGGCACAGTGGGTTGGAGTTCCTGCCCCCGTCCACTTGCTCCTCCATCCCTGTTAAAGGAGACTCCTTCACCAGCGTAGCTGGAGTGCTTTGGGCTGCACAACACAGAAACGCAATGACTTAAGTCTTGAAAATATACAAGTTTTTTTTTTCTTAAAATAAAAAATACATTGGCAACTAGAATTAACAGCTTGGGCCAGAGTGCTGACTATTCAAGACAGGAAGAAAGAGGCGTCCCCAGTAGGCATCTGCTGATGTCTCAGTGTCTAGACCAGGTCTTGTGATTGCTAGTTGCAAAGGAGGCAAGAAAGCTTGATGCTGTGGGTGGGTACCTGAGAAGGGGAAGGGGAAGGGGGTGGAGGTTAGGCAGGAATAGTTTGTTGCAAGTGATAAAACCAAAAGAGAAATCACTTGGCTCCTATAACTAAATGTCAGGAAAGCCAGGGTGTGGCTGGGCCTCACGTGCTGCCAGGGCTGGTTCTCACACACTCCAGAGCTCAGCTTTGCATTTCTCTGTAAGTTGGCTTGTGCCTCTCAGGTAGGCTTCCTCTTCTATCTAGTGGAAACATAGTCTGCCATGGCTTCCAGAGAGAGGTCTTTGTCTCTAATTCCAAGCTGAAAATCTCAGGGAGGGTCTCTGGCCTGACCTGGGTTCTGTGGCTACCCATGGGCCATTCAACCCTGGCCAGAGGAGGGTGTCTGTGGTCAAGTGGTGGTGGGGTCATGATGCCCCCACTGGATGTACAGGTTAGAGGTGGGGCATAGGAGGAGCATTCATAACAAGAGGGAGGAGGGATTAGCAGACCAAGCAGTGCTTGTCCTGATACCAGAGCCACAAGAGACCACAGAGAGCATGGACTCCAGAGAGGTGAGGGAACTTGGCCTACATCACACAGCAAGTTAGTGGAGGACCTGGGCCTACAACCCTGGCTTCACACTCCTTCTTTACTCTGTTGACATTTGGAGCCGAATAGTTCTTGGCTGGGGGGGGACTATCCTGCACATTATAGGATGTTCACCCCGAGCACTGCTTCTGACCAGCAATGTTTCCTGGCTGCAGAGAGCTACTTAATCTCATGGGGCCTAGTGTTTTCAATGGCACTAACAATAACTACCTGCCTACCTTAGAAAGGGAGTTAAAAAAATAGAAGGTTTACAAATACTAGTTATGAAAATCATTTGCAAAGATAAAGGCAGGATAGAAATGCGGGCCTTTTTTAAACAAAAAACCAGGAATCCCTGATTCCACTTTATGCCAGAGAAAATGGCAGAGAATGGTTGTGTAAGTGTGAGTGTGTGTGCGTGTGAATAATCACTTCTCCCTAAGGAATAAGAAACTCTTCCACCAAATTGATACACAGTAAGAAACTCTATACCTGGTAGGTGAAGACACCAGGGTGGGCGTGAAGGGTCTGTTCCAGCTTCCTCTCATTAATCCCTAGTGTAACCATTTGTGGCCTAAGAATCAACCTCCGAAAAGGAGGTGCAGCTTCCAGTGTGCTTGGAATGCAGCACACAGCCACCCACAGCTTCACCAGGACCCCGACGTACTGACTTCCACTCGCCTATGACTTCTTCAACCCCAAAGCGAGGTCATTTTGCCAAGAAAACCAACAATCCCATCAGCCAGCCAACAGGGGCCCTGGGCTGTGGAGGGTGATGCAAAACAATGGTTTTCAATAAGGGGCAATTAAGCCCCTGCAGGGGACATTTAGGACACCTGCCTTTGCAGGGGCCAGGCCAGGCTGGAGGCCTAATTTTTTTTTTTTTTTTTGAGAAGGAGTCTCGCTCTGTTGCCCAGGCTGGAGTTCAGTGGCGCTATCTCAGCTCACTGCAACCTTTGCCTCCCAGGTTCAAGTGATTCTTCTGCCTCAGCCTCCTGAGTAGCTGGGAATACAGGCATCTGCCACCATGACCAGCTAATTTTTGTATTTTTAGTAGAGATGGGGTTTCACCATATTGGCCAGGCTGGTCTTGAACTCCTGACCTCAGGTGATCTGCCCGCCTCTGCCTCCCAAAGTGCTGGGATTACAGGAAGTGAGCCACCGCGCCCGGCCCTGTGGGCTGTTTTCATCCAGGTTGTAGGTAGATACAGACCCTGGGATAGCAGTGCCTGGGGGTCTCTCTGGGCAGAGATGTCGGGTCAAATGGACATGACCTCTTGCTTGGAGGACTGGGCCAGGCCCCTGGAGGAGCCAAGAGAGGAGGCCTTTCAGGAACTGATTGGCCAGTGTGGGGAGAACATGAATTAACACCTGTAATCCCTCATGGGCTGGAGCCTGTGCCTGGGTGGTATTGTGAGATACTGGCATGGGGCCTGGTACCCAAGGATCACTTCCTGGAAGACACAGTGTTGGGACCGGGCCTTTGAAAGCCTTATGATGACTGCACGTGGACCAGAGACTCCAGCCTTGGGGTCCCTTTTTTGACCCAGCTCCACAGCTCCCCTAGGAGGGGAGGCTGGCGGTCTGAGCAGCCTGGCCTTGCTCTGTCCTGACCAAGGTGGGAGAAAAGTCCTGGGAGTTTGCAAGAGGAACTTGCACTAAAAAGAAAAGAGCATAGGGGGACACAAGCCATCCTCGTCCCCCTGCATTAGAGGAGAGATGGGACGGATTTGCTGTAGTCAGGACAGTTTCAAGGGCTTGTGTGGGGCAGAAAGAACCTGAGCGGAGGCCACGTTTATGAGGAAAGATGGAAGCCTGGTAAAGAGCCCAGGGGTGAAGCAGCATCACAGGAACCTCCCTGTCTCTTCCCTTTCCTCTCTGCAGGCTAGCTTACTGCCCCGGGCCCCACACAGACAGGAGGGGGTTGGGGTCGTGCCCAGGTACGAAGTTGGTGGGAGCTCTGTCACTGACAGTGCTTTCCTTCTCATAGGTGCTCCCATTAAGATAACACTGTTCATGTCAAATCTCTTGCTTCAATCTGAAGGTTCTGGGTTTCTGTTTGGTGTCTTTGGTCTTCATCAATATTGTCACATATTTACCCCATATTCTGCTGAAGGGAATTCAACAAGAACTAGGCATGTGCCCAGCCTGGAGGAGTGGGCTGTAGGAAAGAGAAACTATGGTATCTACTTTCATTAAGGTACAAGGCTGATACATGAGAAACAATATTAAAAACTGTTATCAGGAGTTGAGTAAAACATATTAAGTGAATTATCAATGAAGGAGAACTTGTGTGCTTTATTTGAAATTAAGTCAGTGTTGTGGTCTTATCTATCCTGGAGGGCTTCCTGGAGGAGGTGAAGTGGGAAGGCTTTCATTTCAGTGGGAGGAAGTTTAAGCACAAGGCAGGGCAAATCCTGGCACGGGGCAGGTGTGACTGCTGGACAGCCATCCTGGTGTAGCTGGTAAGATTTTGCACAAGCATGTCCCATGTGTCTGTACTGCCAGCCACACCTCTCTGGCCTCTGCAGGAGGTGGCTGATAGACTGATTTGCCATGGAAGCTTTCCCTGGGGCCATTACCTGCAACCACATTTCTTTAGGAACAACCTCCCCAGCAATTTCATTTCTGCTCAAGGTTGTGCTTTCACACTAGGCTGAGTTTCCATCCACCTGCAAGTGTTCTTCCCCTTTCCCATTTCACGCTCCTGTCCCTAAATAATGTTTGCTTTTTCTATTAATAGGACTGTCTTGATTGTGACTGGTCCAGCTGACCTTTCTCCAGTTTCCTATTCCAGAATGGTGCTGCCTGACTCTCTTAGCACCGTCTACTCTTCAGTCATTTATTCCACATGTGGTTATATAGCTCTTGCTGTTTAGAGACTACAAAAAAAAAAAAAAAAAAGAAAAGAAAAAAAGGTGTAAAATACAGTCCCAGGCCTCTGGTAGCTGAGAGTCTAGCTGGGAAGTCAAGACAGATGCTCACATGGGAATGATCTAAGCAGGCAACGGAGTGCCTTTTGGATGCCCAGGTGCACTGCCCATATGTGTGTTTGTTCCCTGCTCAGAGAAGGGAGAGAGCCCAGGGCTGGGTAAACCTTGGAAATCTTCATGGAGGAGGAGGTAGGAGCTCAGTGAGTTGTAATATTTTCCCAGGAAGTAGATCCTGCAGGCTTGAACTCTCTTGCTTCCAATTCATAATTTCTTAGTTCATCAAGAAGAGACAAGGGCACAGGAAGACAGTGTTAGCGGGTTTGCCACCCACTTATTCCCCCAGCCTCATGCCCACCCTCTTTTCCAGAGGCAGGTGGGTCTCCACCGTCTTTACTGCCCACCCTGGGACTGTATTTTACACCTTTTTTTTTTTGTAGCTCAATTTGGGTGGCACATTTCCTCCTGGCTCCATTTCTACACCAGATTCAGATTTGCCTCTGTATCTTTGCTTATCTGGTTCTTCCAGGTGGGATATCTTTCCGTTCTCTAATAACTGTAGTAGATTTTTAAAAATTTGCCTTCTTCCCACACACCCCTGCGCCCTCCATACACACTTCCTTGCCTGAATGATGTTAGGCTTGTCTATGTGACTTGCTTTGACTTCACGGTGGACAAAGTGTGTACCTCACCTCCCTTCCTTCCTTTATTAAATGCGTGGCCATCTGATTTGCTTTGGCCAATGGGACGTTAGCAGATAAGACGTTAACATGCCCCTTGTGTTTTGCTGTGGTCATAAGAACTTGTTTCAACTGGCCAGCTGGTGCAAGGAGGATGAGAAACCAATGTGGGCACCTGGACCCGACCTGCAGCTTTGAGCCAAGGGTCCAGCCTGGATCAATGAGAGTAGGTGATTGCTGTTTTAAGCCTCTGAGTTTTGTGATGGTTTGTTATGCAGCATTAATGTGGTAATAGATGACTGGTACAACCACTGGTGCAGAAATTCTCCTTTTCTCATTACTTAGGGGCCAAAGTTGCTTCCTTCAGGAGGTCCTCCCAGATTGGTCATGCCTAAATCTCTCTTTCTTAATCTGCTCCATGCCTCTCTAACTCTCATTGACTCTGCCTTTTTTTATGAGTGTACTCTCTTGTCATCTCTCATGTGAGCTTCTTGCCTTGTAACTGTGCTGTGAGCTTGAGAGGGCTGGACATGTCTCTTTCCTGTCACTGTGTCACCATAGAAGCCAGATATATAGAAAGCTCTCAGAGCTACACAATGCCTAAAGAAAAGAAAAGAAAAGAAAAGAAAAGAAAAGAAAAGAAAAGCATACACTACCTCTGACATCCCCGGGATTCTTCCCTGGAGACTGGCTTGGGTTCCAGTATCACTAAAGCATTTAGTAATTAGCCTGTGTTTCCAGAATGTCCAGAGGCAATTAGGTGCAGGCTGGATTCCACAGGTGTGGCATCCAGGGGACAGTCAGGGATGCCCTGGTGCACTTGGCCTGCCGACCTCACTGGCCACCTGAGTTTCAACAAAGCTGTTTCCACTGCTGGACTAATTCCCAGGAAATGTCATGTACTTGGAGTTCCTGGGCTCCATGCCCATCTCTATAGAGAACTAACCATATCCTGGGCAGTAAAGCTGCGGGTGTTCTCTGAGGAGGCTGGTTTCTCAAAATACTCATCCAACTGCTCCTCCTCTGGACACTCCCCTCCCTGGCCCATGCTGTTCCTTTTGCTGGGTTATTCCCCACTCCCTCATGCACACACATCCATGCCTGCCTGAGGTCTCCTCAGCCCACCAGGCCACTTCCTCTGAGAAACCTTCTTCTCAATTCCAGGCAGAATTCATTTCTTCATTCCCAGGTACTCCCATAACCCTTGACTTATTCACCTTTGTGGGCACTGGAAACGACATCATATGCTAGATATTTGCATAAACCCTTTTAGGCCCTCTAGACTGCGACTTGTACCAGGGCAGAGGTGATGGTTGATTCATCCCTGAGCGCCCTCCATCCTTAGTGTACGTCCTTGGTACAAGGGGCAAAGAGCAATGGTGAAATCTTAAGTGAGAAGATGAGATGCAATGAGAAATGAGATAGGCTCCATAGACACTTTGAAGACTTGAGGATGGTGGAAATCACAAAGATCTCTGGCATGCTCAAGGGATGTCACTTTGTAGATGGTGGAAAGGGCTAAAAATATAGCTTCCCAGAGAGCTGAGATGAATTCCTGGATGGGAATTATTGAAAGATGCTGACTGTCAAGGGGATAACCCCTCCTGCCTTCAGAGCCTGGGCCAAGACTGGCCTTTCTGAGGATGCCTGTGGCAGAGTTCTGGATTGCCAAGTGGTGTGGAGGTTGGAGAAGGAGGGCTGCCACGGGGGCCAGCCGTGTTCAGGTAAAGGCCGGTCACTGGGGCTGATTTGGAATCCTAGAATGTAAGGTAACTGGGAGGAGCCTAAGGACCATTAGGGAAGAGTCTCATTTACAGATGAGGAAACTGGAGCCCAGGAGTGAAATGTGTCGCTTCAGCTCACCCAGCTGAAATAGTGCTAGAACCAGGGCTAGAATGCAGGTCTGCAGAACTGTGTGAAAACATTTCTGAAATGGTGACAGGACTGAATAGGACTCATGGGACATGGGCAAGTGGTTGGGAAAAAGGATGAGGTCAACCTATGTCAGATGCCCACTCCCTGGTCAGCCTCCTCCACAGAGCACAGCTGCTTGTGCACCTCCAGTGCCTTCTGCCACAGTTGAGGCTGGCCCTGGGTGCTTGAGAAGTACACACTAAGGCTGGACATTTTCATATCTCTTTCTTCTGCCTTTCTCTTTTGCTCTCCCTCCTGAGCACCATCCCCACCCCCCGCCTTCTGCCTCCAACATATTGAATCACCAGGGTGTGAAATATAATAAAGCATTGTACCATTCAATCTGTCGGCTATTCCTTAAAGGTGTACTCCAGGTAAATATCCCCTTGGCCTGTGAAAAATGAGCTTACCTGCAACAAATGACTTTGATGAACCTCAGGAACTGGCCCTCTATCATTCTTTTCCAATTGGCTTCCCCAGACAAGCATGATTTCCCTGCACAAATGTGTCTTGCTGAAGGAAGAGTTTCTCTAATTCACTTTCCTTCCAATGCCCAGCTTCTTTGCTTGGGCATCCCTTTATCCAGCCACCACTCTCAGAGATGTCTTTCTTCTAGAAGCTGGGAACTCATGCAGTCATCAAATGCTTCACCAGGTTGATCAAAATCAGAACCCAAATTAATCAGTCCATCCATGAACACTCATTGGGTGTGGCAGCGTGGAAATGGACTGAACCTGGATTTGTGAAATGGGTGTCCCCTTATCTCCACCACTTCCCAGCTCTGTATCTCACTTGCCTCACCTGTGAAGCAGGACAGATAATAACACCTGGTCTTCTTCCTTCACAGGAGCGTCTGAGTAGCAAACACATTTCTCCACGTGAAAATGCTCCAAAAAGTATACATCACTATATAAACACAACGTTTACTATTATTATTGTCATCTAAATTCTTTAGGGGGTGAAAGAAAAGTTT
Source organism: Homo sapiens (assembly GCF_000001405.40). NCBI lineage: Eukaryota > Metazoa > Chordata > Mammalia > Primates > Hominidae > Homo > Homo sapiens. The sequence continues at coordinate 47,415,478 of NC_000018.10, forward strand.
GGTCATTATTTCATTAAAACGTTATTCAACAAATATATTCTGAGTGCCTACTATGTGCCAGCCATTGGGCAAAACAGTTGGGGTATTTGAGGGAGTAAAAGGGACAAAATTCCTGCTCCCACGGAATTTGATTATATTTCCTTATGATCTAGTTGAGATGACAAAACCCACATGCGTAAGAGCCAACTGTAGAACAAAAAGGCATATTGTATGTTGGTGAACTAAATAATGCATTTTAACTTACAACTTCCAATTACCTGAGTACCTAGTATGCTATCATGTGTAATTTTATTTAATTCTCAAACAACTCTGCAGGCTAAGCATTTTTATAGTGAAACCTGAGGCTTGGGGAGGAAATACTTTTTCTGAAGTCCCAGAGGAGAACTGGGAGGGAGGCTTGGGGTTGTTGGATTCCTTGGGGCTTCTTTTTGTCCACCCTAGTTCTCCCAGCCTTGGGTCTGCACTGTGAACTTGCTCTTCAGTTTCAGGAATTGACAGTGCTCAGAGTGCTATGGTGATAGGAAGCAACTTCAAAGAAGAAGTTGCCTCCTACTTGGCTTTGAAGGATAGGAAGAATTTGCATCAGCATGGTGGGCGGATGGGAGAGTTTCTGATAGTGCTGGCAGTGGGGGTGTGTGAACCACTCAAGTGGGAGGCAACTTGAGGGAGGACGGAGGAGACACTGCTGGCTGGATGGGAGGCAGAGATGGAGAGCGAGGTTAGACAGAACCAGACGATGCAGGGGCTCAAAATTAAGACTGAGGAACATTCCTGTCCAGAGACACAAAGTGGAGAGAATTTTCCTGTGAAAACAAGAGGTATACCTTCTCGCTGCTTAAGGATTTCACAGCTCTCTACCCAGAAAGCTTGGCTATGCTGCCATAACTGAGTGAGGTCGGGTGATTAATAGCCTTCCTGTGGGCCTTAGTTTCCCTCATCTGTAAGAGGAAGGTGTTAGAAGAGAGAAATGCTGAGGCTTCTTCTAACTCTGAGATGTCTTGATTTTGTGATTCCATAATGAACTCAAAAACATGTACGTATGCCATCACAGCCACGTACCTGTGAGGGCTTTTTTCCTTCTCTGCCGCTGTAATTTTAGATAAGTGCCAAATGCCTCTTTATTCTCAAATATAAAAACATCGAGAAGATTAAGCCACAGCCTGTCTCATAATAATCTGGGCATCCAATTCCAGCTTTCTGATGAAAACATCACTGTTATAAGAAAATTGAAAAGTTTAATATTTGCAAAAACAAACAAATAATCCTCCCCCCACCCCCATCCTTGAATAAGGCTGAATGTTTTCGGTGACTTCATATTTCTCTTCCCAGTTTTTTGATACATGGAGCTTTATTTGTGGATTTTTTGGGATTTTGGAGACATGCTGTGATTACAGTCCTCATTTGGGTCTAACCTGTCCTTTGAGGATGGACCCTGGGTCAGAATCAGGTGACAGATCTGTGGCCTCCATAGGAGGTTGAATCTCCATGTGGGATATTACAAAAGAACTTGCACAGTTCAGGTTAGTCACAAAACTAATTTGAGCCACTTGATGGACTTACACAAAATGCTGATGATGGTGATACTGATGAAACACATTTAGTGCTGCTTATGTGCCAGACACGGTGCTAAGCACTTTACTTGCCTTAATTCACCTAATCCTCCCAGCAATCCTCTGAAGTGAGTGCTACTGTTACTCTCATTTTGCAGAGGAGGAAACTGAGGACCGACCGGCAAGGTTAAGAAACTTGCCCAAGGCTACACAGGTAGTCAGCCCTATAATTGAATCTGAATCCCACAGTCTGGCTTCAGAGCACTGGTCTCCCATGGTGCTTTACTGTCTTGCAAGGATTTAGGCGGCTGCTGTTGGGAACCAATTCCCACCCCTCATTCTCACTCATCCTCTCTGGTTTTTTCTTCATTCTCCAAGCAGACCCACCTCACACAATAAACTGAATGACTTATCATTTGGGGATCTGACCAACAGACACCCACTTCTACTGATATTGGGCACCTACTTGTGCCAAGTGCTAGGGATGCCAAGATGAGGAAGATAGGCTCCTTCCCTGGGGATTTCATGCACGAGTAAGGAGCCAAGAGGCAGCAATGGCACAGTGTGCTGGGAGGACACTGGGCCCAGGGGAGGGAGTGGCGTTACTTACAGGAGGCAGTGCAGAACAGGGGACTTCTCATTCCCTCTTCTCTTCTCCCGGATATCCCCTTTCCTTCTTACCAGCAGACCTGCGAACCCATGGGTTCCTCCAACTTGAGGGGCAAAGTGTACCTTTTCTGTGCTCCCCACAGAAAGCCCCGTGACTTTCTTTTCTCTTTTCCTCTGGCACCTCTTTTTGGTGGCCTTCTGTATTTTTTCTCACTCTTTTGTGGCCAGTGTTCATTGCTGTCCTGTTCTGATGCTCTGATACTGAGTACCAGGGCAGCTCTGGCTAGAACCACCTCTTAGCATCGCCAGATGAGTCAAACTGTAAACCAGGAAACTTTAGCTGAAGTGGGTGTATTAGTAAGCATTCTCCTGAGAAACAGAACCAATCGTGTGTGTGTGTGTGTGTGCATGTGTGTGTGGTATGTGTGTGTGTGTGTGCATGTGTATGTGGTGTGTGTGTGTGTGCATTTGTATGTGGTGTGTGTGTGTGTGTGCATGTGTATGTGGTATGTGTGTGTGTGTGTATTTATTTTCAGGAATTGGCTCATGCAATTATGGAGATTGAGTAGTCCCAAGATCTGCACTTGGCAAACTACAGACCCAGGAGAGCAGACTTTGTAAGTTCCAGTGTGAAAGCCAGCAGGCTCGAGACCCATGAAGAGCCAATGTTTCAGTCCAAGCCTGAAGGCTGGAAAAGGTCAGTATCCCAGCTCACACAGGCAGCTGAGGTTCCCTCTTACCCAGCCTTTCTCTTCTGTTCAGGTCTTCAGTTGATTGAATGAGGCACACCTACAGTAGGGAGGGCAACCTGCTTTTCCCAGAATTTACTTATGGAAACGTTAATCTCCTCCAGAAATAGTCCTTGAATGCTCTGCCCCTTTGGGGTTGCTGGAGTAATAGGCATTTCTCAGTGTCACACGTGGCTTTCATGATTCAGTGGCAAGAAAAGTAGGCAAGGAATTCAGGAGGTTGGTTTGAATCTTAACTCTGACACCTTCCCTCCCCAGCTGGAAAACTCTAGGACTCTCCTGTGCTCCCATTAAACTTTCCTCGTTGGAGAGAGAAGTAGAAAATGCAGCCTCCCACATGCCAGGGAGAGGGAGTGGTCTCCTGAAGGGGAGGGGAGGTTGAATTTCTGGGATGTAATGTCAGAAAATCCCCTGTTGTCACAGATCTAAGGCTGCATCTTCCAGTCTGGCAATGATGAAGCCCATTCTCCCTCTGCTGGGCTCAGCTGCTTCTGAGTCATCTGTCTCAGAAGAGAAGTATTATTTATTGACCTCTAAAATCTCGTTAGGAGTCACTTCCTAAGTAAAGCAGAGGACAAGAGCCAAACCCTTTCAAAGTAGTGTTACTCATAGTGAATTTACAAATCACCCCCATTTCACAGATAAAGAAACTGAGACCCAGTTGGGGAAAATAAATAATTGGCTCAATATTCCCAACAGCCCTCTGGAATTGGCATTACTTTCCGATTTTACCAATGCAAAGCCAGTAAGAGGAAGCGCATACCACAGTTGGTGGCACAGCTGAGATTTGAACAGGCCTCTGGAATCCTTTGCGTACTTTTCTTTCTTTCTGTCACGCTGTGGGAGCCACATGTGTAAGCTATATGAAAAAGAGAAGGAGGAGGATGAAGAGGAGATAGGGGGAAGGAGGAGGGGGAACAAAACAGGAATCCAAACCTTAGGCTAAAGGAAGGACTCTCAGATGATAACCCTGATGGCAGGTGGGGGTGGAGAACAATCTGAAACCCCAGAAATAATTCCACATTTCAACCTGTAAGTAAAGTGGGCGTTAGACCCTCTCTTCCCTTTCTTTTCCCTTCTCCTTTTCTTCCTCTGGGAGACACTGTCTGTTGCCTTTCCAGCAGCTATTCTATTTCATCCGTGCTAAAAAAAAAAAAATCCATTTCATACCTGCTTAAAAAAAAAGGTATTCCAATATGGGAGTGGTCATTGTCCAGATAATGGTTGGAGCTGTGGGCTTGGAGAGGATTACTCGGGGAAAGGGCTGAACAGTGTGAAGAGGTGGCACCCAGATGACAAGAAATTAAGATTTGATGGAAGCTGAAAAATTGCAGGTGTGAAAAATATTTCCCCTGACAGAAAAAAGTGATTTTTGGCACTAGATGGAGAAGGTGCTGGGAAAGGTATTTTCAAACTGGAAGCCCACTGAGCATGCTTTGGGATTATAACAGTAACTAAAGCAGCTCACATTGGCCATTTGATGTCCCTAGTCTAAGTGTTTTATAGGGAGTATTTCATTTCTTCCTAAAAACTGTGTGAAGCAGGTGCTATTATTCCAGTTTTCAGAAGTGGAAATGGAGGCTCTGAGAGTTTAATAGCCTGCCCAGCTACTAAGCAATAGAGCAGGGTTTAAATCTGTGCAGTGTGACTCTACAGAAGGGGAAAGAGCAAGTAGGGAGGGAGAGATGGCAAGTACTAGAGAGCTTGGGGATGATTGATCTAGCAAAGTTCTGGAAGAGATGGAAAGGGATGGGATCAATAGTCCAGGTGGAGGGATGCACCTTGGCAAAGTAAAAGAATATGTCTTCCTTTGAGACAGGAGGGCGGATGAAAGGATGGATGATAATAATTCACGGAGTCTCTGGGGCGGAGGGAAGAAAGTCAAGGCAGTGCATATTACATGACCTTGGTCTTCACAGGAAAGTCGTGAGCAACCCACATAAGTAAAGCTGTCCTCTTTCTCACTTCCTCTTTTTTCTTTCTTGCCCAACCCCTCTTCTTGCTTTAACACAGAAGAAACAACCCAGGTTATACTCTTTCATCTAAACTGGACATTTATTTGTAAATGAGGGATTGGGCTGTTGTTGAATAAACAGGGGATAAGTTAAAAGAGATTGCTTGAAGAAGGATTCTGGGAGTTAACAATGGCTGTGGACATGTGAAGGAATAGAAGAGGTAAGCACTGTTTTGATTTTATTACCAGGATTGAGGTGGAATGCAAATCTCGGTGAGCCATGAGAGGTGAGTTGCACTGCTCCCGAGGAGAAGGGAAACAGTAACGTGGAGTCCACGAGCTTGGGGTCTGGAGCTAGAGGAGACTTTTGTTGTGGATGGATTGGAAAGCAGAGATCTTTTTAAACTTAGCTTTAAAAAAATCAAATTAATGTATGGTGATGACAAAAACTTGGAAAGTACTGAAATGTAGGAAAAGGAGAGAAAAACCACTTCAGAAAATTATGATTGATATTTTGTGATTTTTCTTTTAGTGTCTTTTCTATGCATTAAAAGTTGAAATTCCACCACGTCAAGCTTTTACTGTATAATTGTATTACAAGGATTTTCCCCATGTTATTACAAACTTCTATTAAACATATATATTAAAAATAGGGATAAGTAATTAAAATTACTGGTATTTAATTTGGTCACATGTTTCCTCTATGTAAACCTGCTTCTTAATTGCTGTCGAGCAATCCTTCATATGGATCCACTGTGTTTATTTAGCTATTCCCCTAATGATGGACAGCAGGTTGTTTCTGGTGATTTTCTTTGGTGTTAATGGCCTGAGGAACATCTTCATGCACAGACCTTTGCTTGCAGTTTGATTATTTCCTTAAGATAGGTAATTAGAAGCAAAATCACTGGGGTGAAAAGTGTGACTACTTTAAAGATTGCTTTCTAGAAGGATTGCTTGTGTCCATTTACATCCCACCCACAGGGGCAGGCAGAGAGTGCAAGCCTCAGGAGGGCCCAGATTCTGGGAGGTCAGGGTCAGGAAGGACAGCCCAGCAGGCTCATTGGGACTGTGAACTTGGAACCTGTGCAGAGGCTATTTGCTGGTTGTTCTGCTCTGGTTATGAGGGGCTCTCTATCAGGTGTTTGTTCTGAGCACAAGGTTAGAGACCCATGGTGAGTCCTGCCCCAGCTGGAAGTCAAAACAGGGGTGCTGGGGCTGTGTTTGCAAGTCTAAACATGGGGTGGGGGTGGGGGAGTGGCAAACCGAGAAAGCCACCTCACCCTGACAAATGTACCATCACTGTAGCAGCTCTTTCTTCCATAGTCATAAACCTGAAAAATCTAATGAATTCGAGGAAGCCTGTCCCTCCCTGGACACAGACACACACACACACACACACACACACACACACACACACACACCCTTCGATTTCAAGGGACTCATTGATCCACAGGGGTCTCAGGGTTGATGAACACTGTTAAGAACATCGGCTTTAGAGACCATTAGCAGTTGGGGCCTTCTTTCCAGATAGCTTAGCACCTTGGGGACCCTTTTACATACTAGAAATTTCAAGCCACATTCAGGATAACTGTAAGGGCCAGAGTCTGGCCTTTTCAGACAAAACTCCTGCATCAATAACTTCTTAAAGCCTATTGGGGGAAAAACTCTAATTCTCAATAGTAGGGGTTAGACAAGGTGTCTGGATGGCTTAACAAGCTGGGAGAGAGTTCATGGGAGAGAAAACATACACACATTCACACACATATATTCCCAGAGACACACAGACTCTCGCACAGGTACACACACTCTCACATGCATCATTCTCTCATACCTAGACACACACACACTCACACACATATATATTCCTAGAGACACACATGCTTTGACATACAAGCACACATACATATGTCCCTTCTCACATGCACACATGCATACACGTGTGTGCACACACACACACAGCCCTAGGACCCAGTCCTCTACTGCCTCAGGCTCAGTCCTGGGACCTTCCCTTTTCTCCTTCACTTGGTGTTGGCCTAGATCCTCCTCCCACTCTCTTTTTCTCCCACCCAATGGTAAATATACTCACCTGACTTCGAGCGAATATAAAAGTACAGGAGGAAAGTGGTAGATAAATTTAACAAGCATTAAAGTTAATATATAATTTAAATATGTATAAAATTATTCCATGTATCGATTAGAAAATGGGCTGTTGACCATTTCAAGGCAACAATCAATTTCAGAGTTCACAGGTCAGGTCAAGTTTCTTTCTAATGATCTAAGAAAGAAGGCAGCATTAGAGGGATAATGAACTCCAAGACTTACAGATGCGATCTATGGCTAGTGGCCACCCAGCGGCAGCCCGGGCTGGCTGCAGAGGGAGTTATCCCATAGGTCTGTGTAAAAGCCTGGCTGGGTAACAGCCCATGATGTAATCAAGGCAGTCTCTGGGATGACTGGCGTTTTTTTTTTTTTTTTTTTTTTTTTTTTTTTTTTTAAAAAAAAAAGACCAAGTGATTGTCGAAGCTCTTGGTTGTCAATGGGCAGCTGTGGTGGAACCCCATTAATGTGGTTTGTGCAGAGAGCTTCTCCTTTTCTGGGAAGTGGAAACAGGCCCAGCCAGCACTGTTAATCACCTGGCCTGAAAGGGAGCTGGGCAGGCTTAGAGGAGGGTGCAGACCAAGGGGACGTGACCTCACTGCTGGTCTGTTCCAGGGGCTTGGCCACATACAACTTGTTAACAAGCAGGGATCCCCCAAATCACTGGGTGGTTCTGCAGCTGAAAGCAGAAAACTTTGCCCATGGGTATCCCTGGGTCTCTTTGTAGAACTGAGAGAGACCAAGGTTTGGGGGGAGGGGCAGTAGAAGGGGTAGAATGGGACATTTGGCTCAGAGAAAGTGTAAAGTGAAGGTGTGTTGAGTCGCTAAGGATGGCCCCCACATAACCTCAAATTCTCTTCCTACACTGGGAGTGCATGGGGAACCAACCTGGCTCCTGGCCTGGAACCAGATTGGGAACCGGATCGGGAAGTGGATCTGCCTTCTGATCACTTCCACCTTATGACCAAATGGCCAACAGACTCCAAAGGCCAGAGACACCAGGTCCCAGAGTTTCCATTTTTCATCCTGAGAGGAAAAAGGCTTTGAGATTTTTTGACCTAGTGAGGTATGTTAAAAAATGTCCACTCAACTCAGTACACCAGAGTTGGTTCAGTCCCTGTTATTATTTGAGGGGCAATGGAGAAGGGAGTCCCATCCTCAAAATAACCTCTCAGGTGGCCTGTTCTTGGTGACTAAAAGTCCACCCTTTGAGACACATTCATTTCATGAAGCTTCACATTCTCTTTCTTTTAAGATCTAAATATGCCCTGCAGGTGAGTGGTCTACCAGTTCAGTGTCGGTGGTTAATCTGGTGATAAGTGGTCCGGAAAAGGAGGGAGAAATGACAGATTAGCTGGCTTCTATTCCTTGGTGTGGACAGGGGCCGCTCTTCAAACTTGAGGGTCCGTTGAGGGGTTTGCACTGGCCCTGAGCCTCTGGCAAAGTTCCTCTGGGAATGAGTGAGGGAAGTGGAGAGGGAGAAAGGAGGAAAGAGAGAGAAAGAGGGAGAGGAAAGGAGGGGAGAGGTAAGAAAAGGGAGCTGCCCCTAAATTGCCTTGACCATTCTCAAACCTCCACGCCTCTGTGCATGCTGTTCCCAGGCCCATCCTTCTGCCCCATTTCCCTGCTGTCCATTTAGAAAACTCCTGGTCTTTCAGGCCTTCCCTCTGCTGTGGAGGGGTTCCCAAGTGTTCCCTCCACACCCCCCAGCATTAACAATCCACTCTCTACACTCCCACAGTGCCCTGTACATGGATGTACCAGACTAAACTGTACCAATGAGTTTGTTCCACTCCATACTTGGTTGGAAGGAAGAACCTGTCTTTTCACCTTGGTGCCTCTGGTATGCTCAGTATATGGGTTCCCCAAGAAAGGTGCTTAAGTGTTGAATTGAATGCAAGTGGACAGCCAGATGCTGGGCTCATTCCATTCCATGGATGCCCAGCCAGACCTGGGTGAGCAGATCACACCCAGGGAGGCCAGAATTGAGGGGAGTTTCTGAGAGAGAGTGAAGGAAGGGGCTGGGCTGTTCCTAGAAGGCCATGGCCGAGGCCCTGTGGGGGTGCAGAGAAGGGATTGTTAGTGCTGGGGGGTGGAGGGAACATTCAGGAACACCTCCACAGCAGAGAAGACGCCTGAAAGAAGACCAGGAGTTTTCTAAACAGACAGGGAAATGTGGCAGCAGGAAGGGCCCAGAACAGATATGGAAAGGCATGGAAATATGAAAGTGGCCAGGGCAGTTTGGGGGTGGCTCCCTTTTCCTACCTCTCCCCTCCTTTCCTCTCCCCATTTCTCCCTCCCTTCTCCCTTCTTCTCCTTCTCCACTGGCTGTTTCTAGAAGGCCAGGCCCATCTCTCTGCAAGCATTTTCTGAAGGATGGAATGAGGCTATAAACACCAAGGTGAGTTTTATTGGGGAAGAAGAACATAAAAGAACAGCCCTTGGTGTGTGGGGCAGAAGGAGGGGCCATCTCTCCTCTTCTATCCTGAGGACTGCAGCAGGGATGGCAGGGCTAAGTTTACAGGCTTGTTGGATATCGCGATGTCTAGAGGATTCCCAGCTTTCCCCCTTGTTCCACTTGGCAAAGCCTCCTTCCACCTCTCGCTGTCCTCTTTAGCTGCTGCCCTGCATGTGGGCCCAAGAGGCCTCAGCATTTCAGGCTCTTGCCATAAGGGGCAACTCTGACCCTGGAATGCACACCTAGTTCAGTCCCTACAAGACAGGCCCAATAGCATACGGAGGGAAGTGTGGGGAGACAAGGAAGTTTCTGATATTGAAAATGCTAGAAGTCAACATCCCCTAGGAAGGCCATTTGGAAACAGTGGTTACAGAAGATGTGATATCAGGACACCATGGAGGAACGGGTTGTCAAAGTTCTGTGGAGAGCGGCACCCTTGTCCTGGTCTTTCTCCCAGGCTTGCCACCCCTCCGAGTTCAGCTGCATTGGAGGCTGTTGATGGCACCCCTCCTTCCAGCACTGCTAGGGAGACGTGCTCAGTGCTAAATGATGACTATGTACCCCCTGCAGTGGTGGGCAAGGCAGATGCCAAGTGGCTTGGATTGACTTTGGTCATCATCACGGGAGGTGTAAAGAACAACCACACAAACAGGTCTGTAACAATGTCCTCTTTCTTCCCTTCATTAATCTCGTGAGGAGGAGGGAGGAAGAGAGCGAGTGCAGCTATGCAATGTACATACATTACTGAATTAACCAGGAATGTAATTAGCGCTCAGGTGCTCAGCAGAGGAAGAACCACTCACGATTAGTCAAATTTTGCTTGAATGTCCTGAAGTTGGGGGAGCTGCCTTGGTGTCCCCCACTCTCCAGCACCCCCTCCCTGCTTCCCCTCTCTCATGTTCATGGAATGTGATGTTTGGGGCATTTGCAGATGTTTATGGAAATTTATGTGACTGTTCCTAATGTCATAAATCATATTCTGACAAGAAAAGTCCATGATCCCGGTAGTAAGATATCAAGGAGCCTGTTGTGGAAGCAGTTGGCCTCCTCTCTATTTCAGAATCTTACAGGAATGAGATGGAGATGAACGCTGTTATTAATTAAATGTTAATTGGGCCTTGGTTATAAAGCCATCTTTGCAGTCTGTGTGAGGCATTTGTCTACAAGGTGATGCTGTGTTACAAGTACGGTAAGAAAACTATGAGCTCTCAGATGTGAGGCCTAAAGATGAGGTTCTGGCCTTGGTCTTTCTCTCAGCCTTAACTCCTACAACTTCTTGGTAAAAATTGTCCTGACAAACAAAACAATTTGCCATCTGAGAGCATAGCTTGCCTTTTTTGGCCATCCCTGTCATTACTCTGTTTTTGAAATACTCCTGCTCACCAGCCCAGTTCACAAGTCCAGTTCAAAGCTCATCTCTGCCATGAGGCCTTCTCTACCAAGTGCTTTTGTGGAAGGAACTCCAGGAACCTGGAGGGTAAGACTTCACCTTCCCAGTCACAAAATGGGGTGGACTTTATTGCCTCCACTGCCAGGCCAGTTTTACTCTAGGTCAGCATAGCGGTACCACTGGAACCACCAGCCAGGGAAAGGCCATCTGGGAAGTTACGCATGAGGAAAGGAATGGGAACAAATGGGGATGGGAAAGGCAAGGCTTAGGGTTGGCCTACAGTTTCTAGGCCAGCATACAACTTTGCCAGCTTCAGACATTTGAACTTGAATTAGAACTATAGGTGTGTTGCCTTGAAAAGATGGCAGCTGGTGACAACAGGCTTATTTCTAGAGCATAGATATTCTTAAATCAGCTTTGTGCTACTTATTGGCATGCATTTTTTTTTTTTTTTTTTGAGATGGAGTCTCGCTCTGTCACCCAGGCTGGAGTGCAGTGGTGCGATCTTGGCTCACTGCAAGCTCCACCTCCTGGGTTCATGCCATTCTCCTGCCTCAGCCTCCTGGGTAGCTGGGACTACAGGTGCCCGCCACCATGCCTGGCTAACTTTTGTATTTTTAGTGGAGACGGAGTTTCACCATACTAGCCAGGATGGTCTTGATCTCCTGACCTCGTGATCCACCCGCCTAGGCCTCCCAAAGTGCTGGGATTACAGGCGTGAGCCACTGTGCCTGGCCCTGGCATGCATTTTTATATGTTCACCTCTAAGGGATTTCATATGCTTTTATGTGTGTTTGGCCTATCTCCCTATTGAAATTATTCAGAGTTGGGGTTCTGTAAGCTTCATGGGTTTGGTCCAGAATGCTGGTGTTCAGAATTTTTTGTGTATTGACATGGATTCTGCATGCCATGCTATTCCAGCTCAGTCTTCTCTCTTTCAGCCTGCTCTGAGGTTAGGGCTAGAAGCAAGAAGTGATTAGACAGCATCAGTGATGCAAGATGACCTCACCCTATGCAAAATAATGCCATGCATACCCTACCATATCTGTGTCTTTTTAGAAGTATCTGGTTTTATTTTTGTTTTTTCAGAGGCAGGGTCTCATTCTGTTACCCAGGCTGGAGTGCAGTGGCACAATCATGGCTTAATGTAGGCTTGATCTCCTGGGCTCAACTGATCCTTCCACCTCAGCCTCCTGAGTAGCTGGGACTGTAGGCACATACCATCACACCCGGCTAATTTTTTTTTTTTTGATGGGGTTTCGCCATGTTGCCCAGGCCGATCTTGAACTCCCGGGTTCAAGAGATCCTCCTGTCTTGGCCTCCCAAAGTGCTGGAATTACGGGCTGTGGGCCACCACATCTGGGCTAGAAGTACCTGGTTTTAGAGCAGTTTAATTTCACTTTTTCCTGAGACCCTGGTATTTGAATCCTATCAGAAAATTTCAGTGAGTTTTATGATGCAGAGTCTTCCCCTATCCCTATTTTCTCAGTTATAACTGGCAGCTTCTATTCTATTTTGCTTTTATGCAATACCATACCAACAGAGTTTCAGGGCACCTTAGGATAAGCCATGTCTCTAAGCCTCATGTCTCTGAGCAGTGTGTGCCAAAAGTTTATTGTTTGGGTACTCATTGATGGCCCTGGTCTCCCATTCTTGAATCTTCTCCTTTTGATAAAACAAGCTCTTCAATTAAAAACATCCTCCAGACACCGAGACGGCTGTTCATTCTCCATTCAGCAGCTGCAAAGCTGGAGGAGGAGAGGGAAGGGTTGGGGAAATGGCTGAGGCCCATAACTTAATTCCTGTGCATTAGCCCTGCCCTGTATTCGCCCTTTCCAATCTTGGCTTCTCTGCTGGTGAAACAAGCAGGATTAGCGCGTGATAAGAGAAGCTGGGGTCATAATTACACCCTATGCGATGGGGCAGCACAACCACCAAATAAATCCCTGGACAATTATTAAAATGGCCCAATGCATTACACAAATTAGAACAGGCTGGGACTTTTTGGGAGGAGGGAGGGGAGTGAAGACCCAGTATTTAAGTGTTCTTGTAAGCCATCTAAGATATTAATGTTGCAAAGCTCCTTATGAATATTTAAGAACATAAAATGGAGCTTCGCTGCAGCCCCATATCACCACAGAAGCCTGTAATACAGCTGAGTCCACTTAAGAAGTAGAGCCTATGTCCTCGGCAGATTGAAGCCAGATGAAGCAGGGCTGCCCGTTTGTGGTGGAATGCTCCTCACAGACCAATTTAATGAGGTTGCCTTATAACTCACAGAAGAGGAGTTAGTTAAAGACTCGAACAACTTTGATGGGTGGGACTCCCTCATGATGGTAGCCCATTTCCCCCACTCCTCAAGGATTTTAAGGGACTGACACAGAACTGACGAAGTCTTTATTTACCCATTCCGTTCAAGTCTCAGTTACACATAACCCTCTTAGAACCAGACACGTGGGACCCCTTGGCTCGCTGGGCAGTGTTTCTCAGAGCTGCATTTGGGGCAGCTGATTCTTCACAGGGGGCAATTAGCTCCAAGTTCTTATAAGGAGTGAATGAAGTCTCCTGGATAAAAGAGACGGCTGCTCTGGTGGGAGAAGGGTCATATTCTGAAATCAAGTTAGATGGTGTCTTTCCCAGGACTGGCCCTGGTGCATCTTTATATTGGGAATGGGGGAGTGGACTCTTGTAAGGTGGCTGGAGACATCAAGTCAGCAGGACACAGGGAGGATGATGGACAAAACCTCCGGGGCCTTGAGTTCTGGCTTCAGCTTAGCCATGTTCTTACTTTCCCGCTTTTTACACATCTGTCAAATGGGAATAAAATTCCTGGGAAGTCTGATCATTAATGGAATAATAGATCTAGGTACACTTGGGAAGAAGGGTACTATAGAATGTGATGTTAGTATTATTTCTATTTTTACTTGTATTTGATAGCGGTTCTGCTTTACACCCTTCAGAGCTTCTCTGACTTCGTTCTGCCTCCAGATAAAGGAAAAGAAGGAAATGATCCTATCCCTGATCACTGACTCCCTTCCCCACTTCCAGGCTTCTGGCTGCCTCTTTCAGAGTTAGGGAAACCCCAAGGGAAGTAGACCCCATAACTTCTGTGGGAACCCTCAGGTGCGGAGGCCTTTGAGAAGGTAGAGCAAGTCTCTGCCTGCACAGAGGGATCTGAAAACTCCAAACAACCTTCTTTATGACACAGAGATGTTGGGGTGGGGGAGGAAAGGAAGACTCCACACCTCCTAGGGTTCCAGGCCCTAGCTGTAGGGAAGAGAATATAGCATGAGGGGTAGACAGACAGACAGACAGCCTGTATGCAGGGGAAAGGAAGCCTAGCCACAGAATGTTCTTTGCTTTCAGGGTACTCCCCATAGTCCAGGAGGAGAGCAGCACTTGTCCAGCCAAGCCTGGCTTTTCACATTGCATGGTGCCCATAGCACACACAAGAATATGAATTGGCAGTACATGTATTTTCTCAGAAGCTAATAACAACAATTCCTTGATCTCATTATTTTTCAAACTTTGATAATGATAGCTACTATATATTGAGACACCACACAAGCATCCTGAGAGCTAGAGCTAGGTATTATTATCTCTGCTTGACACATAGAGCTCAGGGAAGTCAGGCTCTCATTGATAGCCTCTCTCTCTCTCTTTCTCTCTTTCTGTCTCTCCCCTATCTTTTCTCTGTCTCTATCTGAAGGTTTCAAGTACATACACAAAGGTATCGTCATCTCAAGAAGGATTTTCTCTCTGGCCCAGACCCTTTGACACCCACTGCTAGCCCTCATGGACACCTTCAGCCTGGCTTAACTATGAAAGAATCTATAAGCTATTAATTATAGCTTTATTAAAACTCAACAAATCTAGCCCTAAAAAGACAGCTGACATGGGTTTAGGTCATATCTTCTTACTAGCTGTGTGACCTTGTACAACTTATCCTCTTTAAGCCTCAGTTTCCTCATGGAAGAAGGGGTGGGAGACAAATAAGAGTACCCACCTCTGGCTTAACATGAGGATTCTGTGAGACAATGCCTGGAAAGGGCTTGGTACATGGCACAGATTCTGTGTGCATGACGTGGTAGTTACCATCATCATCTTCATCACAGGTCTGAGATTCCTCTTGCAGAGACTCATTCCACTGAGAATTTAAAACTCAGACACCTGGGGGGAACAGATTGCATATGAGGCCTTTATCTTCCAACAGTGTTATAAGTCCAGCAGCATGCAATGTAGACCAGATGCCTTCCATGGTCCATGTCAATGCTGGGCTTTTCTAATTCTATTAAGTATCTTAGGGTGATGGGGACCTTGTAGGAAGGGGGCACACATGATGTGTCTAGAGACATAGGAAGGAGGTGTCAAGAAGGAAAAGAAAGCCTACAGCAAGGACAGAATAATCTTTAGGAGGACCATGTTTCTGTAGGTTTCTGGGCCAGTCTTATTCTTTGCATAGTGGGTTCTTTGGATTGTTTTCATTAGCTGTCTGAGGCAAATGTTTCCAAATCTGACTTTTCCCTGAGTAACAGGTAACTTACAAATACCATCAATCAACCTCTCGATATTACCATTAATTAATGTTTGTTAGCCATGAGGCAAAATACTTTGTCATTTAACCCCTGCTCACAATAACTATCATCCTTACGTTGCAATTGCAGAAACAAAGGCTTGAAGTCACACAGTTGGGAAGTGGTGGCACTGAATTTGAAACCAGACAGTCTGAATCTAGAGCTGTACCTAGGTGATACACCCTTTACAAATGTTTCTGAGATTGTGATGCTTTCAGCCTGGCCCTGGCTCCAAATTCACCTTGCAGTTGTAGAATACATGTGGTCCCTTTCCTCTACACACTTACCACTCAAAAACATTTAGTATATACCTGTGGGCCAGGTACTGATGTAGTCTCTGTTAGAAAAGATGCTGCTGACTCATCATCACTAGGGCTTAAAGGAGGGTTGCATTGGGGTTTGTGTTGGGACATCCACATTCTCTCGACTCCCCCTTAACTGGGGGCTTGCATACATTTATAGGATGCATCAGAGACACAGTCTGGAGCCAGCGATCAGAGGGTTTCTCTTTTCATGTGAAACTAACTGGCTTCCAGGTACAACGATAATTCCCTGAGGATTACAGGATCACAGAATTATGGAGCTGGAAGAGTCTTTGATCTCATCAGCATTTCGACTAACTGAGCTGAACGGGCCATGTGAGGAAGACAGCAAAAACAAACACCAGCAGAGCAAAGGCACTTACATGCCTGCCGTGTGTGGCTCCTTCACTCTTGCTTAGGAAACCTTTGTCTTTCTCCTTTTGCTGTCTAAACCAGATCTTATTCTTTTTCATGAGATCTTTTGTCTATTTTAGCCCTCACTTGTTTCCTTTTCCTTTGAATGCAAGGGGCACTTATAATCTGTAGACACCCACATTATTGTATTCTTTTGGTGTTCTCTAATTGTTTTATGTGTAAGAGTTTTGTTTCTACTAGGTATCTAGGATGGTGAGTGCTTTGAGAAATGGGGTTGTGTTCACCAGCTTAGTGCCTGAAACACAATACTCAGTAAATATTGGCTGGTTTAAGAAATGAATGAATGGAGAGAAAGTATGTCTTCCCTTGAATTCCGCATTGAGCCTAGCACAGGACTGAGCACCTGATGGATACATGGTGGTTCATTGATAATACTGACCCTGCACAAATAAATTCTTTTTAAAAAATTACTTTAAGGCAACCTTCCAGTACCTAGATATGATGGAGAGTGCCACACAGGTCCTGGTATGGCCTCTAAGGTGCTGTGCTTTTCATCAAGAGAAGTATATGTCACAGTATGCTCTTGGAAAGAGATGTGGCTTCCTGACAGGCTCGGTGGATTTAGGAAAAAATAAACCTTGAAGCAGGAATGCAGTCATTTCTGGGGGCTCCCCTAGAATCCCATGAGGGACATCAAACCAACCCATGGTAACTAGAAAATCATGGAGTCTTCCAGGTGGACTTCAAAGTTGATTGATTTTAGTGGCTTCCTAACCATTTTTTTGTTAAAGCTGTAGATCTTATCCTCAAATGAAAGCTGTAAGTTGAATTTGAAGTTTCTCTGATTAAAGTGGAGCATAGGGCCCAGAACCTTATATTCTTAGCTTCTAGAGGGGCTCTGAGAATCTCCTAGAGCTTCTTGGAGAACACTTTGAGAACCACATTGGTGACTGTAGGGGACAAGTGTTATTCATTTTGGTGACCCAGAATCTAAACTGGCTTTTCATTTTGGGGAAATATAATTTTAAGTGAAGCCGAATTTATGGATATGGGTACATTTATCAGAGATATTAGATTCAACATGCTGGCTCAAGTATCTGAGATTTCTAAGTATCTTCTCAGATGGCTTACTGAAACCTGCTAATGGCTCATAAGGAATCAAGATGCCAGAAAACTCTTGATATAATGTAAAGAACCAAAAAAAGCTAGGAAGGTTAACATGGGTTTATCCTGTGTAACCTGTGTAATTTATCCATGTATAACCTGCTCACACACCCTTAACTGTATTACCTAAGAGGTATCTGAAGATGCTTCCTTTACCAAAGCACTGAGAAATACTACAATGGGGAGGGCCAACATCTTTGATGAGTGCCATAAGGGCTGTGACTTTATGCTGAGAGTGCTGTGGCTGAAATGGGATCCCTGATTTCACAGGGGATGCCAGGATCCTCAGGGAAGAAACCAAGGAGTGACAATTGTAAAACCTCCAGAGGCAAGGTGGTACATGCATTATTTAATGTTCTTAATTGCATCAGAATCCATGCTGGCTAAACAGAAAAGAGATTTTATAAAAGGATATGAGGTAGTACACAAGATGCCTTTGAACAAAGCCCGTGGCTGTGGGGCAGCTTTAGTGAGACGCTGCCACCCCCTGGCACTGGTAACACTCAGGACTGGATGCCTGAGCTCTGCACTCTCCCCCTTACATAGCTGGCGGTCTCTACCACTGTGCTTGCTAGGTATCAGTTCCACTGCGTTTAGCTTCCTCTTCATCTTGCTCACTTCCAAGTCTGATTTTCACATAGATGTGTCTGATTTTTCAGAATCTAAGTCACATACCTATAACCTAATTGCAAGGGAATATGAGAACTTTTAGCTAGGCATTTTACTGCACTACAAAAAAAAATGCATTTCGGTTAACAAGGAAAAAGTGGGGAATGGCCATTGGGTAAGCAGCTAAGAATGCCCAATACTTCATGGTTCCATAATAAGCAGCAGACTAGTTTGCTAATTAGAATGGTCTGGATCCATAGGGATCTTAGGGATGGCTAATTGATTATGAGGTCTTTGCACTGAAATATATGGACAGTCTCCTAAGATCATTCTTGGTCCATAGAGTCAAAACAAACAAACAAACAACAAACACTAGACCTAGAGGACAAAGCCGTCTTTGAGTCACCAAGTATAGAGAATAATTGCTCCTTGTTCAATTTCTAAACTGAAGCCATAGACCCAGAGCCCACAGGAAAAAGGAGAGGCTAGATACTTTTGGGGAAGAACCCTGAAATTAAATCAAATGTATATACTGCAAATCCTACTCCTGACTGTCTTTAAAGAGATCTGGGGCAATTTACCAAGGTAACAATGGCTTGGGGGAAATAGGATCTATACCTTTTAGATCTTTCATTGACTTTGGTTGGATCCAGTATACCACTTTGGTTCACTGATCAGGAGGGGAACCTTGTAGGGGTCAGATGATAAATTTTGAAATCATAGTTGGCCTAGTAGTCTCCAAGCCATTCTATGTTATTTTTCTCAGTTCCTGACTATATGGTTGGAATGGATATGTTCAGTACAAGGCAGAATTGTCTCCCTGATTTTCTAAAAGATTTCTATGTTAGAAAGTGCCAAATGAAAGACTTAAAGTAGTAAACCAAAGGCAATACCTTGTCTCCAGGGGATATCACTGAAGCCATCAGAGACTTGGAAGGTGCAGATATTGTGATTTTTATCACAACCCCATTTTGATCACTTATTTGTCCCTTGCAGAAAGTGGAGATATCCTGAAAAATGGTAGTAGATTATTATAAATGTGATGAAGTGGCCTCCAATGACAGCTACTCCAGATATAGCCACTTTACTGGAGCAAATAACTCAGCTCTTGACACTTACGCTGCAGCTATTTATATGGCAAGTGGTTTTTTTAAAAATATAGTTTCAATAGAAAGACAATTTGCTTTCACCTGGCAAGGATTGCAATATACTTTATTGCTCTGGCTCCCCATCTCTATGTCATAATTTAGTCCACAGAGATATTTAATCATCTCTTTAACCTACAAGAAATCAGGCTGGTTTAGCATATTGATAACATGCTGAAAGGACTTGGAGAGCAGGAGATAGATGTACTATAGATATCTGAATAAGATACATCAATGGCAGAGGATAGAGGTTGAATTATATGAAAATACAGGCACCTAATGGTCATTAAACAATTTCTTATTTCTGTTTGGTATTTTGCAATATACAAGCATAGATTTCTAAATAAAATTTTATATAGTTATAATTTGTTGTTTCTATTTTATGTTTTTTCACTTACAATAATTATATATATATATTTATGTGTGAACATTGTGAGTTTTCACCTCTACCTAAAATGCCATCATCTGCTTAGCTTTGCTGCCCCATTAGAGCTTGGGTTGTTACTGGTTTTTCTGTATTCTAAATACTGTTGCTATAAATGTCTTTAGAGAAATTGCTTTTTTTTTTTTTTGGTTTGGGTTATTTCCTTAGGGTGTATTTCCTTAAAATGGAATTATTATGTCAAAAGGTACAAACAATTTTATAGCTTTTGTTACATATTGCCCTATTGCTCTCCAGACAGATTGAGCCAATTTACAATGCTACTGACAGTACCTACGCATGCTATTTTCCCACAGTTGACCCAGTTGGATTTTCTATGTTTTATTTATTTTGGTCAATTTAATATTGTGCAATGATACCCTATGGTTGTGTTAATATGCATTTCTTTAATTGTTAGGAAGTCTGCGCATTGCATAATGTGACAACACTATTTGTGATTCTATAGTATGCTCATATTATTCTGTTTTCCCTGATGGGTTTGTAAGCCTATCAGTGGTAGAGACTGTGAATCATCCATGTATATATCCATCTGTCCATCATTTATTGAGTGCTTATTATGTTTTCGTCCAGGCACTGTGCTAGGGCAAAGGCATACAGGAGAAAAATATGCAGTGCTGATCCTCAAGGGGTTTTCATTGTAGTTGGAGAGAGCAAAAAAGATCAATGATTATAACTAAATGTGACTTTAAATGTGCACAAAGTGTTATGGGGTTCATAAAAGGAGCATAAGGGAGGTTTATCCAAGTTGTCCTTGTAAGAACATGGAATGCTTCTAAAAGGAACCATGCTTATGTTCAGATAGCCAACCCTCAAAGAGGATGAATCAAGCCTCAGATGGTAAGTAAAAGTTAGCTATGGGGAAAAGGAGTAAAAGATGGGTTGTGCACTCAAGGAGAGAGAACAGCATGTGTAAAGTGGTCATGAACTGACAGTGTTACGTGACCTCAAAGAAAGGGCTCAGCAGTGACATGTTGGGAGAAAGGCTATACACTTAAATGAATCTGTTAGACTGTTTTTGGCTTTGAAAAGTAGAAAACTCTGACTCAACTAATTTAAATAATAAGACAAACTTGTTATCTCATTAAGCAAGAAGTTCAGAAGTTGAGCTGCTCCAGGGTCGGCTAACTCTATGGCTTGACAATGGCATTTAGGATCCAGGTTCTTTCCATTTTTCTGCCTTGTCATCCTATGGGGCTTCCTTCATGGTTACCAGATGGCAGTACCACTGTGCAAGGCATCTTTTGTAGACAGAACAATGTCGGGTGGAACAAAAGGGACTTCCTCTTCCTTATGTCTCTTTTCAAGAGCAAAGAAACCTTTCCCAAAAGCTCCTCAGAGGACATTCTGCTTCTCAGCACTTGCTGAGTCACAGGCTTAGCCCCAAAGCGAGCTCCAGAGAGGGCGATGGCATTACCATGACTGGCTGAGATGTTTTAGGACTTATTTATGGATTGAAAATAGGCTCACCTTCCCTGAGCATTGGAACTGATCAAAATCATAGATAAGCAAAGAAAAATGGGGAAAGGGATGTTGGATACATAATCAATTGCATTTTTTATATTAGAGATTTATTATTTGTGTTTCCTGTGAGGCTAGTTGATTCATGCATGGTCACTTCTAAATTATTTCATATGGAGATCTTATCATTAATCAGTTTTGAACCATGTAGTGTTCCAGCAGTATTTGAGGGGTCATAGATAGCAGTACCCTCCTCACTCTTCCCTAGTAAAACAGTGGGTGAAGGGAGATGAATAGTTACTACATAAATATTCATTGCATGCCTATGATGTGTCAGACATAGTGCTAGGTGCCATGGATATAGAGCAGAATAAGATACAGTACTCACCTGTTGCCCCCAAAGAGTTCACAACGAAGGTTGAGGTGAGGAGATAGGTGAAAGGATAAATAGATACACTGATAATATATAATTATAAATATAACAATTAAAGCTGTCATTTATTGAGTATCTGCTATATTATACCTCAGAACTTTACCTAGTTTTACATTTAATTTTTACAGTTACCCTGATTTCTCCCATTTGCCATTGAGTGAAGTGAGCCTCAGAAGGATTAGGTGCCTTGTTCAAGTTCTCATGGCTAGTAAGTGTGAGAGCTAGGACTCAATCTAAGGTCTGCTGACTCAGAGCCCATGCTCATCACTGCTTTGCTATGTCATCTCTTTGTTGTTGACTCAAACACCAAAGTGCCACGAATCCCCAGAGGAGGGTTATGCTCATGTTGTCAAGGGTAGGGCTATGACCATTCTGCAAAACAAGTGCAGTGTAAGCTGCAGTTTGGAGGGTTGGAGGAGTAACCAGATGAACAGAGTGTGAAAGACCTAGCCACAGGGAAGAACATGTGCAAAAGCTCAGAGCCTAAAAGAGCTGGAAGATGGAATACATTAAGAGTTGGGACTGAAAATGTGGGGTGGGGCCAGATGGAGATAGGCTAGTACCTTGTGTTTAGAAGTTTAGACTTGTCTTTGAAGCAAAGTTTTCAAAGCAAAGACCACCTTGGTAGCATTTTGGAAGATGAATTTGAAGGATTCAAGATCCTGGGGAGGCCAGTTAGAAAGCTGTTGTACGATCCAGGTGAGAGACAGGAGACCTTTTTGGAGCTAGAATCAAGAGAATTTGGTAGATTGATTAGATTTTGGGGTGAAAGAAAAAGATTTGAAGATGACTCCCACATGCCTGGATTGAGCAACTGGGTGGATTATGGTACAGTATATTCGTGAATTGGCTTAATCAAAAAGAAAGTTGTCTTGAGGTAGCTCCTAGAGCTGAAGGAAGAGATGTAGGAACCAAGGTCCCAAGACTTGTAGGGAGTTATTTGTCTCTCGTCTTTGCTTATATCTGCTTGGCGTTTTCTGTATGCCAGCAACGATGACCACCAATAACTTTAAATATGCATCCCCAATCATTGGAGTGGAAAGGCAACTTTTCTTACCCATAAGCCTGCTTGAATCGTAGGTTCATTCTAGACCAATCCCTGTAACCAGGGAGATGAGATATTATGGTGGCCAAGCCAGAATCAAATACTAAATGCTGTGGTCAGAAGAAAGGAGGTGGGGCAGAATGCACTGGGCAGCCCAAGATAATACCTATAATGCTTCACTTTAGATGGTATTGACCAAGAGAGAAAGCAATGGGGGAAGAACATTAAGTGGCTTTCAATCTAATTCTAATTTGAATGTGTGGGATTCACAGTATCAAACTCCCCAGCAGACTCCAAGTGCCATAATATTTTACTGAAATCAACATGCTGGTGAGACAAGGAGCCTGACAGACAGCAGATGGCTCCCACACAGAAAGGCTAATCAATTCAGACATACAACAGCCATCATAAAAGAGTGGAACATACCCAGCATGCACACTCATCTGAGCAGCTCAGAGAAAAAGCCTCTTGCTTGGCCTAACCAGGAGAGAGAAACAGCCTCTTTGAGACAATGGTGTGGGAATGTCTGGGCATCCCAGACCCTCTCTGGCTGACCTTACCTTCCACCACTCACCCACACAGATCTCTGCACCACTCACACTGAACTCTTCAGGCTACATTAGACTCCTTGAGCTTTCCCACCTCTGTACCTCTGCTCACTTCCTCCCTTCTTCCTGGGCTACCCTATCCCCTCCCTTCTTTTGGACCCAATCCTCAAGGTCCAGCTCAAGTCCCCCCTCTTCCTAAAGACTTGGAGTGTTGTTAATGCTCCATGGATGTGTTTGTGACTGATATAGTTTGAGTGCGTGTCCCTGCCCAAATCTCATGTTGAAATGCAATTCCCAGTGTTGGAGGTGGGGCCTGGTGGGAGGTGATTGGATCATGGGGGAGGTTTCTTATGAATGATTTAGCACCATCCTCTTGGTGCTATCCTCATGATGGTAACTTCTCACAAGATCTGGTCATTTAAAAGCGTGTGGACCTCCTGCCTCACTCTCCTGCTCCTGCTTTTGCCATATGATGTGCCTGCTCGCCCTTTGCCTTCTTCCATGATTGTAAGTTTCTTGAGGCCTCCTCAGAAGCTGAGCAGATGCCAGCACCATACTTTCTTGTCAGCCTGCAGAACCATGATCCAATTAAACCTCTTTTCTTTATACATTACCCAGCCTTGGGTATTTATTTATAGCAATGTGAGAATGGGCTAAAAAAGTACCTAATCATCTCAATTAGATATACTAGGTTGCAGATTTCTTGAGAACAGGTGGCATGCTTTATACATCCTTGCATACCCAGGAGCATTTGGCTCAGGACCTTGAACTAAGTTCTTAATACAGTTTCATTAATTCACTTCCAATCTTGGGGTAGGAGAGTTATATTTCTTAAGAGATGGAAAAAGTATTTACAATATATAGTAAAGGATTATTAATGTTAATATAGTAAAATAAGGCTTTACAAATCAATAATAAAGGACAAGAAATCCAATTGGGAAGTAGGCCAAGAAAATTAACATGAAATTCACTGAACAACCCATACTTATCAAAAGATCAACTTTAGCAGTTATCAAAGAGATGCAAATTAAAACAATTTTATTAAACTGTTGCTTATCAAATTGGGTAAGATTGAAAAATAGATTCTGTAGTGTTAGTAAGACAATGGTGAAACAGCTACTCATATGATACAAGGTGGGACAGCACATGGGTACAACTTTCCTGATGATAAATTTGGCAATTTTTATTAAGTCTTTAAAATGTTCAAACTTTTAAAATCTGTAATTCTGCTTCTAGGCTTTTATCCTAAGAAAGTTATCAAAGCTTCACACATAGATTACATATGAGGACGCATATCTTAGTATGGTGGTGAATTAACTGGCTAATTCTCACTTATTCAGTGTCTAGAAGGCAGCCCATAAAGAGAAGTGAGATTTATACAGCTCCTTCTCACTTGCCTGACTTACAGGTTGATAATTGATTTGATGCCTGCTGGAATGTGGTAAGTAGATTTCTTTCCATTGGTAGGGGATGCTCTACCTTACCCGATGGACCTCCACCTGTGATCTTTTATTTTAATCTAAGCTTCTTCTATGAAGACCTCTGTTTCCCATACCATGCTGCAGCTTCTATCATTATTCTGCTCACCTCTCAGATCCTGAATGTCTTTGGAGAGCTTGATACACTATGCAAGAGACTGAACCAGCCAGTGAGGTACACACTGGAAGAAGGAACCATGCTTTATTGCTCCTCAGGTTATTTAAGCACTGTGAACCCATTCATCCATCCATCCATCCATCCACCCATCCATCTATCCAAATGTCCATCCATCCATCCATCCATCCATCCAAACATCCATTCAAACATCTCTCCCTCTTTCCCACCCAGTAGTGATTGAGCACATGCTATATGCCAGAGACTGTGCTGAGTGTTGGGTGCTAGATTTGCACAAGTAATAGGCATGTTCCCTACCACAAAATTACTCACAGTTCAGGGGCATGATGGACTAGTAAAGAGGCAGTTAACTGTTTCTTCTAGAGGTCAACACACAGAATCTGGAGCATGGGGTAAGGGAGGGGGTGTACTCCCCTCAGATGGTGGATTCTGGAGGTAGAACCTGAGAAGGGTTTTCAGACTTAACTGTGAGTTAACCTAGGAATAAGGGGAAAGGGGCATAAGGTATTTTACTGAAAGAGAGAGAGAGAGAGAGAAGAAGGAGAGTGAGGGAGGGAGGATGAGAGAGAGAGAGGAGAGAGAGATGTTTAAAGACCCAAGATTGAGAGGAAGCATGCAGCGTTAGAGGAAATGTATACAGTTCCACATGACTGTGGAGTTTGAGGGGTCAAGGGAAAAATAAGAGCCTTGAAGGGCAGAGTGGGGCAGGGGGTGAAGTTCTTATTGGTCATTCCTAGGAGTCCAAGCTCTATCTGAGAGGCAAGTTCGGGGGCATTGAAAGGTTTAAGGGAGAAAAGATTTAAGTATTTTTGAAAAATCAGAGTACAATCAGGGAGATGGATGGATTGGAAGCTTAAGGCCAGTTGGGACATGACTGCAGTGATACAGATGAGAAGTGATAATTATCCCAACAAGGAGCTGGAATAAGATATGGGGGCAAAGGAGAGGGAATAGAGTCAAGAGATGTTACCAAGGCCAAGTTGTCAGGACCCAGGGACTGGTCAGGAGTGTGTGGGGTGGGGAGGGTAATGGGGTCATTGCAGGAATGGGGAGCAAGGAGGCATCAGCCCCAAGGAGGCTTCTGCAGAAACTCATAGGTTCTTGGCATGAGCTGGCCAGTCTAGATCTAGAAGTTCTGGGGGAAGGCAGAGAAAATTATTTCCACTCTTTCCCCATTTCCTATGGAAGCCCACCTCAGCATTCAGCTCTCCTCTGTTTCCTTTTCTCTTCTAGTCTGTCTCCTGGAGCTCTTCGGAAGTAGCTTCAGCTCATGGCTCAAACACAGCCCTGTGGCCACGGCCCAGCATCCCCACAATTTCCTGGCCCACAAATGGGTTTCCTGACAGCAAGTTCTGCAGCGTAGTCTCAGGAATGGGCAACTACAGACATTTGACCCAGCTGAGAAGCTTCCTGAATGGAGTTTATACTTCATTTAACAAAATGTTGTTGAGGGAGGGCCTGCTTTGTGCTCAGCATAGAGCAGGGTGCTATGCAAAAACAATCTCTTAGATACTGATTGTATTTTTTATTCTGCTTTCAAGATCCAGCTTACATGGCACCTGTCCTACAAAGTCTTTCTTAAGACTCCTCATCCCCCTGCAACCCTGGGTTCCCATGGTTTAACCCTCTATTCCATTCAATTTCACATCAAATTATCAGTATTTCTTCATACATCTATTCCTTCTGCTAGGCTGGAAATTCCTTAGGGGCAAGGGACAAACACAGTCTGCTTTCCCCCTCCAGCACATCCCATCTTTGCTCTTCCTCATCTCTCAGCATTTTGAAAGTGTTTGATACAGTTAGTACTCACAACTGGGACTTCTAACTTCTTTGGTGGGGCAATGCTGTTGTTTATTTCTTCACCACAAACGTTTGCTAAGATTCTTGAGGGGCAGACCAGAAAACGTTCACAGGTTTAAAAAGCTGGTAGCTGTAGCCTGAAGCTCTTAACACTCTCCTTAGTTACCTAATTTCCTCCAGTGGGTCTGGCCTGCTCCAGGGAAGGCATTTTGCCCTGAAAATGTGATGCTTTCAAGACTCCATAGAAAGCAAAACAGCCGGCTTTCCGCTTGGGAAAGGGGCTTGTGCCTTTAAGACCTGCCTTGGGAAATCAGCCTGAGCAACGTAATTGCTGTGAAATTACCCCAGATCACACCCACACATTCATTATGAGATTCCTTATTGACACCTTGACAATTTGTTTCAGAAGACATCACTGCATATTCCTCCCTCTGGAATAGATACAGATGCATATAGACATACGAGCCCACACATAATGTATATGCATATCAGTGTGTTTTTATTATATAATTATACAAGGCTATCAGTCAGTTTTCATTTGAAACTCTTTGCATTTATAGTTCAGGAAGTTATTTAAAATCAAGAGTTGGAGAAGATAGCCTCCTAGAAGAACCAAACATGAAGAGTAGAATTGAGTAAGACAGGGGGCATGTCTTTGCTATTTGAGAACTGTGCCTACCCCCACACCACACACATTCTTTCCTTCTTCACAATGACAGGTTTTTTGCTACCATTGGGAATTCAGTCCTGGAAAGCACTCACAAAAGGAGGGTGCCAGTGGAACAACTCCAAGGGGAACCTCTTCAGGGACATAACAGTGCCATCTTTGGCCTCTCCAGGCCCTTCCCTTGAGTCTGGGGTAAGCTCATGGCCACACTGATATACATACAATGGCAAAGGGACAACTGGGTGCCAGTCAGATTCATACACCTCCACAGGTCCCTGAAGATCAAGCATAGTATTTGAGAGGATAGCTTCCCAGCCTTTTAAAGTCATGATACACATGAAAATAAGAATATTCATATTGCACACTATAGTAAACTGCAGAGGACTTGAGGCATTTATACAGGGCTTGGGAAAAAAGTCTTTCCATTTTCTTTATATTATACAAAATTAAAATGCAGTATATTAGGAAAAACATTATACATTAAATTAGTATAAAACATTTTTCTAGTTCTAATGAGAAACTTGAGTTTGCTTCCTTCCATGAATATAAGTGTTTCATATCAGGGTTTATGCTCAAAATGGTTATACATAGTGCCTGACGATGACTTTTAAAATGATGATCTCTACAAATTCTTGGTAGTCACCCTTGATAAGAAACTTTGCACAAGTGGGTGATAAAAAATTTAAAGCAACTTTTATAACCATTAAAGATTCATAACAGTTGAAATTATATTTAAAGAATTTAACAGCTCTTCCTTTTATTTCATTGACAAATGTAGTGTTGAAAGTTTTTGTGATGGTGCAGATGGGTTTCAAATCCAATAGAACTTATTCATGTCAAGGAATCAGAAGAATGATGGCACTGTCATTTGCGGAACTTGGTGGATGTGTTGCTGGAACGTTCACTCTGCAGCTGGCTTGGATGACACTTGAAGGGTACAACCACTGCAAGCAGATAAAAGTATATAGCATATATGAAGCTCAATCTAGAGCCATTTCTACTATGCCCACTGTTAAACCCCACCTGTCTTTCTGCCACTTTTCTCCTCTGATAGGTGCACTTGGAGCTGCACACAGTACCCTTGGCACATGAACATCTCCAACAGTTCATCAGACTTCCTGTCCCTATCATGGTGACAAGTGGGGCTTGCAGCTGTCTGCTAGAGTAGGTGTCTAGAGGTCTCCTTGGTTATTCTTATTGCAGCTCTGCAGAGCAGCATGGATCAGGCACTACTAGTCATGCACACTGTCCCTGGGGACCATAGTATATGCCATGAGACCCTGCTCACCTTGGGTGGCCTTCTGAGGAGCCACCGATAGGGTTACTTGTGGCTGCAGGAGACCATTCCTAGGTACTCGGTCTGCCCCAGGTCCTGCCTCAATGTTCTGGAGCTGAGAGGGTCAGATTTTACATAACTGTAATTCATTTGTGGCATGCTGGCTGGGAAGCACATGTTAGACAAGTCCCTTCTCCTCTCTGAGCTGCATTTTCTCACCTGTGACTTCACTGGTTGCTTCCAGTGAGAAATACTGTCATGACATAGAAAATCAGATATGGTTGAATATAACTAGGTAAACAAATGAGTAATTTAGATAAGTGTTCTTGGCCCTTGTCTGGAAGTTGCTAGGCAGGGAGGGGTCCATAGAGTTGTGTTAAAAGGGAGCAAGGGTAAGACCATCATATCTCTAGGCCCCTTCCTAGGGGGCACGAGCTTTGTGGTGGGTGTTCTGGTAAACCTGGTAGGAATACCAGCCCAGCAAGCATAGGATAGTGTCCTGGAGCTGGTAGGAACAGGCTAAATTGTTTCAAAAAGTAGCAGAAATAGATTCTGGAAATCATAGAAAGAGAGGACCAAGTGGGATAAAGTTGGAAAAGAGCCAGGAGCAATGCAGAGGTTGGCAGAGAACTGCACATCACCATAACTCATGTTTATTGACTACTATTAGGTGCCAGGTAGTGTGATCATGTATTTATATATATTGTTAATAACTAATGAATCCTCACAACTCCTGATAAAGTGGGTACTATTTTCACTTAACAGATTTGAACACTGAGGCTTAGAGATGTTATTTAAATTGTCCAAAGCCACAGAGCTATGAAGGGGCAAAGCCAGGACTCCAGGCCAATATGAAAGTGGTGCCTGCAATTGGACATATACTTGTTTTTTGGAGGCCCTGTTTTATTCTGTGTGCCGTGTTCTTTGAGGATATTTAAGAGGAGGAGATGTTGTCTTTCACTTTTTAAAACGTTCCAACTATTCAAAGATCTAAACCTAAAGAGATCCCATGAATCATTTACAGTGGCCAGGACCTGCTGCCTCTTCCTTTATAGGGTCTCTCTCTGTCTCTTCATTTCTGGCCCCCTTTTCACTGCCGTACTGTTTGTAAAAGCTCAAACTCAGGCAGACATTCAAAGTCTCTGTAATCTAGCTTCAACTGAATCCTGAAAGAGTAGCTGACACACAGTAGGTTTTCAACTGATGTTAAGTGAGTGAATGAATGGATGGATAAATCACGCCTCGGTCTCTTTCTTCTTTTCCCCCCACTGTACATGGCCCTGGCTCTCACCAACCCTGTTGGCTTGCTGTGCCCTTAAACACCCTGTGCATTCTATGCCCAGTCCTTTGCTCCTTCCTAGAGTGTGTCCCCAACTTCTGTCCTCATCATTAAGTCCTACCTGGCCTGCAAGGCCCAGCTCACCTTCTCTGCCAAGTTCTATCTGACTAATGTGGTCTCAAAAGACCTGCCTCCCTTGAACTCCTAGAGTCTGAGCCCTCAGGCAGCACTGACATCAGTGATTTGTGATACATTTTTGAACCTAATATGCTCTTGTCCAGGCTGAAGAGTGAGCACCCAAGTGCAGCTAGTACCTCAGGGGCCCTGTCTCACAGGACTCTGGAAGAGACTTATCTCTTGCTTAGTCCTGCATAGTGCCTTGCATATAGTAGGTGCTCAGTTCATATCATCTGAATAATTGACAGGAAGCAACTTGTACACAGTAAACATACATAAATGATATGGTTTGGCTCTATGTCCCCACCCAAATCTCATCTTGAATTGTACTTACATAATTCCCATGTGTGGAGGGACCTGGTGGGAGACAATTGAATTGGGGGGCGGTTTCCCCATACTATTCTCATCGTAGTGAATAAGTCTCATGAGATCTGATGGTTTG
The DNA here is from genome assembly GCF_000001405.40 of Homo sapiens. NCBI lineage: Eukaryota > Metazoa > Chordata > Mammalia > Primates > Hominidae > Homo > Homo sapiens. Next base: position 47,445,635 of record NC_000018.10, read on the forward strand.
ATAAGGGGAAACCTGTTTTGCTTGACTCTCATTCTCTCTCTTGCCTGCTGCGATGTAAGGTGTGCCTTTCAGCTTCCACCACGATTGTGAGGCCTCCCCAGCCATGTGGAAATGTGAGTCCATTAAACTTTTTCTTTTGTAAATTACCTGGTCTCAGGTATGTCCGTATCAGCAGCATGAAAACGCAGGTATGTCTTTATCAGCAGCACGACAATGAACTAATACAGTAAAGTGGTACCAGTAGAGTGGGGTGCTGCTGAAGAGATACCCAGAAATGTGGAAGCGACTTTGGAGTTGAGGAACAGTCAAAGGTTGGCACAGTTTGGAGGGCTCGGAAGAAGACAGGAAAATGTGGGAAAGTTTGGAACTCCCTAGAGACTTGTTGAATGACTTTGACCAAAATGCTAATAGTGATATGCACAATGAAGTCCAGGCTGACGTGGTCTTAGATGGAGATGAGGAACTTGTTGGGAACTGGAGCAAAGGTGACTCTTGTTAGGTTTTAGCCAAGAGACTGGCAGCATTTTGCCCCTGACCTAGAGTTTTGTGGAACTTTGAACTTGAGAGAGATGATTTAGGGTATCTGGTGGAAGAAATTTCTTAGCAGCAAAGCTTTCAAAATGTGACATGGGTGCTGTTAAAGGCATTCAGTTCTAAAAGGGAAGCAGAGCATAAAAACTTGGAAAATTTGCAGCCTGATAATGCAATAGAAAAGAAAATCCCATTTTCTGAGGAGAAATCCAAGCCAGCCACAGAAATTTGCATAAGTAATGCCCGAATGTTAATCCCCAAGACAATGGGGAAAATGTCTCCAGGGCATGTCAGAGGTCTTCATGGCAGCCCCTCCCATCACAGGCCTGAAGGCCCAGGAGGAAAAAGTGGTTTCATGGGCCAGGCCCTGGGTCCCTGTGCTGTGTGCAGCCTAGGGACTTGTTGCCCTATGTCCCAGATGCTCCAGCTGTGGCTGAAAGGGGCCAATATAGAGCTCAGGCTATGGCTTCAGAGGGTGCGAGCCCTAAGCCTTGGCAGCTTCCATGTGGTGTTGAGCCTACAAGTGCTCAGAAGTCAAGAATTGGGGTTTGGGAACCTCTGCCTAGATTTCAGAAGATGTATGAAAATGCCTGGATGTCCAGGCAGAAGTTTTCTGCAGGGGTGGGACTCTCATGGAGAACCTCTGCTAGGGCAGTGTGGAAGGGAAATGTGGGGTCAGAGCCCGCACACAAAGTCACTACTGGGGCACCACCTAGTGGAGCTGTGAGAAGAGGGTCACCATCCTCCAGACCCCAGAATGGTAGATACACCAACAGCTTGCACCGTGTGCCTGGAAAAGCTGCAGACACTCAGCACAAGCCCGTGAAAGCATCCAAGAGGGAGGCTGTACTCTGCCGACCCACAGGGGTGGAGCTGCCCAAGACCATGAGAACCCACATCTTGCATCAGCGTGACCCAGATGCAAGACATGGAGTCAAAGGGAGATCATTTTGGAGTTTTAAGATTTGACTGCCCTATTGGATTTTGGACTTGCATGGACCTGTAGCCCCTTGGTTTTGGTCAATTTCCCCCATTTGGAATGGCTCTATTTTACCCCATGCTTATACTCCCATTGTATTTAGGAAGTAACTAACTTGCTTTTGATTTTTACAGGCTCATAGGTGGAAGGGATTTGCCTTGTCTCAGATAAGACTTTGGACTGTGGACTTTTGAGTTAATGCTGAAATAAGTTAAGACTTTGGGGGACTGTTGGGAAGGCATGATTGGTTTTGAAATGTGAGAATATGAGATTTGGCAGGGGCCAGGGGTGGAATTACATGGTTTGGCTCTATGTCTCCACTCAAATCTCATCTTGAATTGTACTCCCATAATTCCCATGTGTGATGGGAGGGACCTGGTGGGAGATAATTGAATCATGGTGGCAGTTTCTCTCATACTGTTCTTGTGGTAGTGAATAAGTCTCAAAAGATCTGATGATTTGGTAAGGGGAAACCAGTTTTGCTTGACTCTCATTCTTTCTCTTGCTTGCTGTGATGTAAGACATGCCTTTCACCTTCCACCATGATTGTGAGGCCTCCCCAGCCACATGGAACTGTGAGTCAAATTATACCTCTTTCTTTTGTAAATTACCAAGTCTCAGGTATGTCTTTATCAGCAGTGTGAAAACAAACTAATACAATAATGATGCTGTTTAATATATTCTTTCAAAAATAATGTTTACCACCAATGTTTTGTGCAAGATTCTGGGAATACCAACAACTCCTCAGAGCAAAGAATGTTTGAATTCTGACTGGCAAAATGTACTAATGTTTCTCTTCTCCCCTTATTAATGGAATATCAAACAAATGCGCTATTAAATATAACATTACAGGCTCATTGGCATTTTTTTAAAAAACTTTTTTAACCAGCTAGTTCATCATTTTCACTTTTTCCAAGAGGCATTTCTGCTAAAAGGGAGGGCTATAAAAATGCAGGCTATTTTTGCACCAAAGGAGCCCTCCCACTCTGACTCTCCCTGGAAAAGACTTCACCAACTAGGAAGGGGGTACAACTGCAGGACCAGGAAGGAGATGGTTAACAGCCACCTTAGGGACCCTCTAGGAGTTGAACTTGGAGTTCAGAATCCTAGGTTGCTTGAGTGCCTGTTTTGATTTTTTCTTAATTTAAGTTTGTGATTGACTTATGTGCACTGGCACTTTTAACAGATTAGAATAAAACACAGAGTTCAGAACAAATGTAAATGGCCTCAAAGAAAAGTGGGGGGAATGACAATAATCTTTTTTAATGGCTGTAAAATGTAGGAAGGATAGATCATGAGCTCGCTGCATGGGGCCCTCGTCTGATCTCAATCCAGTATTGTAATTTAGACATGACTTTTTATTTAATTTCTGACTGAGAAAGGGAAATTAGAAAACAGCATTATCTCAGCTGCTTCGTTATGATGAACAATATTTCATAGTGCCAGCTCTGAAGTTACCTTCAGAACTTCTTTTATGAGGCCGATGTTGACTCCAGCTCTAGGAGAGTTTGAATTTCCCCACACACTTGAGGAGCAGTTGTTGCTTGAGGAGCAGAAACGTAAGTATGGTTTTTAATTAGAAGCTGGTTTAAGGCTCAGGCAGCCCACAGGTTTGCAGGTAGGGGAAGGGAACAGAGATCATAAAATGAGGCGCTGGAAGATACTAAAACCTGGACTAGGCTGTGCTGGACTTCCTTCCATGTAAGTAACGGTCCCCTTCTAATCTCCCAACCCCGTTTATTTGTTTAATTTTTAAATCAGGGGGATTTATCCCATCTGTAATTAACCCTTGCATCTGGCCAGAGCAGTACTGCCTTCTGTCCCTTCTCTTCCCTGCTCCTGGCCACTAAATACATAATGGTCTGATAAATATTTAAGCAGTGATGAGGGAGATAATGCAAGTAATCCATTAGAGCCGCCTGCCTGGGCTGGCACCGGGGAAAATGGGGGTGCTAAAGTGGATGGAGTAAATGCTGAAATCCCAGGCTGAGCGGCAGGCTCCCTGACCACAGAGGGCCCTAAGCACCAAGCCCGGCTGTCGATAGACCAGAAATTTCAGGCTGAGGAAGCCCTTCCTCCCACTTGGCCTACCTGAGCGCATGCCCCTGCTCCCACAGTCAGCATCCCTGCTGAGCCAGATGGGGTTGGGCCCATATTCTGGAGTGGGGGAAAACATGGGAGTGGAGCTGGCACTGAGGGATCAGTAAGGTAGATTGGGATGCCTACACTGCTGCTGCTGTGGGGCCTCAAGGACAGCCCACTGCTAACTTCTAGAGCCAGGGCAGCTGCAAGCCCGTTTGCACAGGACAGTTGCATGTTATGCCATTTGTCCAGCATAGTGGTGGACAGTGCCCCCTTTCACTTTCATGTGTTCCAATTTGGGTGATAAATTGTATGGTCACCCCACCTATAATATGGGTCACCCCACCTATAATTGTACGGTCACCCCACCTTTCTAATAACATGCATTAGAATGATGGAGAAAGTGGGGAGGGGATGATAGCAGCACACTCCTTATAGCATATACCCCAAATGCAGCCATATACAGGCGTTCAAAATCCTACACTCAACCCCAGGAGCCCTTCACCCCCCCCCCCCACATACACGCACGCGTGCGCACACACACACACACACACACACACTCTTCCATCTCCAATCTCCTCTTGCATTTCACCTGTATCTCCCTCTTGGCTCACTGCAATCTCTCCTGATTCTAATGTTGGTAAATGTGCCTTCTTACCCTCAGTCCCTTCAGGGTATAGTCTGCGTCTGATCCGTTGTGGCATCCGTCATAGCTCCCAGCTCAATGTTGACTATGCTTGTGGAGTGAATGAATCAATTGTGGTTATCTATGATTATGTTAAATCTCTCCTATTATCTCAGACGGTCTGTGACTACAGCAAATATTTTTTGATCCATCTTTACTCAGGGTATTAATCATATATCCAAATACACATCCGTATAAAACTCCCCTTTATGTGAATGCACACATCCCAAAATAATTGTATATGCACTTCACGCATACTCTCCTTCAATACCTCCTCTCCACCCTCAGAAAATAGATCAAGTTCCCCATTTCTTATGATTTAATCTTTACTAGCTTTCTCTTAAGTTTCGCCTCTTTGGAATAAGTAGACAGTAAAAATTCAAGATGGTCCCTATTATTCATTCAATTAATCCCTTCTATTCCTTCCCTCCATTTCATTCATCTATTTCATTTATTTCTTCATTCATTAGACATTCATTCATTAGATATTCATTGAATACTATGTGCTGCGCTAAATCAGTTCCTGGTGTGACTTCAGACAAGTCCTTCTGAGGCCTCAGTTTCCCCATGAGCAGAATGAATTAAATATTACATTGCTGGCTTTAGAAACATCATCTGGGTTGTTCCTCCAGATCTGACATAAATCCATGGGTCTGCCTCCTTTAAGCTCCCAGGGGGCAAATCTGGAGCGTGAGCAGGGAAAGGGTCTCCAGGGGCTTCACACCCTCAAGTCTATTTGTGCATTGACTTTCCCTCCTGTTCCAACCCTGGGTCAGCTCGTGCTTAATGCCGGTGACTCTGCTCCTCTGGGGAGCTGCCTTGGGCCCAGCCCAGCTGCCCCATTCCTCCAGGGTTATGGGCCTCTATGGCCTTGACGTCAGTCCCCATCACTGTTGTGCCCTTGGGGCTTTTACTTTAGTGCTAGATGCCAGCAGCACCCCTATAGTCTCCACCACCTCCCCTTCCCAGAAGGGAACTTGCCTGGACACACAGGTCTTCACGTTCTGTCAGCGATTCTAAGGGTTACCTATCTGCTCACTGACAGCCACATTATCCTTATTCACACACACACATGCACACACACACACACACACACACAGGCAGGCAGATGCACATGAATCTGCGTTTGCAACACACATGCACTGATACATACATAAGGCTTGCAAATATTGCCCGTAAAATCAACACATGCTTGTGCAACCATAAACTTCAGGTGTGCACACATTTTATACACATATAGGCACACACATACACAACATACACATGAGCATACGCACCCTAAAATCATGGAAAACATGAGATAGACACCAGTCTTTAGACATCTGCAGGACTCCACGTGTAAGGCACTTTGCTCCATGCTGTGTGGGATACAATGAGTGAGGATGTGCACTTGTGCATGCGTATGCACACCCTGAGCTTATACACCACCTTTCTTCACTCTCTTTCACACCCCTTCCTTTATTACTGGCATTGCAGGTGGCTGCTTACAGCAATTTGCGTTTGTTGCATGTATTTACAGATAAGCCTGGACTTTTGTGCTAAAATAAAACTTCAATTTGAATCCGGAGCCCTGCTGTCCAAGATCTAAATGTTGCAGGACTGCGTGTTGGTGATAAGTGCCCAGGTCCTTGGCTTGACCACTTAGCTGAACACTGGCCTCGGCCATCAGAGGCGGCCAGGGGTAAAGAAGCACTTTCTGCCCCTGGAGAGACAAGCATACCCATGACTATAGCAACAAGACAGTGCACAGCTCTGCAGTCGGACTGAGTCAAATGGTAATGATTAGTTCGGTGACCTTGGACAAGCTCATATCAACCTTGCCAAGCCTCAGTTTCCTCATCTATGAAATGAGTCAATGATGGCCCTTCTTCATAGTGTTGTTGTGAGGACCAAAAGAGGATAAGCTAAGTGTTAGCAGAGGGCCTGTCACGGTGTAAGTGCCTAATAGAACTGTTAGCTATTATTACCAGATGGAGTATACACACAAAATATGCTGTCTGCACAGAAGGTAGAAGGGAGCAAGTGAACTCCTTACAGGGCAGGGAGAAGCTGGTGCATTCTCGAGTTGCTTCAACTTGATCTTGGCCTCTCTCTCTCTGCTTCCCTTACTGGTACTAGCCACAGCCCACTGGCTTCTGAAAGGACTACTCTTTTGGCTGAGTTATAAGGTCTTCACTGTGGAACAACTTTGTAAGTCTTTGGTGGCATTTCCTTGGGCTGGGAGGCCTCAGTGGAGGGTGCTATCATAGCTGGAGACCACTGTGACTTCTAGAACCTTCTCCGAAGGCCTCCTTCCCTACATCGATAAACAGTGGAGTTGTTGGTGCTGCGAAGGCCACATGCATTAGGACAGGTCTCCAGGCCTATTTTTCCATCATTTGTCCACTTGGGGAAGTGTAATTTGCCTTAGTTTCCCCATCTCTGTAAGAATGTGGAATAAAATGCTGAGGGAGGTTTATACTTGTAATATTGGAAAATATATATTTGGCCTGTCACATCATTTCCTGGCAGACAACTCCTAAAATCCTTAGAATCTCCAAAGTGATTCTTTGTATGCTAATAAGCTCACTAATGGCTGGCAGCCTTCAAGTAGTTTCAGGATGGGAGTTGGCCAGTGGAAAGACCAAGGCAGGATTAGAGGATTGGGACTTTCAGCTCCGTCCCATAACTTCAGGGGACGGGTGAGAGTCTGAAAGTTAAGTTGATTACCAATGGCCAATGACTCAATCAATCAAGCCTATATAATGAAGCCTTCATAAAAACCCCAAAGGACAGGATTTGGAGAGTTTCTGGGATAGCCGAACATGCAGAGGTTCCCAGACCGTGGCAACTCTTCGTTGAAACTCTTTGACCCTCCCCTGATACCTCGCCCTATGCATCCCATCATCTGTATCCTTTGTGATATCCTTTATAATGAACTAGCAAATGTAAGTGTTTCCTTGAGTTCTGTGAGCCTCTTTAGCAAATTAATCATGAAGCCAGTTGGTCAGAAAACTGGGAGGCCCGGGCTTGAGACTGGTGTCTGAAGTAGGGGCAGTCTTTGGGACCAAACCTGTTACAGTAGGTAGCTAGTCAGGTATAAGCAGGGCAGGAGAAGGCTCTCCAACCAACACACACCGGAAGTGTTGGGCAGCCATCAGGTGATGGTCAGGCGATTGTTAATTGTTCCTCTAAAGTAATAATTGATCACAGCTGGCACCAGGGAAAGGCAGTCTCCTAATAGCTAGAGATAGAAAACACCTGAAACTGATCAGCAGCTTCCCAATAAGATCTCAAGAGTGGGGAGAAGTTACGCAAGATCCCAGAAGTATGCCAATGTATGAAACCCCAAGTCAAGTGGTCAACACACTTGGTTTCTGAAGCTGCCTGCTTGGCTCTCTTCCAAGAGAACTTTCCTTCCTTTCTTTCCTTTCCTTACTGTTCTAAAGCTTTTTAGTAAACTTCCACTCCTGCTCTGAAACTTGCCTTGGTCTCGTTTTCTGCATTATGCCCCGCAGTCAAATTATTTCTTCTGAGAACTGAAGTTGCGGCAGACCTGTACAGATTCACTGCCGGGAACTCAGATACCTTTCACTGGTAACAAACCCTCAACCTTTGGGATCTGACACTATCTGCAGGTAGACAGTGTCAGAATTGAATTGGAGGGCACCTAGCTGGTATCTCCTGCAGAACTGGTTGCTTGCTTGGTGTGTGGGTGAGAAAAACCACACACATTTGGTCACACAAGGCTTTTGTGTTGATTGTTGTGGTGTGAGAGCAGAGGAAAGTACAGTTTGTGTTTTTCCACTCTCAATCCTAGCTTTGGATGGATGATAGGGATTTGGTGAAACCCAGGGAAAAGCACCCAAGACCTTGACCAAAAAGTCAAACTTGTTACTAAACAGGCAGACTGTCCAGCCAGCCAACCAAAAAGCAAAATGACAGAGTGGAGCACAGCCAGACCTCACACAGCAAGGCAAATGCTGGGGAGTTTACAGAACACAGGACCAGGGCCACTAGGGAGGGAGTGCTTGGGTCTCTAATCATACCATGTGAACCTCTCTGCACACCCCAACATTGCTACTTAGGGTACAATGAACATCGTTGACAGCCTTCAAGGGGCACATAAAGTGCAAAAGGCCACTCTGAAAGAATTGGAGGAGGGAGAGAAGCAGTATCTCCCTCCCCACCACTCCCTGTCCCGAACCTACTCCAACAGCTTGTCTTGGTGATGAGAAATGACAGGGCAGAGACTTGGGGGATGTGCTCCTGGGCTGACAATGGGAGTTGCTATGAATTGAATGTTTGTTTCCCCCTAAATTTCTATGTTGCAACCCTAGACCCCAGTGTGATGGTATTTGGAGGTGTGGGGCCTTTGGGAGGTAATTAGGGTTAGAAGAGGTCATGAGGGTGGGGCCCCCATGATGGGATTAGTTTCCTTATAAGGAGATGAAGGGATCAGCACTTCTCAGTCTGCCACATGAAGATACAGTGAGAAGGTATCATCTGCAGGCCAAGAAGAGGGCTCTCACCAGAACCTAACCATGCTGGCACCCTCATCTCAGACCTCCAGCTTCTAGAAGTGTGACAAACAAATGTTTGTTTGTTGTTTTGACCACCCAGTCTATGGCAGCAGTCCCCAACATTTTTGGCACCAGGGACTGGTTTCATAGAAGTCAATTTTTCCAGTCAGGGGTGGTGGAGGTGGTGGGAGGGATGGTTTTGGGATGAAACTGTTCCACCTCATTATTAGGCATTAGATTTTCATAAGGAGTGCACAACCTAGATCCCTCAAATGCATAGTTCACAATAGGGTGCATGCTCCTGTGAGAATCTAATGCCACCGCTGATCTGACGGCAGGCAGGGCTCAGGTGGTAATGTGGTAATGCTCTCTTGCATGGCACTCACCTCCTGCTGTGTGGCCCAGTTCCTAACAAGCCACAGACCGCTACAGGTCCATGGGCTGGTGATTGGGGATCCCTGGTCTATGCTATTCTGTTATAGCCCGAGATGACTAAGACAGGTGTGTATATACATCAGCCATGGCCAGCACTAGCTGCAACCTTCTCTTCGAGCCTCTCGCTCCTCTGTCAGAAGCTTTGTCTTTCAGCAACCAAGGGCCCACAAGCCTCAAAGCAGCAATCTCTGGCCCAGAGTGTCTGCTCAAAGCATTGTCGTCTGGAGAGAGCCTCCAAAATATCCCAAGAGCAGGTGGGAACCGAACCTGGAGCAAAGCCTTCAGCCCTCAGTGTAGGCAGCTTTGCCTTTGGAGGGTGGTCAGGGGACAAAGATTTGGATCCCATTGCACAGATGGGGACTGCCCAGAGCCATATGGCATAGAAGAAGACTTCTCTTCCTGGCCAGGACTTGTTGATGTGATATTATAGTAGGCTGAGCCCTTGCCTCTGTGCCCGGCCACATCCATCTCTAATTGCGCAGGTGTGAGAGGTCTGTGGGAGTGCTTCCTGCCCTTATAAACAGGAGCTCTTTCTTCCATGGAGTTTCACTGGCAGAAGCCCCTGAAATCTGCTGTTGCTTATTAACAAGGTAGTTGTTGTGTTGAGGCCAGTCTGGAAACTTAGTTTAGACTTGGGGATTAGGACAACTAGTTTCTAGCCCTGTAATAACAGAAATCTCTATCTGGATCCCCCAACTGACTGAGCTGGTTGGCGTTCATGGAAACCATTGACAAGAAAGAAGACAGAACAAGTGAGGTGTACCTTGGACCCTTCCCACTTCTCTTTGCAGCCCTTTAGTGGGTTTGCCGCCCCCCTGCCTTTTTCTTTTTTCTTTTTTTTGCCCTCCTGCTTGTCAGATCCCCTGAAGTCTGATCTTAGTCCTGTGCTCTTGAAGGAAATAATGTATACAGTGGTTCATTTCCAAGACAAAGCACCTTGAATCAGCTTAGGTCAGTAAACTGGAGAAGAAACAGGATGTACTAGGCCCCTGCTTGGATAGCAGATGCCTACTTGTCGACCTCCCCTGCCCCACCACTCTGCCCCCAACTTAGTTGCTCTCACCTGAAGCAAAGAAGTTTAGTCTAAAATGAAAGTTTACTAGCCTGCAAAATAGCTCGTTTTTTCTGTTCTTATCAGCCTGCTTAGCTACTTAGGTCATAAGTCAAATACTTGAAGAGCCCCTAAGTTAACTGGGATTGCAATGCATTGTGGACTGCAATAAAATGCAGCAAGATAACCCTAAGAAAAACACATAAAGCCCCTACCTAACAATCAGTAGGAAAGATTGTAACCCAGTAGTACTCAGCCTATGAGGAACCGAGGGAGGGACCTGCGCACTAGGGGATAAATTGCTTGTTGTGGCCATGCTGGGTGTGCCTGCCCATCAGACCCCCGAACTTGCAAGACCATCATTAAAAGTCTCACTTTCACTGTTCTCCAGGTCTCTAAGTCCATTCTTTGGGTTTGGATGGGTAAGTTTGTTTCGCACACTCTGAACCACACCTTTACCATCAATGTCCCAGATTACTAGAGTTTAACTTCTACAGAGAACTTCCAGCTGGACTTATCTTTGAAAGAACCTAAGAAACATAAGTCCTGTTATGCTGTAAAATTTTATGAGGTTGTAACATGCAATTCCTTCCTGTGGTTAATTACATATTGATAGGGGCAAGGTCTTAACCAAAAAGGCAGACTTCCCAAGTAACAGAATTTTAGGCATTAAGAAGTGGTAAGTCAGGAGTCCCTAGAATCTTGGCAGACGTTTTATGCCTTTCAGACAAGTCCTAGTTAGTGTTTCCTTCCCAGTGCAGACACCATCAGTTTGCTTCGTGGTGTCAAATAAAGCTCCACCTGTAGCTCAATGGCCCATTGCTCATAGTCAAAATAGAAAGGAGAGAGACCAGTGTTACTGAGTCTAGTACTACTTGGTGAGGTCCAGGAGTTGGAGAAAGTTTTCTTATATATCTGCATGAGGCACCTGGATCAATAAACAGGTTTTTAAAATTGTTATTCATTTTACAACTCAATAAAACTTAATTATGAGAAAGGAAGGCAAGCAGAAGCCATGCTCACATAATATTGTATTCCTCGCAGCAATTCCTGCGGGGCCTTCACACTTGCATCAAAATGTAGAACAAACCAAATTACGGAGACTATTCAGAATTCATTTAAAAACATCATTGAGGAGCATCATAATAAAAACACAATGAAAATGACAAGCTTGGGCTGTTAATTTGTAGCACTGTGTGTGTTTATGGGGGTCTGTATGCATGCATACATGTGGGTGTGAGGTACATGTGGCTTCATTAGCTTTGCAGGGAGTAGCAGGGACCAAGGGCTAGAGGGTTTGAGGCAATGGATTGGAATAGCCTGTCCCAAAGGGGCATGGAGAGGGATTGGGGACTGTTGGGAAGTACCTGCAGCCCTGTTTTCTGCTTGGCCAAAGGTAAGCCAGGCAGTGTTGGGGCTTGAGTCCCAGATCAGGATCTGGGTGGTGGGGGGATGAGGGGCAGCCCAGGGGTTGGGCTCAGGGAGTGCCCAGTTGTCTGCGTCTCACTCACTGTGTTTGGCCAGGTGAGCCTTCCTGTCCCCACCTGCAGACAAAGAGCCCCATGTTCTGATTAGCTGTGGTTCCAATAGGGAGCACCCAGTAAGTGCTGATGGCTCAGGGGCATTTCATTGTGTGCCGACCACCAGCTGATCAGTTGACAGCTGAGTGCCTGTCATTCAAACCCAGCAGACTCCAGTGTGGGTGCCTGTCCTGTGAGGGGCTCAGACCCTCTGTCAGAAGCCTACCCAGCCTTTTCTGGATCTAGGGTGCCTGACCTCTTGGTCTTAGCACCTGACCTCTTGGTCTTGGAAGGGAAGGACTTGTGCCTACAGCCTTAGTTTAATTCCTGCATCTTGGGCTCCTCTCACCCTACTTCAGCTTCTCTCTCACCAACTTCCTGCTTCCTTCCTCCTGGGCCTGCCCTGCCCTGCCCTTTTGTTGCCTGAGCCTCAATATGTTGGATTGAAGTTAGTCTCACCCCCATCCCCCAATCCCATGTGGCCACTTTTCCTGTTGGGACCTTGAGCCCATTGCTTTGGGCCTCAGTTTACTCATCTGGAAATCGGGTGTCATTAAGTATGCCTTCCCTCCCTCCAGGAGTGTTTCCCAAATTAATTCTCTTAATTAATTAAGTAAAGCGCTTTGAGATGCTTAGACAAAAGGTGCACTAGAAGTGCAAATTATTATTTATTCTTAATGAACACTTCTTTGGAGAAAATTTACTCCTGATTCTGAAGGGGAAACACAGGGGACCCCAGGGGAGGAGAAAATGACAAGGTTTTTTTTTTTATTTGTTTGAGGGGAGTAGAAGAGAAGGGGAGGTTATTATATGGGATTTTTCACTGGTAGGCTAATAGAGAATTAGCCAAGCATTCTTTCCACTGCTCTGCAGTGCTGCCTCAGCCAGTATTGTTCACCCATGAAAGTGCAAAGGTGGACAGCTGCAAAGACAGAATGATTTTTAGATTCCAATTGCAATCTGGTTTTAGGACTAGGAAGTCATCAGTATTAGAGAGAGATGGAGGAAGAGAGAAGAGAGAAGGGGAGACAGAAGAGAGAGGGAGAGCAAGGAGAGAGAGAAGAGACAGGGAGAGTCAGGAAAGAGGGAGAGAGAGGAAAGGAAAGAGGGAGACAGAGAAAAGAGAAGGAGAGAGAGGGATGAGAGGAAGAGAGGAAAGAGTAGGAAAGAAAAGAGAGAGGGATGAGAAAGAGAGAGAAGAGGGATGAGAGGGGAAAGAGGGAGAGAGAGAGAAGAGAGGGATGAGAGGAGGAGAGAGGAAAGGGAGAAAAGAGAGGAAAGAGAGAGGAAAGGAGGAGAGGGAGAGAAAAATGAGAAATGAAGAGGGAAGACAGGAAAAGGGAGAGAGGAAAGAGAGGGGGAGAAGAATGAGATGAGAGGGAAGAGAGGAAGAGGAAGAGAGAAATGACAGAGGGAAAAGAAAGAGGGAGAGAGGAAAGAGGGATGGATTAGAGAGGTAAAGAGAGGGAGAGGGAAGGAGAGAGAGAGAGATTGATTTTCAGTGTATATTGTTACCACTGTGGTTACTCCAGGAGAGAGGACACATGGAAAGGGCTATTTGTTGGGACTTCCAGCTGTTCCGTATGTATTTATCAGCCAGATTCTAGCCCCCTGGGCACCCTCTGAGTTTCCTTCCAGTTCTGACCATACCTGGACTTCTAGCAAGCTTCCTTCCCTCCCCTTTTCCTTCCTGGGCCCGGACCTGAGCCAAAGTGTAAAGTTTGCATATTTCATCTACAGTGCTCCTGCCTCCCTGCTTTACCATCTCCTCCATCTGAGACCCCATTATCTCCAACCAGGCCCATGATTATCTTCCCCACTCCCTTCAAAACCTCATCTCAGGAAATGTGTGCGTGCATGTATGTGCATGCATGTGTGCATGTGTGTGTTTGCAGGGGTCACATGATTTATTTCATTCACATGAGGGTAAATGACCCAGGGCAATGCAACAGGGCTTCTTTTTTCAGGGGTATTTGTACCTCAACAGAGATCAACTTGTATAATCAAACAACTTACTTTTGGGGCCTAGAACCGGGAAGGAAGAAGGAATGGGAAGGAGCTTTAGTTATTTCCTTTCTATGTCTTTGTATAGTTTGACATTTTTTCCAGTGAAGATGCATGATTTTTATTATCATGGTCTCCTATCTCAAGTAGATGAACAAGCAGCCTAAAGAGGACATTTAAGGCATCAGCCAGAGGCAGTTAGCCATTCTTCTCCTTGACAGTCCCAACCCTCTGAAGTCACCTGCCTGGCATGGGAGCTGCTCCTGGGCTGACCTGTGAAGACAGGAGGTTGGTCAACAAGGCCAGAGAAGGGGGAAGTAAACTGGGTGGGGCAAATGGGGAGAGAGCCAAGAAACGCCTCCTGAAGCCCTTGTAGAATCTGGATTTTTGCGAGGGATTGAAAGTCTCCCCGCAAGACAAAGAGCAGCTATGGCTTCTTAACTGTGACAGATGTGAATTCTACAAAGCTGTGGAAGAAACATTCTACCCGAAATGAGTGCCTGCTCTGCATTGGCAGGATTTGGACAGTTTCTGCCCCTGGAGAGACAGAACTACAGGATGACTTGGGTGGTCACATAGGTGGGCGCTGGAGGCAGAGGGCCCAGATTTGAATTACAGTTTTGTCACTTGCTTTCTAGTAACCTTGGGCAAGTTACTCAAGCACTTTGGACATCAGTTTTCTCGTCTGTAAGGTGGGAGTAATAGTAGCATCCACCTCACAGGGATGTTGTAAGCATTAAAGGAGTCAAAAGGGTACATGCACTTAGAACATCAGCTGGCACATGGAACATGCTATATGTTCATTAGCCATTAGGAGAGTTGACGAAATTGTAGCTTTTTGTCTCTGAGTGCAGTGGGGCTTGGGCTGGCCTAAGCTGGTATGCAATGTGAGTTCAGGTCTGTTGATGCATGCATGGAAGACAGGGGCTGTCCTTAGTCTACCTGCATGGGCACTGAGGAACTCCTGGGGATGAAGCCCTTCTGAGGTAGAGCATGTATTGTAGGTCCAGGTCTGTCAAAGGAGTGTGATTCTGTACAATGACTGGTTTTCAGACTGACCCCCTCCTGGTCCTCAAGACCCAGGCCTGGTTCCTAGAGAGGCTAGAGGCTGCAGGGAAGGAACGAACAAGCAAAATTGATAGGAGCTGACAACAAGCATTTGTGTAAGGCACAGAGAACACCAGGCAGCAGCCTCTGCTCAGGGTCAGTAGAAGTGAGCATGGGGAAAACCTGCAGGGAGAGTCTGAGCAACTGCGCCTGACGCTGTACCCCGAGGCCTGAGCTGGGCAGAAGAGAAGACTAAAGACCAAATCTCGTGGTAACTGGGAGACATCCCCAGGACTCCTTGGCAAAAATTGGAGGTGGCAGCAGTTGCCGTAGAGTGAGTAGGATCAATCCTAGAAAAAAGGTGAGCTTGTTGTAATAAAAGGAAAAACCTAAAATGCTGTTTATGATGGCACCTGCCGTCTAAGGAGATGGGGGGCCTATTTCAGAAAAGGCCAGTTAACTCCTGTGAAGTTTCTCAAGCTCTTGGTGCTGAAGGAGTAGTTTTATTTAAAAAATTTTTCAATTTGTCATATACTGATACTTTTGGAGAATCAACAAAAATGAATCATTAGAAACATGAAATTAAAAAAATGTACAAACTACAAGCCCCAATTTTTCAAATTATTAGAATCCACAGACATAAAATTACCCCATCAAACTGCTGTGAGTTTGTAAATGCCTAATCTCAATTTCTGGACTTATTTCTTCATGGACTGGTATCAAAAGTTCAGGGCCTGCCCTGATCAATCTAGGATCAATCACTGTGAGTCACATGGGATCTGATCTCATGGAGACACTGATGTTGGGATCAGCAGTTAAGGGCTATCTGCCTCAAGACTAAGGAAGTGGGAAGACTGTGTTAATGTCCTATGGTTGCCACACTGAGTGGCTTGAAGCAACAGAAATATATTCTCTCACAGTTCTGAAGACCAGAAGTCCCAAATTAAGGTATCAGCAGGGCCGTGCTCTTGCTGAAGGCTCCAGGGAGACTCTTCCCATGTCCCTTCCTATCTTCTGGTGGCCTCAGGCAATCATCGGCCACATGACTCCAGTCTCTCACTTCATCTTCACATGGCTGTCATCTCTCTCTGTGTCTGCGTGTCCTCAAATCTCCCTCTCCTTATGAGGACACCAGTCATTAGATTTAGGACCCACCCTAATCCAATATGACCTCATCGTCATTTGATTACATCTGCAAAGACCTTATTTTCAAATGAGGTCACGTTCTGAGGTTCCAAGTGAACAAGAATCTTGGCAGGGGGCAGGGATGGGGGATTACTATTCAACTCAATACAGACAGCACACACAGACTCAGATGCTGGAAGCACCATGACATGGCATAAATCAGGGGATGGCTTTGGACATGGGATTTGGAAAAGGTCTAGGCCAATTAATTATTCCTGGATCCCTACAGGGCAAGGGAGTCCTGGCTGGCTGACTTTGATCGTGGCCATCTTTATGCCCCTGGGCCCTGGTGGCCTGAGGAAGCTATTTACAGGGGCAAGAAGGGAATCCCTGTGGTACCCAGGGCGTTCTCTCTCACAGCTTCTGAGGATACAGAGAAGAGTGAGCAAGTGGAGCCTGAAGCAAAACCCATCACTCTTCATACCCAGAGTGTCCAGAAGGGCCTTGGGCAGAGTGCTAGAGGGAAGGCCAAGGTGCTGCTAAAGCCTTTCTTGTG
This sequence comes from Homo sapiens, assembly GCF_000001405.40. Taxonomy (NCBI): domain Eukaryota; kingdom Metazoa; phylum Chordata; class Mammalia; order Primates; family Hominidae; genus Homo; species Homo sapiens. The sequence goes on from NC_000018.10 coordinate 47,462,152, forward strand.
TGTGAGGCAATGTTGCCCAGTGGTTAGAGAACCAGCGGTTAGAGCACCAGTGCTGGTGTCCACCTGCTGGGCTCAGTCTGACTCTACCATTAGAAGCTTTGTAGCCTTGGGCAAATTACTTTCCTTTCAGTGCCTCATTTTCTGTATCTATAAAATGGGGGCAATAATAGCACTTGCTTCCATGATTGCTGTAAGCAATAAATGTGATAATATATGTAAAGATCTTGGCGCATGTTGATCACTCAATCAATACTACTTTTCATCAATACAATGAAGGCCAGGGAAATTACTGCAATCCTGAACTGTACCTATTAGGAAAGACCTCATGTTAATTAAGCGCCTTCTATGTCAAGCATTGTTTGGGTGATTTACATGTTTACATACTATCAACAGACATTTTTGAGTGGTTAACTTGTGGTTGATTTATTTTTTAAAATTGTCAAGCATTTATTGAGCACCTGCTATGTGCAAGAGGTAGTGGGGAATCCAAATACATTTTAAGAGAAGCCCATTGCAATGTAAACAAAGAAATAAGGCAAGGTTGGTTCTAAATGGGGTGTCAGCCTTCAAAGAAGGATTTTATGCAGTTTTGTCTTGACAAAAAAGACTTGATTAATTGACCTCTTAAGGACTCTTCCAGCTGTTTGTTCTGCAGTACAGTGTGATAGGAGAGGAAGGTAAATTATTTTCATGAATGTGAAGCTTTGCCAGCTTTGCTTATCTTTGTTTATTTCACTAAGACAGTATTAATAATTTGAACTCTTAAGCAGCTTCTGTGTTCCACCAAAGCAAAGTCTTTTCAGTTCATTTTGTAAAATATCTTATTTTACTTCATTCTCATTATGATTCATAACAAAATAAAAAAATAAGTTATAACCAAACTGGATTACTAGTATGTAATCTGTAGCATTGCTTAATTTGGCTTGCTATGAAAGTTTTAATAGAAAATATCATTTGATTGCAATTTAGAAATAAAATTTGATTTCCGCATTATAACTAATATGAATAATAAGCCCAAAATGTCTAATATACTTAGGCATTTCTATTAACACAACAAATATGTTTCGGATGCTTCCAGCATACTAATTCAAAGTGTCATTGTCTCCTTGTACTCGCAGGTTAGCTCTCCTGAGCGCTTACTGACCTCACCCAGGCAGCCTTTACCAGCAATTAGTTCTCAGCTGTATTAGCCCTTTGGAGTGCCACAATAATTAAAGTGTTATGCCTCTTTAAATGAAGTTGGCTTCTGGTGCCTGGCTGAATTGCTCTCAGAAGAGTGCCCCTTTCTCTGTGTAGTCTGAGGTTGTGGGTAGCTCTGCCATTCTTGTCTCTGGGCTGGGACCTAGAGCTCATTTACTCACAATACTTGCCATTTCCAGATCCACAGGCTCGTTCTGTCTCACCGTAAGGGGAGAGGCTATGTGCCTTCCTTCCCTCATAAACAACTGCCATCTATCCATTCATTTATTCATTCACCAGTAACTATGAATGGAGTGCCTACCGTATGCCAGCACTGTGTTAGATGCTGTAGTTACCAGAGTGATTAAAAACGGATACAGTACCTACTCTCACAGAATTGAGTAATCATAACAAAGAATGGATGAAGGATTGGAGATGAAAGGCAGCAAGGGAAGAGAGATGTCAAAAATGGCCTCCAGCAAGTTCACTGATCAAACTCCCACCAAGTTCACTGATGAAACTCCCTCCAGTGGTGCTGCTGTCTGGCTGCTCTTCTGTTGTCACCCCGTGGCCCACACTTGCACTCGATTTGAGCTCTACTCAACCGTCTTTCCCTGCCACTCTCCCTCTCCTGATTCTGCTTAGTTATTTTCATGGGAATTTTGAAGACATTCTATTAAATATTGATTTGTTTGTTGCCTGTTCTCTCTGGTGGAATGTGAACATCATGAGGTCATGAATCTGTGCCCCCCATGCCTGGAATGTTGCCTGGCACATGGCAGCTTCTGAAAAAGGAATGAATGAAAGAATGAATGATGCTAGGTTGCTGCCTCATACAATAAGGTGGATGGTAGCATCATGACTCAGAAAGAGATGACTGGAATGGAACTAGGTTTGGCTCAGGCGATTGGGAGAGTTATTGTGTTCAGGCTCAGTGTGGATTTGGTGCACACTGATGCTTAGTAAGGCCTTCATGGATCTGCCAATTATTTCAAACTTCTGGGTCTCCTTTTATTGAGCACCCACTATATGCTAGTGTTTGAGGGTCTGAGAGCAAAGGGAACACAATCTCTGCCCGTTTTCAAAGGTCCTGAGTTAGTAGTCCCCGCTGACTTTGGCTGAAGTGCCTGGTGGTATCCAAGTTGGGAAAGCTGGTGTTGGTCATTCCTGGAGAGTGCAGGTAGTCGAAATGCGAGGGCAGCAGGAATGATTCTAACTCCCTTTCTGGCTCTTGCTCATGGCGGGGATCCCCAAGGGACCAGAGAGCATCGATTGGGTGGCCTGTGGGCCATCTGAACTTCTTGGCATTTTGAGGAGGTGGGCAAAGAGAACAAGAACATAGTTGGGATCAATTTTTAGCACCTCCCTGCCTGGGGTCCTGCTCCTAGTGATGGAATGTGACACATCACATCCATAAACATTGTCCACACATGGGATTTCAAGAATCCCCCCAGTCTGAAGGTCAGAGTTCACTGAGCTTGTCTTCAATTCCTCGGAGGATGGCAGGAGCAAGGGAGGACCCAGCCTCGGAGGAACAGGTACCTGCTGAATGCTCAGGCACAGGCTCAGAGGACAAGCAGGGAACAGCTGTGGGCCTGCAGTATGAGGCAAGGACACCGTTATGGAAAGTGGGGCACAGGGTCAGAGGAGCAGAAAGTGGGCATTGCCTGATGTTCGCCTGCACCGATTCCCCTAGACCCAGGGCAGAGTTGACTTTAGAACCCAAAAGGGTCAGCGGAAGCAGAGATGGGTTGGGAGCAAGAGGCTCTAGCCATGTGGGCTGGAAGGCTGCTAGGACCTGAGTCAGGCAAGACAGAGGCGCCTCTTCAGGAACAGTTAACTATGGCCCCTGAAACTGCATCCTTGGCATGTCAGGGCATAAACAAAATGAAAACCAAATAAACTGTCTAGAAAGTGGAGTCCTATGGAGATGAATTGCATCCTCCACCCATTGCCTGGTTTCCTGTGGTGTTTCTTTTTACTTCTCACCCCCATCCCACCTTCCAGGAGCTAAGGCTTATTGCCATAGCTGCCATATGTGGTTACTTGGAGAAGCAGCCATTGGGTAACCTCTGGGGCTTTGTACAGGCCTCAGTTTTCTCCTCTAGAAAATGAAATGAGCTATCCCCTCTATCCCTCACAGGGGCTTTCACAGAAGTCATAAAGTGATTAGAAAGCAACTGTCAATGCTCAACAATATGGAGCCTCACCCAGCTCCTTCCTCCAACACTGGGCCAGAGCAAGGGCAAGGGGTGCCCTCATCAACAGGCAGGGGGCTGTCCTTCACTTTGTGGGGCACCTGGAATTAAATGAGAAAGATGAGTCTCTCTCACAGCAGGCACTCCATAAATATTGAATACTTCCCCCCTAGAAGGATTTGGAAGAGATTCTGGGTGAGCTCAGAGTTGGAATGGGTGAGGAAGGGACCCATTAGGCCCCAAGGGGCTAGGCTAGTGGGCTCCAGGGGACAGAGAGTGGGAGGCTGCTGCAGGCCTGAGGGTGCCCTGGCTCTCCAGGGCTGAGGCTGTTTTCTGTCCTCCAGTCCTGCTTCCCCTGTGTGGAGGGTTGGTGCTTAATATTATTATTATTAGAGGGGACACGATGAACCTGCCCCAGACCTGGCTCACAAGTGTATGGGTGCAGTCGGCAGGATTTGTTGAGGCGGGGCGTTGCCCCAGGTTCTTAGTGCATTCCCGTGTGTGGCCAAAAGCCATCATGTATGCAGCTCCTGCTTGGCTGGGCCACGTTCTGGGTCATTAATATTTTCCAACTCTCGGTTTTGTTCATTCTGTTCCTCCCAGTGAGAATGTTCACCTTGCTATACTGTGTGCATTGGATCCATCTCAGGTTCTCCTTCTACTCTGAGATGTTTACTTTGGGAGCTTCTTCCTCCCGTGGTTCTGGAGTTGGTGCTGTGGCAGAATGGTTGGGCACACAGGCTCTGGAGTCTGAATCCATGGGTTTCGATCCTTGCTCTGCCACTTGCTAGCTGTGTGGTGTTAGGCAAGTTCCTAAAGCCTTCTCTGCTTCAGTTTTCCCGTCTCTAAATGGGTGTACTGAGAGTTCATTCACACAGGTGCAAGGAGCAGTGCTTAATGTTATTATTATGAGAGGGGACACTGAATCTGCCCCAGACCTGACCTCAACACTCACCTAACGCCTGCCTCCCTACAACCCAGGTGTTGGCCACTTGCCTTCTTTCCTGACCATGGTGACCCTGGGGAAGCTTTACACTATTCCTGTGGTTGAAAAGCCCCAACTACTTCCTTTGCCATAGCCCAAGGAGCTTCTGCACGCAGTGCCAAGTGATGAGGAGAGACCACAGCATCTGCACTGACCAGCAGGACCCGCAGAGGTTCTGGCCAGGGGACACGACAAGGTCATGCCTCATGGGGTGGGCTTGGATGACAGAGAGAAAAGAGACAAGACAGACAGAGACAAAGAAGACAAGATAGGGCACCTGCTCTTTCTTTTCTCACATTCTCTTGGATGTTCCTAGAGGCAGTTGTTTCATATGGCTTCTCTGGAAATGTCTTGCGAGACCGAGCAGCAAACTGCTTGTTGTATGCCTGGAGTGGCTGGCTCAGTCACGCCCCTCTCATTTTATACTCCCTGCTCCCACTTCACTTGGCTCTCCCTCACTTGCCCTTCCCTGGGATTGCACCCTCCAGTAAAACCGTAGCAATCAAGCCTTTGCCTCCAGTTCTGTTTTCTAGATTACTCTGGCTAAGGCAAGAGTCTTAATATAAGATTTGTTTAGTGATCTTTTACAAGGCACGTGTCTTTTTGCCTAACTAGAGGATAATCTCTTTGGAGGAGGCAGGAGGCTATACTTGCTCTTGCCTGTCATGTTTCTTGGCAAAATGGTGGACCTAGAGTTTGCTGATGGTTTAATTGGCCTCATCTGTGATTATTCAAATCAGCAGGTCTGAGCCCAGTGTGAATACAGCAAAGTCCACTTACCTGGGGCTTGGAATGACCCATACTGATCCCGCTCTGAAATCTCAGGTGCCTACAGCCCATTCTCAGACTACAATCTCTGTATAGCTCTCTCTCTCTCTCTCTCTCATTTCCCCCAAATCTTCTACCTCTTCACCTCCACAGTTGGAAGACATGTTCATGTCATTCTCATTTAACAACCAACCAGACTGAACCAAACCCTCACTCAACCACACATCCTCCTTCTAGGTTTTATGCTATCTCACTCTTGCCCTCCACAGCCGAGGATTTGCAAGATCTCTTTCCCTCATCCCCTCATCACTGCCCAAATTCCTCGCAACTTATTGCAGTCTGTCTTATACCCCATCTAATCCATTGAGCCTCTCCTTGCTGGTCACCATTGAATCCAGTGGAGATATTTGTTCTTACTTTACTTGCTTGAATTCTGTTGTCATCCTACCCTTTTAAGCATTCCATCCTTTTTGAAACTCTTCCTCTCTTAATTTGTGTGATTCCACGATCTCTCTGTTTCCCAACTACCTCTCAGGCAGCTCATTCTCATCTTCCTTTGCAGCCTTGCTTCCTCCACTCACACCTGAGCTGTTGGCGTTCCCCAAGACTTGTTCTTGGTGCTCTGTGCACCATTTTCCATGTAACCTTTGGTTATCTCTTTCACATTGTGGCCTTAGTTATCACAGATATGTTGAATAGGTCCTGAATCTCTGAGTCCAAACTGAGCACCAACCTATCACTCACCTGCCTGCAGATGTACCCCAAGCCTATCAAGCCCAACTTGTCCAAACAGGATTCTCACTTCTCCCTGAAGCCTGTCTGACCCTTGCCTACCTGAACACCACCATCCAGTGAAGAATCTAAGCCCAGGACCTTTTTTTTGCTAGACTCTACCTTCCTTTTCAGCTCCCCTTGCTAAGCATTCAGAAAAGTCTGCAGCCTCTATTTCTCTGTGATCACTACCTTAGTTCAGGCTCTTGTACCTGGATCATGGCAATAATTGTCAACTGATTACTTTGTCTCCAGACTATACTTTCCCTTTAATTCTTATTTCCACTGCCACCGAAGTACAGATGCTCCTTGACTTATGATGTGGTCATGTCCCAATAAACCCATTGTAAGTTGAACATATTTCAAACAAAAAATGCATTGAATACACCTAATCTACAAACATCATAGCTTAGTCTAGCGTACCTTAAGTGTGCTCAGAACACTTACATTAGCCTACCGTTGGGCAAAACCATCTAACGCAAAGCCTATTTTACAATAAAGTTTTGAATATCTCATGCAATTTGTTGAATACTGTACTGAAAGTGAAATAAAGAATGGTGGATGGGTAGGTACTTAAGAGTATGGTTTCTACTGAATGTGTATAATGTTTGTGTAAGTTGAACCATCAGGGGCCATCTGTAATCTTTTAAAATTCCACACCAGATTTTGTCATGCCTTTTCTTAAAAGCCTTCAATTGCTAACTCCAAAAGCTTTCAACTTGAAGTTCAAATTCCTGAGCTTCATGCTACAAGGTCTTTTGTGGTCTGCCCCTTGACCAGCTCATTAACCTTATCTCTTCACTCTTCTGCCCACTTTTCTCCAGCCAAATTGGAATTTTTCAATTTCCTTGAACATGGCATGATGCTTTAAACCTCCATATATTTGCATTTTCTGTTCCCTCTGCCTGGTACCCCATCTACCCACATCCTTAGCTAGCTGATGTCTATCATCCTTCCAATCTTGGCTCATATGCCCCTCTTAGGAGAAGCCTTCCCTTGGCCTTCCTTTCTAGATCCCTGTTATCTCTGTTAATATTTTTCCAGATAGAAGCATGTATGACACTGACTTATGAGTTGATTTATCTGTGCTCTCAAGCCCCTTGGGGTCAGGGACTGTGTCTTATATGACTGTCCCCTCAATCCTTAGCACAACGCATAGCACTTAGTAGATGCCCGGTATGTGTTGAATGAATGAGCATAAGCCCCTACTGTGCCTCAATGACCACAGTGAGGAGTGGGCTGGAGAGGACATGTTGATGGCTCTTGCAAACCATTCCCACCTCTGAGAAGAACTCTGTTGCAGAGCTCTTGGCACTTCAGCTTCTATATATGGCAGAGGTGATGGCAGCTTTGCTATTAGTTTCTAATTTTGACCCTTCAGGTCTCCTTAGGTGGATGTTTCCACCATCCCCTCTTGCCCAGTCCATTTCACCCCCTTAATGGGCCTGGGCCAGGCCAGGCCAGGCCTCCTCCTTCCTCCCTTCTTGCCTGCCCGAGTGCCTCTCAAGTTCCCTCCACATGACAGGGAGCCAGCTTTTCCTTAGCCTGGCATTCCTACTTCAGCTTTTAATCTTTCCTCATAAATTAATCTCTCTTGCTACCTAATCATGCCTGGTGCCCTTTTCTGAACACTCTCTACTTTGCCTACCCCTGTCGGGTAATGAGATGTCCACAGCTGGCTGCAATATCCCAGGCTCCCTCTCACCACCCCCAGAGATGATTTCCTCCTGGCTTTGTGTCCTGGCCCCTGCATATGCACATCCAAATCAACTTGACTTTTTTGAAAAATTTATTTCACTGCAACTTCCCATTGCAAACTCATCCAATTTGCACTTTGCTCTGGGGCTGTGTCGTTCTCTGTGGGTGCCCACTTTTGGGGTTCCCCCCACTTATTGAATTCATCTGTGTCTTTATGGTTATTTTTTTCCTTCCTGTGCTAATGCTTATGCCTTTCCAAGCAGAGTCTCATTTAGGGCATCTTACCCAAACTCATCTCTTCTCCAGGTCACAGGATATTTTTCTTTACCCCTTCCCAGACAGGAGTGGCTGTCAGTTTCATGAGACAGTTTCTTATAAACGCTAAGAAAAAAATGGGTCTCTCCCAATCATACTTGCTTCTATTACACAATCTCAGCATACTTTTTGGCCTCAACTATCAGAAAACTTAAAGCTAAGTTTTACTTTTGGTGGCAGCAAGTGTCTTTCTCTCGAGACTCTGTGAAATTCAATTTTCCTCTTATTATGTGGCATTCTTTCATAAATTATTACTATAAAGAGACTAACATATATGGGTTTGTTCATAAGTTTGTGAAATATAAAGACGTTTTAAGTTTAAATATTTTTGGAAATAAGTAGAGTCTAAAGAATACATTTATTAACTGGGCAGTTCATATACTTTTTTTTTCTTTCCTCTTTTTATCCCTAGTCCCTTTTCCTTGGCCTTCTGACCATGAGTAGAAGATAGTGTGGATGAGCTTCTGAGTCTGGGTTGCCTCCCTGCCCCTCACCATCACCCTCAATGACAGTTATTTGTCAGTGGCCTTGATAAGGGACGCAGTAGGTGATCTGCACAGGTAGATGGAGGAAGTGGGGTAATGAGGGGGAAAAGATCCTGACTTTGGGAGATAGCAGGTGTCAGCATCAGGCTCAATTCTGTTCCTTCTGGTTCTGTAACTTCAGACCAATTAACCTTTCTGAGTTTGGGACTCTTCACCAAAAAGAAGTGAATAATGAAACTTTCCAGGGTTGTGAGAAACAAACAAAACAAAGTACAGAAAAGGGTCGATCACAGTACCTGATGTCCAAGGTAAGGGTGGGGGTGCTCCATTCAACTTTCTATCCTTGGTTTCTTAGAGGTGTCCCCTGCCCATAGATATGTCCCCCTGGATCTTGTATGGCCTTAAATTCCACAGTTACAGTCTCATTGACTTTTACTGTCAGACAAAACATCCCTTTGGTATTTATACCTCAGTCTGGCTGAGACTCCCTGGAAGAACAAGCTGTCAGTAGGGTATCAAGGTAATGTCAGAGCCGTTTGAAGCAGTGTGACTCCAGTAAATAGGGGCTGGGTAAAATAAGGCTGAGACTTACTAGACTGCATTCCCAGGAGGTTAGGCATTCCTAGTCATGGGATGAGATTGGAGATAGGCACAAGATTAAGGTCACAAAGATCCTGCTGATAAAACAGGATGCGGTAAAGAAGCCTGCCAAAACCCACCAAAACCAAGATGGTGATGAAAGTGACCTCTGGTCATTCTCACTGCTCATTATACACTAATTGTAATGCATTAGCATGCTGAAAGACAATCCCACCAGCATTATGAGTTTATAAATGCCACGACAATGTCAGAAAGTTACCTTATATAACCTAAAAAGGGGAGGAATCCTCAGTTCTGGGAAATCCTTGCCCATTTCCTGGAAAACTTATGAATAATCCATCCTTTGTTCAGTATATAATCAAGAAATAACTATAAGTATACTCAGTCAAGCAGCCCATTCTGCTGCTTTGCCTATGGAGAAGCATAATTCTTTATTCCTTTACTTTTTAAGTAAATTCGCTTTTATTTTACCCTATGGATTTGCCTCAAATTCCTTCTTACGCGAGGTCCAACCTCCTCTCACTCTTGAGGTCTGCATTGGGACCCCTTTCTGGTAACAGTAATAGTTTATGATGGGGATTCAAATAGTTTATGAATTTTGGAGCACAGTATTTTGGGGGACCACAGTCCTTCCTGGATGACAGTGTTGCTGGGGAACAGGGTAAAGGTGAGGGAGAGACAGCACCTGATTAGAGGGTTGCGGGAGACCCTCCAACTTTGCAGGGTTTTGGAGCTGTTTCTGGGACATCAGAATCTAGTTCTGGAATGTGTATATGACTTCCCTGGAGGTCTTGTCACTAGCAGATGTAGATACAGGACATCTGGGGTGGGGCTTGAAATTCTGCATTTCTGGCAAGCTCCCAGCCTTGCCCATGCTGCTGCTGTCTGAACCATTCAGAGTGGAAGGTTTTTAGCAGACTTTACTGAAACCTCATTAAAAATTGGGCTCTGGGCAATGTGGGGGCACCCCTGCAGTGGGGGTCTCCAGGCCAGGACCCCCGACCAGGCCCATTTGAATGGTTATTATTTAGTTTTTACTCAGAACCTTGCCCAAGTTACTATCCTCAAGCACTTTCCTAAAATTGAGAGCATGATATTCACCCCTTCCTTTTATCTCCTCATCTGGCATTTCTATAAATTAGAAAAAAAAAGCAATTAAGTTTGTCTGGCATGACTTGCACCACATCAAGTCCTGCTATTTACTGACTGTGAGTCTGTCCTCAGACTACAAAGAGTTCTTCTTAATGCTGCATCCTTGGCTTGCCTGGGAGGTAACTTCCATTTTAAGTTTTTGGAAAAGGTGATGCACAGGCCTCAATGGACTCAACTAAATGCATCATTATTTTTATTTTTATGTTTTAATTTTTTTAAAGGTGATTCCAAATTGCCATTTACTCTATGTTTACACTCAACAAATGCTGACAAACCTAAACTATAGTGACAATGAGAAAACAACAACATAAACAATAAAACTCTTGCAAGGAAGCCAGTGCTAAAGTGGCACATGGGTGGCCCAACTTGCCTCACTTAATCAGTGTCTCTCATTCACTTGCATTTAAATCTGCTTTCTTTTCTTTTCTTTTTTTGCAGCACTATTTTTAAACATATACATGCATGCTCACAAAATGGCTGGGATCCGGGGATCCCAGGCCTCCCTCCATCCTTGACTAGACACTTGATGCCAAAATGAATGTCTAAGTCTTTGGAGCCTCATTTTCCCATCTGTTAACATGGAAGTAATAAGACACATCTAACACGTCTCACTGCATGAGGGCCTACTGGAGGACTTGGTACATATTAGGCGCTAAATGAATGTTTATGCAAAAAAAATACAAGTATTACTAAACAAGGCCTGATTTTGTTCAGGGTCATGCCCAGCTAGAGCTACACTCCTTCCATGGTCCCTTGCAGCTAGAAGTGGCCATGGAACACTGCTATGGTTGGATGTGTTCCCCCCAAACTGATGTGTTGGAAACTTAATTCTCAAATTCATACGTTGGTAATATTTGGAGGTAGGGCCTTTGGGAGGTAATTAGGGCTAGTTGAGGTCATAAAGGTAGGGCCCTCATGATGGGATTAGTGGCTTTATAAGAAGAGAGACCTGAGTTGGCATGTCTCCTCTTTCTTACCATGAGAGGCCTTTTGCCATGTTATAACACAGCGAGAAGGCCCTGACAAGATGCATCTCCTTGACTTTGGACTTCCCAGCCTCCAGAAATGTTAGAAATAAATTTCTTTTCTTTATAAATTACCCACATTCTGTCCAATTAGATTTAAGCTGTTTTTGGAAGGGGATGAGGTTGGGGTAATTTTTGGGAAACCTATGCTTTCCCAACATAGGGGCCACTCCCTCTTCTGGATCTGAAACAAACACCATACAGAAATAGCCCTATTGCAACATGGGGCAATAAGCATGAGGATTAAAATAAAAGAAAAAAAATAGAGTGGAGAGATGGGAAAAGAATGGTTTCCTAGTGGCATCAATGGGCTTCCACACAGCCCCACTGCCTTTGCCTGGGATGCTTGTTACAAGAGAGTGTGACAATTCAACAAAGTCTTTGTCACTATCCCTAGAGTCCCTACCTACTCCAAGTGCTGCCTGTGAACTAGCAGCATCAGTCTCACCAGGGAGCTTGTTAGAAATGAGGACTGTCAGGTCCCACCCCAGACCTACTGTGTAAGAACCTGCACTTTAACAACCATCCCCTGGTGAGTTACACTCACATTGAAGTTTGAGAAGCACTGTCTAGTCAAGGTTTCTGTTGCTTACAGCTAACCACATTCCTAACCTAACCTCTCTTCTACATTTTCTTGAAAAAGAGATACAAGCTAAGCTCTGGATTTTTAAAAATGATACATCCAGGTTCTGTTCAGACCCTTCATTCAAATTTCTTTCAAATTTTTAAAAATCTGCCTCCCTTATGGAAATTATCAGTCTGCTATGTGACCAGCACAAAGAAGACTTTAAATATTTGTTGTGGAGTAAATACTTATCTGACTACATGTTTCATCTTCCTTACTAGGCTAATAGCTCAAAGTGGGCAAGGATTGTGTCCTATTTCTGCTCATACCCTCCAGTGCTTAGCAAAGTGTCCATATAGCTGTGAGTGCTTGATAAATATATAAATTACTTCACTATATATTCCATTTACTGGGGCAATTAAAGGAAGTTTCTGGCAAACCTTCCACAGCACCCTCAAAATCCTGTCACATTCTCTGAGTATTTGGGAAGAGTGTGTCTATTCTAAATAGTCGATTTTTATATACTTTTATTAGCTATACAGTAGAATGACTTTTCCTCTTCTCTTTGGCTTTCAGGAAGCTCAGCTAAATGCAGTTCAGTGGCAAAAACTAACTTTGGTTTGGCTTTCCTTATTTCCTCTAATCTCTCTATGGCTCCTAATTTGCTATTTCAGCTTTAATGTTTTTATTTTATTTTTGACTTTTATTTTTCAGTTTCTCATATATATTTTTTGAAATAGCAAGGTGAAAATTATACGTAAAACCAAACCATTAGGAGTCTGAAATCTGCTAAGGGAGTGATCTTGTCTAAGGGAGTGAAAGAGTTTTGCTTAATGGTAAGAACCTGGTTTCAGTTTTTTTCCTTTATTAAATAAAATTTAGGGGATTTGCCACCTGTGTCTGTACTGTGGCGATATTCACACCACCATGGCTGGGTGAGAAAGGAGAAAACACAGAAACAGAGAAAAAGCCTTGCATATGTTTGATAATTGACATTTTCCACAACCCACTCTATTCCCCTTTCCCCCTCTGTCAACGCCTGTCATTCAGTCACTAGTCAAGCAACTGTATCCCTCACTTTGCTTTTCACACTGCTATGGTCTTTATTGGCTGTGTTGAAGTCTGAGAAGCTCTGTCCTCACTCCTGCCTCTCCTAGAGTGGCTCCTCTTCTTTCTGGAAATTCTATCTGTGCTGGGAGGTCCAGCTTAGTTATCTGCTCCTGACTGCTGCAGCTCATACGAAGCCCTGTCCCACCTGGACCCATGGTCCGTCAACTTTGTGGTGTCTTGTTTGGCCCTTGTCTTGCTTCATTGAAGGGGTCCTCTCTTCCCAGGGCAGGAAATAGAGGCATTCCTGTGTTTCTCTAATAGTGTCTAGCTAGGGGTTGGTATACAGTGGGCACTTAACCCATACCTCATTAGATGCTACTTAGCATGTAACCATAGTCCCAGATATGGTCACATTATGTATTATACTTCTAAGTTCCCTGGTCTTACCTACAAGAACACAAACAGGTCAGCTTGTAAACCAAGCTCATTCCTTAATACAAAGCCATAGGATTAGTGTTAGAAGAAGCCACAGAGCCATGTGAATCTGATCCTTCATTTCTAGAAGAAGCCCCGAGAGGAGAGGACTTTGTGAAGGGCCCCAAAGCTGGTTAGGTGTACAGCAGAGGCTGAAACTCAAGTCATGTGACTTTGTGTCACCATAGTCCCACTTCCCCCTGTTTATCCATGCCAATCCTTGCACCCTCTTCAGAGTTTTAGCATGAATGCAGCAGGCTAAGGTTTGTATTAAAGCAAATCAGGGCACATTTCAACACAATACTGGGTGATTGTCTAGAAACATGAGTTGTACAAAATCAGATATATTTTAACTACATTGAGCTGTCTGACCAATTAAAGGATTTTAGAGGCAATGTTTTATAAAATGAAGGAACCATTTCATGAGGTGAATAATCACCTCTTTTACCCATTGAGATTTAGCAGTGGTTTGCTTCATAAATGGAAGATTTGCCTGTTACACATCTTGGTTAGATTCAAAAGTAAACAGTTATGAATTTGTTTATAAATTCTGCAATAGGTATAAGTTATTTATGCAGTTGTGATTTTAGATGTGTAAAACTATAACTTTCTATGTTTCTGTAGAACAGAATTCACCTTTATTCTCTACCCCTCATTTCCTCCAAATGTGGAAAACAAACTTCCCAGTTTGAGATAACAAGCCACTTTTCATTTAAACATAGTCAGTTCAGATTTGACCTCTGTCTTGCTCTCTTCGTTGGGAATAATCTAATTTCTAGGTCTTGGGTACCTCTGGCCCTATGGGAGGGGCACCTTGTTGACTCTGTTGAGGTGTCTCTTGTCCTGTGAGTTCTGGACTATTGACTCTGCCCTGCTGCACTAGTAGGAAGTGACCTTGGTCTCCACTGGGGCTTGCAGTTGCAAGGTCAATGCTTTTTGCTTTCACCTTGTCCCACCTGCAAAGCCTCTTTGCCTCTTTTCCAGCTGCCCTCTGGGCTACACCTACATTTCTTCTCTGCATGCCAGGGTGAACAGTCTCCCCAGGCTGATCTGGCCACCTAGACATGTACTCTCTGCCATTGCAGGTCTTCTGCTTAGGTACCATGTTGGGCAAGAGACCCCTGGTCTCCTAGCTACCCTTCAGAAGGTGAACAATATTCCCTGTTCCCTTCAGCTTTCAGATCTCCTATGTCCATCTGAGATCTCTCATCAGGGTTTCAGTCATCCTGAAGTCCCCTTTTACCTACCCGCTACCTCCCAGCTCTAATGGGGCAGTCCTATTGGGCTCCATGTCTGGGACCTACTCATTTAAATCCCAGGCCCATTTCCACTGATTTTCTTTCTCACTTGCTTCCCTGTGTCTGACCCTGGCATTTGGGAAGAGCAGGTGGGTAAGAAAATGGCTTTCACCTTGTATTGTTCTCTACTCTGTGTTTAAGACCTATGCTCTGAGACCCCCAAGCCTCCTTAAAGTGCCACAGAATTTTCTCTTGCAAAACACCTTGCTTTCATGCCTTCATTTTTGCTAAGGACTTTTAAAGTCTTGCTCTGAAATTCCAAACTGGGCAAGGCACCATGTTCCTGGCTATATCCATGCCCTCCCCCCACCCCGCCCCTACCACTGACCCGGGAGGGCAGGGCACCTGGAGAGCTGCCTAAGTGGTAAAGAAAGGTAACATGAAGAAAGCACCAAGAAAGGAGCCCTCAGTTGTTGCCTCAAAGTATTATCTACCATATTCAATCATTGTAGTAGGAAGCATAATCTGGAACACAGCTTCTCAACAGGTCTCCAGCTACAAATGGTTTATAAGTAGGCAGAGACATAGTGATGCCTTCAGCTCTGGAGGCTCCTGAGATACCCAGAGCCCTTGGAGCTATCAGCATTGGCTGAAAGTAGCCAAAAGGGAATAGGTTTCAAAGGACCTGCCACAGGTCCTCACTTGCAGCAAGCACAGGAATGATGCTCTATCCCTCTAGGTTATGCTGAGTGCAGCAAGAGGTGCTCTGCTACCTGCCTGTCAATTTTTGCAGGCAGTCACCTTTTGTATGCAAGGGGCATGGGGAGCTGCTGGAGGACTTCTCCAGGCACCCAGGGAGCACAGGATGAAGCCTCAGCTTTGAGGGAGATCCCTAAGTCTCTGCTTTACATTTATTGATTCTCCCTTCCATTTGCAACCGATAGCTCTTTTAGGGAGGTGTAAGCTGACTGCTGAGTGGGTGACTACTCTAATGTTGCATATGCATCCCTCAATCAAACTTCATCATTATGCTGAAACATTTGACATCTAAAATTTCAGCTCAATTAGAAGTCCAAATGTAATATCACAAGAAATTTCAACAGTACAATTCAACAGTACAGAAAACTCAACAGTACAATTGTCAGTGAAAAAAAGGCAACGCTGTTAGAGTCTTAAAATAGAATTTCAACTGTTATATATTTTTAACTCTCTGTTAAAAAATGATTTAAATTTTTTACTACCTACTTGTGTGAACAAAGTTTCTTGTGGGTGGTGGTTATTGAGAATTTGAGGAAACCATTTTTTATAAAGTATTGATAAGGAATAGGTGTGTAGTCATTTCAAACATAAAACATTTTGTTCATGGAAGCAAGTTCACGTTTTTCATTACAAATTTCAAAAAAATTAGAAAATTTTATACATATTCAATATTTAGTATCTTCCCCAATACTTGTTTTCCTTATTGTCATTATATAATGTAAAGAAAAGGTAATAAAAAATTTCCATCAAGTCCCATAGGAAGACTCCCAAATCTCTTTCAGTTTTATTCCAATGTGCAGCACAGTTTCATTATTTTGTGTATGTGCCACAATGGAAAGAGGTTTGGGAAACACTGCTCTGCTGCAAGGAATGTGAATTCTGGAGGCAAACCAGCTAGGGCTCAAATCCCATCTCCGCCACGTGCTGGCTGTGTAACTTTAAGCCACTTAACTGACCTGAACCTCAGTTTTCTCATCTGCAAAATGGGAAATGACCTCGACTTCCAGGATTGGACTAAGACCCAAAGACCCACGCTGGTACTGCAAACTCATTTCTGCATCTGTATGTGACCTTGCCCTTCTGAATTCTATTTCCCAGAGTTGTGGGTTCAGATGCTGCCCCTTGTGAGCTAGTATGATAGCATGTGAACCTACTGCCTGTCGGTAGGTTGTGTTAGGAGCTGGACCTCGGGAGGAACAGGGCTGGGTCACAGAGTCCCCATAAAATAGCAGCTCCAGGAAGAGGGGAACCAGCTCCCAGCACCCGGCTGCCATTTGCTGATTTAGTATTCAGAATTCAGAATTTATGGAGCCGCCTTCCTCTGTCACATCATCCATCAGAGACAGACACTCAAGAGACGGAAGGGGAAAAAATTAAAAACCTGTTTATTGCTCAACTTGTTCTAGGCATGTTTTAGCTTATTGTTCAGCTCTGTTCATTTCGGTGCTGCAATTTGAATGGCTTTCTTAGTTGCCATGGCTAACATGTATATATACGTATAGATGGGTGTACTCACACAGATATCTTTTTCTTCAGAAAAATGAAAAGCCACCAGAAATTGTGCTGCAAGTAAAGTTTTTAAGGCTCAGGGTCGGCTGGGGCCTGCTGGAAGCCACCGTGGCCCTGCGCAAGCTTCCTGCATCCTCATACCCACCCAGGCCTCCCTTCACTGGTAGAGGGTGCTGCACTGCGGATGCTTATTGGGTATGCTGCATTTGTTCCTGTCGATGTCAAGGAGAGTTTGTGGGCAGAATGAGTATGGAATGCACAATGGCGACAGGCAGGAAAGGCAGGCACCAGGATGTATAGAGAGCGAGAGAGGCAGGACGGCAACAAGGACCATCTTTGTAGAAAAGGGATGATTTGATCACATCCAGTTCTTTATGAACCAAATAGTTCTTTAGGAACCAAACCTTCATAATTTAGCAAACACTGAAATATGTCTGTTGCAGAAGAAAATGCTGTGAACGATACTCAACAGCAATTCAGAATCCTGGGTTAGAGGTGCCTTTACCACCATCGCAGTTGAGTGGGGCCTCTAGGGTCAGACTATAAGGATTTGGTTCTCTCCTTCACCCTTTCTAGCTGTTTGACCTTGAGGTAGTTACTTAAATATCCTGTGCCTCAGTTTCCTCATTCTCCTCATCTGTGAATTGGGGATAATAATATCCCTGTCAGGATGAATGAAGTGCTTGGCACCATGCTTGGCAGGCAGAGGATGCCCGATATGTGTTGTTATTATACATTTGCAGTGTGTGCGTATATGGTTCCCTTTGCCTCCCTGGCTGTGAGCATTCCATGAGTAAATCTGAGATGGAAATGCTTCCCACCCACCTCCAGGGCTGTTAAACTAATCACTCCAAGGTGTGGGATGTGTAGTTTTCAGAAGAGTATAAACTGTCACCACATGGTAGGGATGGTTAACACTGGAAGCCCTCCACCCATAATTGTCAGGTATTGAGCCCAGCCTATTAGAGATGAACTGGAGCTGGATTTCACGAGGAGAGAAGAGGCTCTTCCTTGCCTTTCCCTGGAAATGAAGCCCCCTGGCTTGGCTTGGAGGCATTTGCTGGGCCTGCTCAGTGAAAGTCCTGGCTGTGGCTTCAGAATATCACATCTTGTTCAGTTTACATTATAATCAGTACCCATTATATAAAAGATTATTTTATGTATTACAGACTTTTGTTTTTGACATATCAATTCCCTCTACTTACTCTGCATCTAGAGAAGGTGCGAGAGAAATGCAGTGTTTTAGCAACAGTTGCTTCTAGAGGGGGGCCTGGAAGAAAGCCGTGCTTTCCAGTCCAAGGCAGAGGAATCCAGCATGGTCTCTGCCCATGTTGGGGGACAGGATGAGACAGAAGGGGCCTGATCTGGAATGGCTCAAGACCATTGCTAGACCAGGTAGGATTGGGGCTGAACTTCCATGGTTGTTTGGGTAGGTGGAGGGGAGGTGATGGGGCTGCAGTGGATGTGGGGTGGGGGACGTGGGGGTGCCAGGAGTACCTGTGGATCTCTGACAAGTCACCTGAGATCTTTTTTGGACATGAGCGAGGCTTGTGTGCACACACATACGTACAGACACACACAATCTGAGGATAATTAGATTCTGAGACCAAAGAGGTCAACATGACACCCACATCCATAGCTCATAAAGAACCTTTCCACAAAAGAGGATGCTGGCAGAGACAGCAAATGCTGTCCACTGTGTGCACAGGGGTTGGCTAGGACAGTGCAGGGCTGGAAACTACGCCACATGAGGCAAAGAATGAGGACTGGGGTAAAGATCATGTCGGACTCTCAAGGTCCATTCGAGGTAGTTGTGGCTTCTGGGGCTGCCAACTCTTCTCATTAGCTGTGAACTCAGAGTCAGAAGGATGTTCTGTGGGGCTGAAGCCTGTAGCTGAACTTGTCACTGTTTGATGACAGGAGAACACAGCGTCTGAGAAAGAGTGGGGTTTGGGATTCAGACAGGTTCAAATCTCTGCTCTGCTGCTTCCTGGCTTCATGAACTTTGATGAGTTACTCGACCTCTCTGAACCTCAGTTTTCTCATGTGTAAAATGGATCTAAGACTATCTACCTTTCAGGGTTATTTTAAGAAGTATAATCCATGCATGTAAAGTGCCTAGTTCATTACAGGAGCTCAACAAAAGGTAAAAAGTGCCTAACATTTTGCAAATCCTTCTGTGTACCATGTTCTGTGCTAAATGCTTTACGTGACTGAACTCAATTAATTCTCACAGTAACCCTTTCAGGAAGACACTATTATTATCCCTGTTTTCAGATGAGGACATTGAGGTGCAGAGAGGCTGACTAACTTGCTCAGGGCCCCACCACTTGTCAGTGGGACAGCCAGGAAACCGGCGGCTTAGGGCTTGGTGCTGCCTCTGTCACTACCACTTTTCTAGTGTGGAATTGCAATGAGGGAAGACGGTTCAAAATCGTTCCCATTCATATGCTTGTTAATTAACTCAAATTTTTTTTATATTGGTTAACATATCTCTATATAGTTGGGCAACAAAGCCCTGTGAAGAGCCATTTCACTCTTCCTTCCTTGCTAAGCAGAACCTCAGTTCTCCCGTGGCAGATTGTGCTTAGCTAAGCCAGCCACAGCCCACCTCTGCCTTCCCAGTCTCTTTTATGTTGGGGATGGCTGTGTGGGCCAGTCTGGCCAAGGTGGGAGTCAGATGGGACACTTCTGGGGACAGTTTTTCACTCTGAAAAACAATTAATTGGGTTCTCTATTACCCCAAATATCTTCTCTGTGGAGTTAGTTTTCAAAGATAACCTGCAGAATAGCTTGTGCTGTTTTCTCTGCTGCTTCTTGAGCTCCTGGGGCTGAAGAACATTTGAGTAGAGAGGAGGGCTTGAGACTGCTCTCCCTTCACCTAGGCAGAAACACCCATTTAGGCAGACAGGCCAAAGGCTTCATATGGGACTGGGGTGCGTTCCTTTCCCTTCCGGGTCAAGGACACGCTTGTGGTGAGGTAGGAATGGGGAGTGGAGCTGTGGCACCACTGCTAGGCACTGTGCTAAGCAGGGAAGAGGCAAACATGTATCAGACCCTGGCCCTGGCCACATCGCTCCCGCTTCAGCAATATGAAGGGCTTCATCCTTTCCCAACAAAACAAGGAGCCATAAAAATGTTTCCTCTCCTGACCCCATGACTTACTTCCTTCTTCACCTGGTGATCTCCTCCCCTTCACAGTCAAGGTTCTCCCTTTCCCTCCCCTCCCAAAGCCCAGGTCAGACCTGGCACACCTGTCTACCTCTGCAGGCTCAGCTCTCACCTCCTTCCTGGCCTTTGGGCTCCTGCTCTTGAAGTACACTGCAGCCCTGCTGGGTGTAGCTCATGATGGTCTCTGCTCATGATGGTCTCCCAGAGTGGATCATTTTGTCCCTAAATTCCTAATTACAATTTTTCCTAATTTTCACTCACCTTTATACCTCAGTTCAGGTGCCACTTCTCTGTGACATCTTATCTCAGCCCCACGTACTTCCACATTTCTTATTTTGTGGGGCAGTTGTCTTTTCATTTGCTTTCCCCATCACTAAACTTGACTGGTTGGAGGGCAGTCAGTCGCTATTCTTTTTTTTTTTTTTTTGAGACGGAGTCTCGCTCTGTCACCAGGCTGGAGTGCAGTGGCATGATCTCAGCTCACTGCAGCCTCTGCCTCCTGGGTTCAAGTGATTCTCCTGCCTCAGCCTCCCAAGTAGCTGGGACTGCAGGCATGTGCCACCACGCTCAGCTAATTTTTGTATTTTTAGTAGAGACGGGGTTTCACCATGTTGCCCAGGATGGTCTCCATCTCTTGACCTTGTGATCCACCCGCCTCAGCCTCCCAAAGTGCTGGGATTACAGGCAGGTGTGAGCTACCACACCTGGCTGTGGCTATTCTTAAACACCACATTTTTGGTGTCCAGTACCTGGCTCAGCACCTGATACCTACTAAGTATCTAACAAATGTTAGTTGAGTGAGAAGACTAAGCCTTACTCTCAAGGAATTTGGAATAAAATTGAGAAATACAATATGAAATATAATAAATAAAAATACAAGCCAGGGGCACGTGAATGGGTCTAGGATTTCTGAACAGAGAGATCTGTTAGGAGATTTATGTAGTTATCTGGGCAAGAAATGGTGAGGACCAGATCTGGGATTGCAAAGAAAGACACTGGGGAAATTCTATTTCCTCAATCATCCAGCAACCATTGATAAAACACCTACTATGTATCAGGCTCTGAGCACACATCAGTGAACAAAACAGCCTCAAATCTCTACCCCGTGGAGGTGACATTTTTAGTTGAGGAGAACAACGAGATGGATAAATAAAATGTATAGCCTGTCAGATGGTGCTAAGTGCTGTGGAGAAGTTGGGGCAGGGAAAGCAGGCGTGCTGCCCAGAGCTCAAGTGCACGGCTCAGTGAACTGTTATACAAACCCCTTCAAGCCTCCCACCCACCGTGGCTTTCCCCGAAGCCTTTTCTGTCCTCTCTTGCCTACGTTGTCTTTGCTCTAATTTAAAGAGACTGCAGGGCACTGAAGGCCCTGGCTGTCCACTTGACAGTGGTCACACACCGCTTTGCGTCATTGCACGGTTCCTCTGGTGTGTAGGAGAGTCTCCTATGCTCAGTCAGAAGCTCCCTGCGGACAGGGCCCACATTCCAGACTTCTATTTCCTGCTCTCTTGCAGCTTCATGCTCAGCTCCTATTAAATATTCAATAAATACTTGTTAATTTGATTGATTGCATGATTCATAAATTGCAAGTGAAACCTCCAGTTAAAGTCTCTTAAGGAGTTTTTTCAAGGCACTGATTACTAAACATTTTACAAAGGGGAAAACATCTTTAGAAGAGAAATTAGGGTACTAACTATTCTGGGTCTGATGATAAAATCAGAAACATGAACACACCATCTTTTCCCCAAGGAAACCAGGATCTAGAGAGGAAAACAGTTCACCCAAGAGGAAAATAATTTGGCCATGCCTACAGTAAGGCTTTTTGCTGACTCGATGTTCTTATCTGTAAAATGGGGTGAAGTACCACCTAGATCATTTATTTCAAAAGATATTCTGAGGGTCAAGTGAGAAGTGGAGGGATTTTTAAAGGAAAGACTTCAGCTTAGTGTAATTGTTCATTTCCTGGTTGTGACTTCTCCCTTTGTTGCTGCAGGGACAGAGGGCTCCTGGTCCACAGAACACATTCCCTCACACTCATCTGCCTCCTTCCCTGTTGGAAAATGAAGACTTGCCTCCCCTGTGCAGTCAGGAAGTACCTGCTATCAGGGAGAAGGGAGGTCGGGGAGAAGGCATTCTCCCTGTGAACCAACTCTGCCTAACAGCTTGCCTATTTTTAATTTAATCTCATGCCGTCCTCATTAGCATCTGGTTATTATTAGACCATAACCACAATAATAAGTATTCCACTTGTGTCTTCTATTTGCAGAGTGCTTTGCAATCATTTTTGTTAGTTAGTTGCAGTTCAGTTGTCCTAGAAACCAATATACACACAAACAGAAAGAAAAATGGGGTGGGGGTTAGGGTAAAGTGTCTACCAGGCAGCTCAATTTGTCTTTGACCAGCAGGATGCCAATGTTCCCTTGGGGGCACTTGGAGAAGTTAGACTAAGGTAAGGTAAAATTTTCTTTGGCCAGAAGAAAATCTGGAACCCAACTTGGGGATCTCTATTCAGTGGGAACACCTAAATGTACCTGCAGGTGACCTGGCTACTGCCATCCAGTTAGTTAGTTCAGAGCTAGCCCCATGGTTCAGGATGTAGAGAGAGACTGTTCTTTGTCTTGCATCTGGGGCGACATCTGAAGAAATCGCCTTGTACATAAGCAAATGTACAACTCTCTCTCTCTGGGAGATCAGTCAATTACAGCCAATTGAGCTATTTCATTTCGGCTTGCAAATGGCTTTCAGTTACACTAGTAGACACATTAATCTAATAACTAATGATCATATATTTCACTAATCATACAGCCCTGCATGTGGTATAATATCTAATTTAATATTAAGACATTTTCACATGTGCATTTTTACCAACAGTCTAGCTCAGAGAGCCATGCAAGAGCAGCATGGCAAAGAGGAGGAACCGGCTTCCAGGTGGAGGGCCGGCAGGCAGGCAGGCAGGCAGGTAGGAAGCGGGCAGAGTCCAGGAGGCTGAGCGCTACCCCTCTGGAGGGGGACTCTTCTTTGAGGATATGGAAGAAGATCTGTGTCAAATCAGGACCAAAGCTAACTCATAGGAAGGTTTTGTGATAAAAGCACCCCCTCCCACCCCACCAAGGCAGACTCATTGGAAAAGTGGCCCGTTGCCCTGAACTGACATATCCTGAGCCCAGGAGACTCCGTTGAGCAGCAGAGCATGCACTGATTTCAGCCCCATTTGGGCTCCCTCACCAGGTGCCCTAGTTCATGGCACCATCCGGGTAACCCTAGACTGCTGCCCTGGAGAGCTTGGAGGCAGAATAGGAAAAGGGAAAACACAGCCCTCTGCAGGGCCAGCTCAGGTATCTCATCCTGTATCTCTTCTGAAACTCCAACCCTGCAAACAGCAAATAACCTTGTTTGGGGGCTAGCGGAATGGCGTTACTGCACAGCATGGGGAGGGAGGAGGTGATACTAAGGAAGGCCTTTGGGTCCTGGGCCAAGTGTGTGTCTGAGCTTTGGGTCCTTCAGTATCAGCTTCCAGCTGTCACCTCCTCCACTCCTGGCTGCATCCCTGGGAGACTGGCCATCTGCCTGGTCATTGCAGTGACTCTGGGATTGTTGTCCTGGGATGGACAACCTGTGTCACTGTTTTCTTCAGGGACTGACTGATTGGGGTGATTGAGACCTCTTTCCAGCCCAGCCATTCTGATGTTCTGGGACTGATAGTAAACAATTCTCTTGAGGCTTAGAGGTGTGAAAAGGGCCAATCAACCAGGAGCCTGGAGTCCAAGCTTGAGCAAGTACTGATGAGCTCCATGACCTCTGGCAAGCCAGTCTACCTCTGAGCCTAAGCTACTCCCACTTCCAAGGAGATAATGACCCCCTCCAGAACTTTAAAGTGGCAAAATGCAAATCAATAGAGGGTACTAATTCACCCTTAAACAAAAGAGCTGCCTCATCAATACCCACGGACAGCTCCCTTGCATACAGACAAAAGGTGTGTTCCCTTTGGGAACCTGCACTGCATCCCCTCTCCAGGCATCATCAACTCACATGGCTACAGGAACCATGCAGGTGGGCACTGAGTGTCACAGGAGGGAGTGGAGGGGGTCATGGCATACTAGGGAAGCACATCCTGACTAAAGACAGTCAAATTTGAAAAAGAGAAAAGAGGTCTGTAGCCACCACTGCACAGTCTTTCACAAAGATCCCTACCTCTCTGCACCTTCAGGTCCTCTGGCAGTCATTGCCCATCACCCTGGACTCAGCTCCAAACCTCTTCCTGGTGCTCAAGCCATCCCCTTGTTTCCTCTGCAGGGACCCTGCGGCTATGAGACTTTTCCAGGTACAGGTGCTTGTGCTTCTGTGCCCAGTTTCTTTGAGCACTTTTTTTGTTTGCTACAATTCCCTGTTGCAGTTGAGACAGAGACTGGTGAGGAGTGAGAAATTTAAGAACACAGCAGGCAGCATAAAGATGAGCATTAGAGGCTGGGCGCAGTGGCTCACACCTGTAATCTCAGCACTTTGGAATGCCAAGGGAGGCGGATCACTCGAGATCAGGAGTTGGAGACCAGCTGGGCCAACATGGTGAAACGCTGTCTCTACTAAAAATACAAAACTTAGCTGGGCATGATGGCAGTCACCTATAACCCCAGCTACTAGGCAGGCTGAGGCAGGAAAATCACTTCAACCTGGGAGGCGGAGGTTGCAGTGAGCTGAGATCATGCCACTGCATTCCAGCCTGGGTGACAGAGCAAGACTCTGTCTCAAAGAAAAAAAAAAAAAAAAGTTGAACATGAGAGAGTCTGAAAAGCCAAATGCTACAGTCCACTGTGATGGCAGAGGGAGGGCAGGGGTCAGTGGAGAGAAGAGAGCCTCAGCATTTCAAGGCATTAACCCAGAAGGCAGTGGTTGGGCTACATCCATAGGAATAGGACCAAGTGGGATATTGGCTCATTCTTCACATCTTCAGCCAGGACTTAGGCATCAGTCTGACTTCTGCTTATATCCATGCCTTTCTGTGTGACCTTGAACATATCACTTCATGCCTTTGAACCTCAATTTTCTCAATTTTAAAATGAGGGATGGCATGGCATGAATAAAAAGCAAATGACTAGAGGAGAAGAGATCAAAGAGAAATAAATATGCTTTGTGAGGTGCTTCGAGAAGTGGTGATCAAGGTCTCCCCAGATCTTATGGTTGAGTTGGAGAGATGTCTAGAAAACTTCTCATCTATAAAGTGAGAGTCATCATCCCAGTTCCTTCACGGGGTTGGAGTTAGGACTCAACGAAATGATGCAGGAGAAGCATCTTGTACATTAACTGTTATTATTGTTATTACTATTGTTGCTGCTGTTAGTCCCAACCCCATCAGGCGTAGTTGATATGTACCATGTCAGAGGCAGGACCAAAAACCAGAGTTTGCTTATGTAGGTCTGGATACAGCCTACAGATCCAGTCTAGATACAGCCTGGATCTGGGGACAACCTATAGATGTGCTTTTTCTGTAGTTTATACAGTGTCTTAAAGAAAATTTGAGTCAACATTTAACAGAGGGGGACATAGTGTTAAAAATTGTAGATTTCTTGGAAAATTAAGATATATAATACAGTGACAATGGGCCTACACTCCATGTATTGAAAACTGGCTGGGTTCAGGAGGGGCTTCCTTGCGGAAGGAAGCTGTGGCCTCCTGTGTGCCCCAACCTGCATGCACCTTCACTGCAGACCTGCTCTATCCATGTATAGTAGCATATTCATGTATCTGTTGGCTTCTGGAGTCTTCAGAATTTGCCATGTCTGTAATGAATGCCTTTGGAGTTCAGGAGTAAAGTTATGCTTTCCGTCCTCAAAAAGAACAGCTACCTGCTAACAGTCAAGCCAGGCTAGGCTATGCTGCTGTAACAAGTGTTCTTAAAACAACAAAGTTAGTGTCTGTGTCTCTACTCCTCTTAATTACTCAGGGACCCAGACTGACAGAGGCTTCATCTTGACACACAAATCCATGGTCCCCTGGCAGGGGCAGGAGAAAGGAAGCATGGCACACCACACACTGGTTCTTGAAATGTCAGCCCAGAAGCAACACTCATTATGTCCCCTCTCATATTAGTGGCTGGTGCAAGCCATATGGCCAAGCCTGAGCTCATGGGATTTATAGCCCTCCTACAGGCAGGAGAACCACATAATGCAGACTACCAAAAAGCCATAATAACATAGCTCATTGTTCCACAGTTTTAAATTTACTACAGGCCACCAGTCCTTTTCTCTAAAATGTTCCTACTCCAGTCACTCCCTGAAAGTCAGGCATGAATAGTCAGTTGCCAGGATATTAGAGAGAGAGGAAGAAAACAGGAGCTTGAGGCAATTAAAGACCAACGTGGCCTCATTCACAGTGGTGCTAAGAATTGGTCCTACCACCCACAACTCCAAGAGAGAGGCAAAAATGTGTGGTGATAAAGGACAAGCCTGGAGCCAGAAGTCCTGGCTACTGGTTCTGATGCTAACCTTGCTCTTGGCTGTGAGGTGTTGGACAAATCACTTTCCCACTCATGGAGTGCAAGGGCATCAGTGGTTTTCAAACTGTGTTCACTGACAATCCCGGAGCCCCACCATAGGCAGGAGGTGAGGGAAGGAGAAAGGCCCAGGTGACAGGGAGGTGGTTGCCCAAGTTGTTTCAACCAGAACAGCCTTACTTTTCTGCATTTTGTGCATTGGGCTGCCAAAGGAGATTTGCTTTGGCAAAGGGTTCTATTGCTTGGACAAGTTTGGCCACCATTCTATCTGGTTGGTGCTCTCTTGGCTCCCATGTGGGAAAGTTTATGGGAAAGTCCTAACAGAGAAAGAGCTCCTACCATCTTGACCCCCAGGAAGGTGACCCAAAGGAAGTGAGAGAGATGTCAGAAGTTTAGAGTTTACAGAAGTAGCAGGGGAGACAGTTGGAGACACAGGCAGCAAACACAGGCCACATGGTGGAGTTTGAACTGTATCTTGATCAGGAAGTCTTTGAAGTGTTTTAAACAAGGAGGCACAGTCAGATTTGGAACTAAGAAAGATCAAGCCTGAGGTATGGTCACATGGCCCAGGACACTCCTGAAACAGCGCCTCCAAAATGTATCTGGAACAAACTTTTCCCTAGCCTCTGCCTCCATCTTTCTCTCCATGCCTCTCCTTTGGGAGGTGATGAGGTGGATCGGGGTTCAGAGGAAAGTAGAATTGACAGGTAAACAATAGAGCCTGGATCCCCCTGCAGGCTCTCAGCTCTTTGAGGACACCCCTCCCCTCTTTCCCCTCAAGCTTCCTACAATGAGGACAAGGAGACCACCCCTTGGGGGCTCCCCTCCTGCTCCAATCAATTCTCCTCAATTACCAACAAATCTAAATGTGATTTATCTGTGCAAGAATCATTCCAATATCACGCGAGAATCTATCAATAAAACCCCCAAGGCAATCTTGCTTAGAGTTGTCAATAGAAGCTCTAAAGCACAAAGGCATAGCAGCTAGCAATCAGGGTATTTTTGCCTCCCTCCCCCCTTTTTGGGGAGCACTTAATTAAGTCGACCAGAAGCTGTCAAAGATAATTTTCAAAGCACATGACCTCAGCAGCTGACATTTGATAATATTACATTCCACGTTGATTGAAATTGATTTTCCCCTCTTTTTGGGGGGGATGGAGAAAAGGGGGGAGGGTGAGGTCACAGAAGAGGGGAGGCTTAGATCTCTTTCACTGTGGTACTCAGCCCAGACCAGCAACGTGTGGGGTCACCACAGGCAGGCTGTTGGGCTCTCCTACCTTCAATGGAACCAGGGCTGGGCAGCTGTTTTCCAGCTGAGCCGCCATCCAGAGCCGGTGGGTGGAGCTCCACTTGGGAGGAAAGATACAAGAACCTGGTGTGCAAGGACCGGAAGCTGACACACAAATAGCACCCAGCAAAGTTGACGGTATCCAATGGCCTCTGTTTGCTGGGAAGATATTGGCACTAGAGGGGCAGAGCACAATGAGAGGTGGCAATTGGCTGGTTTTGGTTAAGTTTGTTTCTCACATTTGGCCATTTAGTCTATAATGGATGTGCTAGGTCACTATGGAGGTTGGCTTTCCTTTGACTTTACTGCTGTTAGAGAAGCTCATTCCAGCATCTCCAAAACCCCCACCCCGAACCCTCCTCTGAACCTGAATAAGGGCATGCCGGCAGTCACAGTCTTCTCATTACTCCACCAGTGCAAATCTCTAAATTCCTCAATAGACCCAGAGTAGTCCTCATGCAGACACCCACCCCTCATCCAAATGATGTTCATCCTCGGAGTAGGCTCAGCCTTGGTTCTTGTCCTACAGTGCGTGTGGGATGCTGACCATTTGGCTTCTTGGTTTCTGGATCCTTGGCATTAACTCCTGGTGTTGACTGACCCCTTGGCTGACCAGTTTGTGTCTTACTTCTGGCTCTAGGTAAAAAGGAGGTCTCTAACCTCTGTTCCCAATCCTTGGTTTTTCATGTGTTCCTGCTTTGAAGCACTGGCTGGGACCAGAACACTGACCTCCACACTGGACTTAGTGCATGGACAGGGCATTGCAGACTCAAGATGAAGTTGCATTTAAGATCTCAGGCCCCTGGTTGGTTGTGCTCTTGGCATATTTGTATCCCTAGCATGGACACCTTCTTTCCTAGGTTTTTGAGGCCTTGGGCTGAGGTTTTCTTTAGAGACCTCTGCTAAGACTTCTTATGGAGGGAAGGGAAGGAAACCTTGAAGACACTTCCCCACTACCCAGGATTTTCCACTCCTAGCCTTCCCCCTTGACATCCTCCACCCCCAGCGTCCCTAAAACTAACAGAGCTTTTGGTCTGAGGCTCCTCAACAGTGAGATCAGCCCCACGTCTGTGCCGTTCCGAGGGAAAACAGAACAGAGAGAGCTGGTATTTCCTCCAGTTTTAGACTCTTGCTTTTACCACTGCAGGAAGTGATTCAAGGCTTAACCCTTTCATTTTTGGCTTGTCATTTTAATCAGCCTCTCTGACACCTGACAGCTCAGCACCCTCTCCCAGCTCAGCTGAGCTCCTGCCAACTTTAACACATGAGTGACACTGACTAGATTGAGGCCTGGGAAAGGCATTCCAGGAAACGGGTATGGCATAAAGGAGGTAAGAGGCACAAGCAGCTCTGGGGCTTTTTCAGCCAATCTTGAGCTGGAGGAGATAATAGTGAAGAGTGTACAGCTACGAAGGGGAGGGGAGTTTAGACTTGGTGCAGGAGGCACAGGGCCCACGAGGTCTTGGTCCTATTCATACATCCTGTTTTAAAAAGGAAAAACAAGCCATTATAAGTTTTGAGCCAGATGTTTAAAGGCAGTGTGGTCCAGTTGGAAAAGTACTAGACTGGGAGAGAAGACTTGGACTTTAAGTCTCTGCAACTAGCTGTGGGCAAGGCATGTCGCCTTTCTGAGCCTCCACTTTCTCATTTGTATAGTGAAGCTTCAGAGGTGATTGTGTGGACTAATGGTGCTATATATCAAAATATACAGTGTAATGATAGTAAATCTTTTCTTTCTTTTTTTCCTCCTCCCCAGATGATTGGCATATATAACTTTTCACATGTATGATGTCCTTCTCTTCGGGATTGCTTTCCTAAGAGTAAGGAGAAAGATGGATATATGTTTATGGTAATGGAAGAAAATAGTGGCTCAGATGATCCAAAGCAGTAGATAAAATAATTTAGCTAACTTTCAGCTGCATAATGCTATTTTATTTTTATTGAGATACATTCACGTTTTAAATTTTTTTATTTTTATTTTTTATTATACTTTAAGTTCTGGGATACATGTACAGAACGTGCAGGTTTGTTACGTAGGTATACATGTGCCATGGTGGTTTGCTGCACCCATCAACCCGTCATCTACATTAGGTATTTCTCCTAATGCTATCCCTCCCCTAGCCCCCAACCCCCGACAGACCCCGGTGTGTAATGTTCCCCTCCCTATGTCCATGTGTTCTCATTGTTCAACTCCCACTTATGAGTGAGAACATACAGTGTTTAGTTTTCTGTTCCTGTGTTAGTTTGCTGAGAATGATGGTTTCCAGCTTTATCCATGTCCCTGCAAAGGGACATGAACTCATCCTTTTTTATGGCTGCATAGTATTCCATGGTGTGTATGTGCAGCAATTTCTTTATCTAGTCTATCATTGATGGGCATTTGGGTTGGTTCCAAGTCCGTGCTATTGTGAACAGTGCTGCAATAAGCATATGTGTGCATGTGTCTTTATAGTAGCATGATTTATAATCCTTTGGGTATATACCCAGTAATGGGATTCCTGGGTCAAATGGTATTTCTGGTTCTAGATTCTTGAGGAACCACCTCACTGTCTTCCGGTACCAAAACAGATATATAGACCAAAGGAACAGAACAGAGGCCTCAGAAATAACGCCATACATCTACAACTGTCTGATCTTTGACAAACCTGACAAAAACAAGCAATGGGGAAAGGATTTCCTATTTAATAAATGGTTTTGGGAAAACTGGCTAGCCATATGCAAATTTACTTTTTAATACTTCTTTTCTAATAATTACCACTCCATCTATAAACATTTTATCTCTAAATTATACAAGAGGTAAACTGTATACATGCTTTCAGACAGAAACCATGTGAGTCAGGGTAGGCCTGGTGATGTTACATTAAGAAACAGCCCCTGCAAACTCTGTTTATTATTTCTTGCTCAGCCATGTGTTCAACAGGGGTGAACAACGGGTTCTATGCTTCATAGTCATGGCGGGTCCCAGACTGATGGAGTCGCTAATTCAACACATGTTTGCATGATTGCAGAGCCAGGGAAAAGAGAGAGAGTGAATCACATACTAGCTGTTAAAGCTACTGTCCAGAAGTGTTACTTACTCCTATAGTTTCTTGGCCAAAGCAAGTCATACAACCATGACTAAGTCCATGTGGCAAAGAACTGCTATTCTACTATGTACTTAAGACAAGAGGAACAAACATAAGACCAAGTGACAACTGTTGGAACCCAGGTACATAGTGGTTACACTTGGGAGCATAATTTCAACTGTGTAAAATTTCTGAAATCTTGGTCAGAGCCTCTGAAGAAGAGTAAACCATGATTAAGCTTCTTTCCTTTGACTTTTGGCAAATAGAGGTCTTACTATTTGCAGAAGACCCTTTGGGTGCCTCATGTCAGATCCTGTTGGCTTATTTCCAATACAGATGCTACTTTGAGAGGCAGTTCCAGGTGAGCTCAGACACGTGCTGGCCTAGTTCCATCTTGATATGGTTTTCCTATGTCCCCACCCTAATCCCATCGTGAGTTGTAGCTCCCATAATTCCCACATGTCATGGGAGGGACCTAGTGGGAGGTAATTGAATCATGGAGATGGGTCTTTCCTGTGCTGCCCCGTGATAGTGAATAAGTCTTATGATGTCTGATGCTTTTATAAGGGGTAGTTCCCCTATACAAGCTCTTTTGCCTGCTACCATGTAAGACGTGCCTTTGTTTCTCCTTTGCCTTCTGCCATGATTGTGAGGCCTCCCCAGACATGTGGAACTGTGAGTCCATTAAACCTCTTTCCTTTATAAAGTATCCAGTCTCGGGTATGTCTTTATTAGCAGCTGAGAACAGACTAATACACACCTCAAGCACACAATGGTTTCCACCCCTGGGCCTTCTCCAGCAGGAATTTTCTCAATCAATTAAAAAGTGCATCACAGAAATGCAGGGGTGTTATCTCTGAGATGACACTCAATCAATGATGGGAGCCAGTAGATAAATATTCCAGCCTTCTATCCTTCAGATGGAATTCTCTATGATTCTCAGCAGACTTGTGGGCTACAATGCCTACTGCCTATGGCTGCAGCCTTGACCATGACCCCTTACGCTGGCTTTTTCTCCTTTCCTGTCCCACTCTTCCTGATCCTTCACTCCTTGGATCACCTCCCAAATAAATAACCTGTACCCAAGTTTTTGTCTCAGGCTGTACTTTTGGGAGAACCCTTCCTAAAATAACAAGTCTTCAGAGGGAAAAGGATTGCATATATCTGCTCAAAAAGTGTAGGGGGTGAAGAAGCATTGTTGGAAAAGAGAGGAAACAGCAGAATTAATTTAGTCCTATATCAAAACAAGTTTACATTCTCTGATGCTGAGGTCAAGGGGAAGACTGGGAAAGGGAAGTAAGGATGTCCATTTGAGGTTTAACTTGTCAGAGCAAATTTACAGTTATTTGCAAGTAGTTATTTGGGAGGTAACTGAAGCTAGCTATCTGATTCAATGTTGTAAGGAAAACTGGGGATCAACCTACCCTGTCCATCTCCTGAAGACTAGAGAAGAGAAAGGCCTTGACCCTTGGCTGAAAAGTGTAGTTAAGATCTCTAAGATTTCTTTTCCTGGCTTCAAGGGAATCCTTGACTGTGCAAAGCAGGTCTGGGTGGGAGTTTGGGGTAACAAACAGAGCATCTCTACATAAAGAAGTTAGAGAAATGGATTTTTTGCTCTGGTGAGAGAAAGCCAATAGAAAGAACAAGGTGAAGGGGGAAGAGTGCAGCGCTACTCTGGAGCCTGAGTTGTAGAGATGGCCTAGGTCCTTTTGTAGTTACTATTTTCTTCTTAATGTAGAAGGATGTCTGGTATTAATTTCCGAGTAGCTTGTTTTCGTAGAATTCCTTCCACCTCTTCAAATACTCAGTAAAGTCTACTACACGCTAAATGCCTTGTGTTCATGGGTATGCCTGGAAATTAATGGAAATTTTATTCTGAGTTCTGAGCCAGGTAAACTCTATATCCAATGGAGATAGCTGGCTTGGGACAGCAAAGTGTTCTACAAATGAAACAAATTCAAAGTATTTGGGGCTCAGAGATGGGGGTTTGCAGAAATCTTGGGAAAGGGTTGGCCTTTCCCTAGCCTATGGAAAGAAAACCTGAGTTAGTCTTACCATGACCCTAAGAGAGATGGGGGCCTCAAATGATATCTCAGTTACTGAACACATGAAGAAAGGATTCATTAACCTATCTTGGTGGATGAGGAAATAGTGCTCAGAGCAGCTGTATAAATTCAACACTTATTTCTTTCACCTTACAGAATATTTTGCTAAGTGCCTGTGGGGTGCTAGACTTAGACTGTGAGTGACATTTTAAGGCACTTATGCCCCGACCCTGCCCTTACATCCTGCCTAATGGGCTAGGGCAAAATCAAATGTGCACTCTGGCTTGCTGACATCATTTGGGGACCTGTCAATCTCATAGCCTGCTGCCTGTACCTTTTCTTGTGTTCGCTAAGAATCAGGTGCTCAACAACAGCTACCTTCAAACCCCAGAGTGGAGCCTCTGCTATGCCCAAATGAGTAAAGTTGATGGTTTTTAACCACTGCACTAGATTCAACTACTTGCTGACGTGGCCATTCCTAGCTTAATGTGGCCTATAAGCCTACAATTAGATAGAGATATTTCAGAAGCTGAGACTAATGGGTCCTGACTTCTGGGATGCTGATGAATTCTGTACAACTATGTTAACTAATTCAACCACAGTTTCTTTCCTTAGTCAACTTATCAATTGGTGACTATGTGTTGGCTTCCTACTCCGTGGGGAGGGCTCTCTGTTGTCCACTAGGGTGAGGTGATGAGACTGTGTTAACAGCCGTGATTCAAACAGGTAGTTTGAATGGAAACATTAGAATGGAAATAATTAGGCTGAGTGTGGTGGCTCATGCTTGTAATCCTAACACTTTGGGAGGCCAAGCGGGCAGATTGCTTGAGCCCAGGAGTCTAAGACCAGCCTGGGCAGCATGGAAAAGCCCCATCTCTACTAAACTTACCAAAAATTAGCTGAGTGTGGTGGCGTGCCTGTGGTCCCAGCTACTTGGGAGACTGAGGTGGTTGGAACACCTGAGCTCAGGGAGTCGAGGCTGCAGTGAGCCGTGGTCGCACCACTGCACTACAGCCTGGGCGATGGGAGTGACACCCTGTCCTTAAAAGAAATAATAAAAAGAATGGAAATAATTGAGAGAAACCTTTTCTTCTAGCTGATTTGTTGTTCCAAGGCCCTGTCTTCCTCAAATTGAGAACAGCAAACTTGGGCCAATGCTGCTTCTCCACATGAAGTCAACGCCTATCTCCTTTCTCCCTGTCAACATCTTGCTCATTGTTCAAGGCCCAGTGCAAGTCCCCTCTGTCAAGAGGACTTTCCTGGCCCTCTCGCCCTTCTAATTTACTGGGCGTGTGTGGATTGTTACTCAATTGTTACTTCTGTCTATGTCAGTGTTCTTTTGAACACTGATCCTTGGAAGCGTCAATAGACATCAGTGTAAAATACCCCATTCTCAGATGCATTTGGGAAAACATCAGGTTTAACAAAGGTAAATGGGCTTCTTTAAAGCAGGATGACTCAGAGCCTTTAATATGCCCATATCTGCACTTATTACCAGGTGACCATATCTAGAAGGGGGTGCCACTACAAGTGATATCAGGACGATCAACGAAAACTGGGACTACCCCAAGTAAATTAGGACATATTGTTACCCTAATTAAAATCTCTCCAAGTGGTGTTTCCCAAACTCCTCAGACCAAGGATCCTTTTGTCAAGGAGCATATCTCAGGGTACTATTACGTGAATCACAGTTTGAGAAATGCTGGCGTGCCATGTGACCCAACTAGCACGTGTGCACCTCAAGAGCAGGGCCTGGGTTGTGTCCATCTTTTCCCCCTTGGCAGTTCCCTGTCCTTCTAATGCAGTTCCCTGCAATAGCAAAATTAAGGAAGAAAATTACTTCTATTTTCCTTGGGCATGTCAAGTAAGAGGTGATTTTAAGAGGTTTTGATACATATATTAGATTTCTTCAGAGAAATAGAACCAAAAGGAAATGTGCACGTGCACACACACACACACACACACACACACACACACATACACACACACACACGAGAGAGAGAGAGAGATAAAGATTTTAAGTAATTGGCTCATAAGATTGGGAAGTCTTGGTAAATCCAAAATTTGCAGGATAGGCAGTAGGCTGGTGACTCAGGGGAGGGCTGCAGTTCATGTCCAAAGGCTGTCTGCTGGCCCAACTCCTTGCTCAGAGGAGGTCAGTCTTTATTCTACTCAGGACTTCAACTGATTGGACAAGGCCCATCTGCAATATGGAGGGTAAATCTGTTTTCTTTGAAGCACCATCTTAAAGTTCATCTCGTCAAGAAAAATATGTTCACAGGAACATCCAGAATAATGTTTGACCAAATATCTGGGCGCTGTGGTGTAGCCAAATTGACACATAAGATTAACTACTAGAATAATATGGGAGGTTCACTTCCTTTAATTGGGGATGTGTTTGGAGCAGGGGACCCAGCTCTAGCCTCAGGAGAGTCATACAGGGTTGAGCACGTGTGATGCCTGTAATGGGCCCACTATAATTTGAATTGAATGAGGGTCTTTGGCCAGAGAAGAGTTATGGAAAAGCCTGGAAAGGGAAAAGCAGCAGCTCTCTCTCCTTACTGAGGCAGGTGTGAGCTTTGTGGAAGGAGGGAAATGAAGAGCTGTTTGCATAAGGGTCTTGATGAGACCTCACGGTGTTGCTGTGTCCCAAGTGACAAACCGAGACACAGAATTGGGGGCAGCAGCCCTTTCCCACTTCATCATGGAACCCAGAGTGAGACTGAGAGGACCAGTTTTCTCGGTGGGGCGGGTGGGGGTGGCATGCAGCACCAGTGGGTTCCCTGCAGGGTGACCAACTGTCCATTTAAAGTAATGGCAAAACTGCCATTACTTTTGCATCAGCCTAATAAGACTCTCAGTTCCAGAATCAGGAAAGTCCTGAGAAAATCAAGATAAGTTGGTCACCCTACCTGAGGGTCTGCAGCTCTGGAAGCCCTAAGAGACAGCCCTTTGGGCATGGATGTACCAGCTACCCAACACAGAGCTTCAGCAGTAAATGTCACAGAGATTCTGCCTCTAATGGCTTCTTGGGGAGCACATGCAGAGACGAGAAAAGGAGTGGATGACAGAACATGAGCTCATGTGGGACAACCCCAGGAGATCCCAAAAAGATCTGGGAGCCACTTTGAAGGCAGCCGGAGTGTCTGCATCATGCAGTGGAAGGAGGAATTTGAGTAATTGCTGTTCATGTTACTCCATTTACACCCACAGGCTGGCGAGGCCTGGGGAAACTCAGATTACAAATTCATGTCATCCTGAGGAAAGTTCCTTCAAAAACCAAGCCTCTGGTCTAAGTGCGAGGTATAGCCCT
Organism: Homo sapiens; assembly: GCF_000001405.40. Classification (NCBI taxonomy): domain Eukaryota; kingdom Metazoa; phylum Chordata; class Mammalia; order Primates; family Hominidae; genus Homo; species Homo sapiens. Next base: position 47,498,292 of record NC_000018.10, read on the forward strand.
CGAAATTTTTCTACACCTGTTTGTTCCAGTAAGGTTTATTCACTCACTCACTCAGCCAGCATTTACTGAGTGCCCTCTATGTGCTGCGCACCGGCCACACAAATCCTTGCAGATCTCACAGTCTACGAGGGAAGACAGTGGAAAACAGCCCTTAACTGCAGCATAGGTGGTGAAATTTGATTTTAGTGGAGTGCTGTGGCAGCCCTGTGTATTGCTGTGTGGTCACAAGACATTCTTCTCACTGGCATTTATAAAAGGGTCACTTTATTCCTGCACATTGTTAGTGCTGCTAAGTGGATGCATTGGAAAGGAATTTTATGCTAAAACAAAACAAAGAAAAAGATCACCTAGGTCCATAAACATCCCACCTCCCTGAAGAAGTAGAAAATGGTTTTGGAGCCACATTAAGTCCCCTACTGGGGACTGTTTTCCAAAAGAAAGAACATGGCTCAGATTTTCCGGAGCTTACTGCTAAGCTCACTGGTTACAGCAGACCCTGCTTGGTGCCTATTCAATGTCCATCCTCCCATTCTTTATCATTTATCAAATTTAAATTTATTCAGCATGGCAATGTGTCTAGTTAAAAACACTCACCTCAATCAGAGTATTTCCAAATCAATAAACACTAGCCAAATCTTGGAAATAACTGTTCTATTTGTCTCAGAGAGATGGGGCATAAGGAATATTAAGATGTAAGTTTTATTGCTTAATATGTGACTAAAGGAACACATTGGCATATTAATACCTAACAGAATAAAACAATTGAGAAAAAGTTATTAGAGAGTGTATCTGACATCATGCACTAAGTTTTAAAACAAGGAACGGTCTGTGCTCCTGTTATTTTAGTGTGCAAGGAACAGAGGTGTGCCTGGAAGGAATGGAGCTGTTATCAGTCATGGCTTAATGTTTGCTACAGTCCACACAAAGTAATGTGACACAGCAACTGGGTAGGTAAGAATATTAACAACAAATGACTGGCATTTATTGAGTCATTTTATACAAGGCACTATGCTCATATCTCATATCATTTTAATGGAATCCTGTAAGTTAGATGTTATCCGCATAAACACACACACACATACTCATGCACACTCACACATCCTCAGCTTCCCCAGGCCAATGAGACTTGAGATGATCCAGGAAGTTTCTGATGAAGTGTTTAAGGAGAGCTTGTAAAAGAGGGCAGACTCAGCTGCTAAAGGGCATTATACTTTTTATTCCCCCATTCCCTCTCCCATTCTTCTGGCCTGGAACTTGGATCTGGTGCCCATTGGTGGAGCAGTCACCTTGCAAGTTTAAAAACCAAAGTCACATGCTAAGGATGGTGAACCAGGAAGAGAGAAGGAGCCTGTTCCTTGAATTCTGCACCTGGGCTACCTATTCCTAAACTCTGTTACAAGAGAAAAGTAACATCTAATTTGGTTAAGCACTCATTCAGGTTGTCTAATCTGTAACCAACCACCCACATCTTCATGACTTGAAACAACAACAGTTATTTTGCTCATGAACCTGCAGTCTGGGTAGGTGAGGGCAACCAATCTCTGCTCTACCTGAGGTCAGTTGGGAGATTAGAGGGGTTGGAGTTATCTGAAGGCTTGTTCCCTCTCATGTCTGGTGGGTGACATTGACCGGTGACTGAGATCTAAGCTGGGACTCCAGCTAGAATTCCTGCATGTGGCTTCTCCTTGTGGCTTGGGCTTCCTTACAACATAGTGGTTGGGTTCCAAGGTCAAACATCCCAAGAGAGTAAGATCCAGGCACAAGACGGGTTATCCTTCACTACCTAGTCTTGTACATCATGCAGTGTTGCCTCCATCACCAGAAGTGTGGCTATGGCCATTTTTGTAAAACACAATCTGCCACAGCACTCTTATCAGGTTTCTGTTGCATGCAGCGGATTCCAACACTGACTGAGCAGGCATGACTGCCATGTGTTCCCTGTGACCACTTCACACTTTCCTACCTGTCTCTGGTTTGCCGTGTGAGGTCTACAGTGCTACTGGTTCTCAAACCACCTACAGCAGATTATGGATGGCTACTTAAAGGAGAGCATCCTAAGGTGTGAAGATGCTTTCAAGTCCTGATCATTAGATATGCATCTTAACATTTCATCTGTTCACATATAGAAAGTGTTTTGTGACAGGTATAAAAGAAGTTGTGACTCCTAAGAGTATTTACAGTCTTCTTAGAATATCAGTATTTACACACAACACAATTAGCAAACAACATGCAATGGTGAGTAACATGGTTTTAGAAGGGGTGAAGCGGATCAAGTGCTATAGATGATAATACAGTGTAACAATCAGTGTGGCGTGAGGCTAATCAGGGACAGCTCCATGGAGTGTACAGAGGGGGGAAGGAGAAGGAGGACTTTCAGGTAAGGGTCTCAACAGGAACCCAGCATAGAAGTGAGAATGAATTTGGTGTGTTCATGGACGTGGAGGCAACTGGGCTGATTAGATGGTGCACTCTTTTAGGGGAGCAGGGAAACAAGGATGAAGGGGGAGGAGGTCAGTGGAGACAGCAGGATTATAGATAAGAAATTTCTTATAGCATCAGATGTCCAAAGACCCTCTCTCTGTGTCCCTTCAAAGAGATAAGGGAAGTCGGTCTGTCATCTTGAAGCACAAGGAGTGAACAAAGAATAGTTCCCTTCTTCCTCAAGACAAGAGCAACCATACCTTATTTATTTATCCAAATCCCATTTACAGATACACTAGTATGTTTTAGGCACTGAGGACATTAAAGTGAACGTAAAATATCCCTGATCTGACCTCAAAGACCTTCTAGTCTACTGAGTCACGCATGGCAGAAGTTGGGCTGTCACTATGATGTCATAGTGTGAGGGGTGTGATGGTGAGGCAGGCATAAGGTGGAGATAGAGCACTCACTGCAGCCTAGTGTGGGATGGAGGCCAAGGAAGGTGCCCCAGAAAGGGGGATTTCTAAGTGAGTGTTTTGAGGGACTAGGTCCCAACTTCTCCTCTAGCTCCTTGATGGATAATGAGTTGGCCAAGGAGTAGGCACTATAGTGGAGTAGAAAGAGTCCTGCCAGATTGTGAATTGGGAAGCCTGGAATCTTAGGTATATCTTTGTCTCTATGAGCTGTGTTACCTTAGAAAAATTACTTTCCCTCTCTGGGCCTTAAATGTCCTCCTTCATAAAAATGGCCAATGACCTCTAAGGTCACATCGAGCTCAAAAATTCTATTGTCAGATGGTTTCTCTGAAAGGAAGTTATGTGAAGGTGCTTAAGGAATGCATATGTTTAGTTAATTTCATAACTTGGCTTCCTATGTACAAATTACGGCTACCCCAAGAGAGACCCAGTTCTATTAAAAGCCTGGCATTCGTTTTGATCATGCTTAGAAATACTGCGGGATATCATCAGCAATGCACATGAAACCTCTGCTCACTCATACTCCAGACAGATGACAAAGTGATAAGCAGAACTAATTCCCCAGGGCAATATTTCTTCCCAAAGCATAGATATGGGTGAATTATTGCCATTCTTAATTGCCTAATGATTTTTTTCCCCTTTCATGTAATCTTTTCGGGGGGTTGTATTTTTACCATCTTGCAAATTCATATTGGCAGAGTGATATACATTGTCGAATAAAACACAGTGGCCAATCCATCAAAAATCAGGCTGCAGTTGCCTTGAGATTTTTGGAAAGAGTCTACAAAAAAGGGGAGGCAGAGAGGTGGGGAGAGAGGGTGCTTCAGTAACATGGGCGATCGCTTCCTGGCTGTTGGGTCAGCAGTTCTCACGGCTGACCCTGGGATGGGCTGAGCATTTGAATCTACTCCCAAGTCTTTTCCTTCTGGGTTCAAGTTTTGGCTCTTCAGGGCGTTAGCCTTATTAGCCGCAGCTGTCTGGGGAACTCAGAAGGCAATTAGGCCAGGGAGTGAGCCGTATAGGGGATTGGTAATGGAATGTGGATTCTTTTCTCCCTGACTTAATTGTTTGCATCTGACCAGAAATCATTACCAGCTGATGGCTGCTTGGTGGCATCTGTGAACTAAAGTGGGACCCAATGGAGTTCTTAATATGTGATGAGAGAGGGTTCTTGGGAGAGACCTCATAGACAGACAGCTTCCTTAGCTCCGTTGATGGCGAGGAGAGTTTGCCCTGAACTAATGTGTCCTTTAAGAGGTGATGTTGCTAGTGTGTTGCCTCCTTTCCACTTTCCATGATGTGAGGACCAACAACAATTGCTGGAAGATTTGGTGATGTGACACCCACAAGTCCATGGCGGACTCTAAGTGGTTCTCAGCTTTTGCTGCACATTAGGGTTAGCTGAGGATCTTTTCGACCTCTTTTTGCTTCACCCAAGATTAATTACATCTGAATCTCTGAGGGTGGGACCTGGGTGTCAGTATTTTTACAGCTCCCCAAGTGTTTCCAACATGCAGCTAAGGTTAAGAGCCACCACAGTGGGAAGGGGTTTCATCATCACTCACTTGGAAACAGTGATCTTGAATTTCTTCACTGAGGCGGGTACAAAGAAAGGGAATAAGGAAGAAAAAAGTCAGGACTGGGGAGAGCCCTGCAAGCAATTTTCTCAACATGATTTTGAGACCCACTATGTGCCAGGCACTGGACTAGGTGCTACTAGGGCTACAGCTGGAATGAGACAGTGAGTCACCATTTCCTGGAGGATACAAGTAGCTGATCTCAACAGGGTGCCAAGGGTGCACAGAAAAGTTCCTGATTATTTATGATGAGAAACCAGAATCTAAAGGAGGAAGAGAGGCAGGGTGAACACAGAGTGTTCTAGGCCAGTGCTGGCCACTAAAATATAAGGGAGCTACATATATCTTTTGACATTTTCTAATACACATAGCACCATTTTTAAAAACTAAAAGGTAAAATTAATTTTAATAGCGTTATTTGATTTTAACCAGGTATATCCAAAATATTATGTCAACATATAATCACTATACAAATCATTAATGAGCTATTTTACACTTTTCATACTAAGCCTTCAAAATCCAGTTTTGATTTTATCCTTATAGTGCATCTCAATTTCGACTAGCTACATTTCAAGTGTTGAATAGCTAGTCACTACTGATTTTCAGAGTCAGACTGGTTAGCACTGACTTAGACAGAGGGACGAGTGTGTTTGCTGTGCTGTGTGTTGAGGACCATGGGAAATTCACTGTGGCCAAGCACAGAGTGAGGGTCATGGCAGGCGTGCCCAGGTATGTGATGGCCAAAGTGTAAAAATGAAAATCAGGGCTCCTTTTTCAAATGCTACCAAGAAATTTAAATGCTAGTCATGGTGGCACACGCCTGTGGTCCCAGCTACTCGGGAGGCTGAGGCAGGAAGATTGCTTGAGCCCAGGAATTCTAGGTTGCAGTAAGCAGAGATTGCATCATTGCACTCCAGCCTGGATAATGGAGTGAGACCCTGTCTCACAAAAAAAAAAAATAAAATAAAAGACAGATAAAATAATTTAAGATGGTGGCAGCAGAGAATTAAACCAAGCTGAGGGCAGGCCTGAGTGACTGCACAGGTTGCCCCCTCTTGAAGTCAGTCCTGGGTAGGGCAGGCACTGAGAGAACCCATCTACAATGATTTCCTCCTCCTCCTGCTTTTCTAGGGGTGGAAGCACCATCTTGATCCAGTATGCCTCTTCCCAAGTGCCTCAGGAGGACAACTCCTCCCCAGCCCCAGGGGAATAAATCAACATTGCCCTAAATCCTATCCACGTAATTTCATTCCCTTTGCTTGTGACTGATTTATAATGTCCCTGTGATTACCCAGAGGATGCTGAGGGAATGAAAATTAAAACCACAATAAAATACCACTACACATTCATAGAATTGGCAAAAATTTAAAAATGTGAAGTGGAAAAAAGTGCAAGCAAGGAAAAAGAATGATAAAAATTCCCAGTGACAGTATAAAATATTACAAATTATTTGGAGAAAGTTTGGCATCTAATAAAGTTAAAGGTATGCATATCCTGCCACTCAGTACTTCCATTCTTAGGAAAATACACCTCGGGAAATATCTATAGTCATGCTCGTAGCACCATTCCAGTGTATCAGCCAAATACTGGAAACAACCCAAATGTCCATCAACAATAGAATGAATACACTGTGATGTATTCATACCATAGAATATTATACAGCAATGGAAATGAACAAATTACTACTGGGATAAATTAGTTTTCCCACTTTTGGCCTGGCTGCTTTATAGTGATGGTCTGAAGCAAATAACTTCTCCAGCCCTCAATTTTTCATCTGCTTCATATTTTGGTATGATGCAAGTGAGATGAACATGTTACACCGTCACTGTGGATCTAGCCTTCCTAAATGAGCACTTTGCAGCCTGCAGGCCATCTGGCAGCTTTCCTCTTTGACTCAGGGAAGGAAGCCTGTGAGCAGGCCTCCACCACTGCGGTTGGAAAATCCTTAACATTGATTCTCCAGAGGAGCTTGAAACAGACCAGGTGATTGTGCACACTAGGAACAGAAAGGGATTGAGCCACAGGAAAAGAGAACTTAATAGAAAACTAAGACAGACAAGGAGAAAAATAGAGGCAGAAGAAGCCCCTTTCTCAGAGAGGAAGTCCAAACAGGGCCATGATGATGCTAGTCCATCTGAGGCCAGGCCACTTGGACTCATGGGGTCTGCAACCTGGGGAGGATATATGAGGGCATGACTTAGACAGTGCAGAGCAGAGACCAAAGCATAATCAGGTAGATGCTTACTCATCCCAGGAACTCCTCCTACTAACAGAAGGAGGAAGATGGGGTCGAGCCCTTGGGAAATGGGAATAGCAGGGACTAGCTGAGAAAATAGGACCCAGCTAGGCAGCTGTGTTCTCACAGCAAGGCCTCAGATGTCAAAGCATCAGAAATACGGAAAATAAAAAGCATGATTAATGCAGTTGGGATGGTGGATTTAGTGGCGGGATCTCAAGTCTTTGCTGAAGCATAGTCCTCCTCCTCTGAGTTGTCTTGGCACTGTATGTGCTGTTCTGCACCCCTCACAGGCTCTTCCATTTCTTGCCTTGCATTGGTGTTCTTGGTTGTTCATAAAACAGTTGACATGGCAGGCCAGAGACTTGTATCTTTTGCCTGTAAAAATAGCCCTTGTCTGGTGTCTTGCAATTTGGATTTCAGGAGTGTTCTTAACCATTCCTAAACTCTGCCTAAATGGTTTATACAAATAATGTGGTTGTACTAAATACCTGCTTTCCTTCTGGGTCTGGAATTACAGCATGTGCCAGGCAGAGGATGTCTATGTGACCAGCCCCCCAAAAAACCTTGGGAACTAAGTCCCTACTGCACTTGCCTGATAGCCAACATTTCACAAGTGTTGTCACAACTCACTGCTGGAGGAATTAAGTGTGTCCTGTATGACACTCTTGGGGAAAGGACTCTTGGAAGCTTGCATCCAGTTTCCCTTGCCCTTGACCCCATGCATCTTTTCCCTTTGCTGATTTTGCTTTGTGTCTTTTCAGTGTAATAAGCCATGAATATGACTACATCCTGGGTCCTGTGAGTCCTCCTTGTGAATCACTGAGCCTGGCAGTGTTCTTAGAGATCCCTAACACATTGGTATACTGGTCTTACTTATCTCAACTGCTTTTTAAGCTTTTGCACTGCGAGCATCAGGCATCTCAGCATCCTGACAAGAATATCAGACTAAGAACCAGAACATCTGTCTTTGAAGCTCTGTTTCTCTACTTCCTGGCTGTATGGCATTAGGGGAGTCAATTGTCTTTGTTGAGTACTCCTTAGTTTTCTCATTGAGAATGGATATAGTGATCATCCCCCACCTACTTCATAGTGTATTGTGAGATTCAAATAAAATGATGGGTGTGAAAATATTCCCAACTCTTAAGGCATAATCTCAATGAAAGATGACCATAAATCCATACACTCATACCATGCCTTGGATAAGGTAAACATTCTGTTAGTTTCCGCTGAATAGATAAATCAATGCAAGTGATCTCATTCTTTTCTCTGCTATGGTTTTTGTACTCCCAAAATCTATATGTTGAAACCTAATCACCAATGTCATAATGTTAGATGGGGCCTTTGGGAGGTTATTAGGTCATTAGGTTATTAGGTTCCACCCTCATGGAAGGGATTAGTGCCCTTATAAAAGAGTCTCCACAGAGCTGTCTTCCCCCTTCCACCATATGAGGACACAGCTAGAAGGCACCATCTATGAATGAAAGCAGGCCCTCACCTGACAAGGAATCTGACAGTGCCTTAATCTTGGACTTCCCAGCTTCTAGAACGGTGAGAAATAGATTTCTCTTGCTTATAAGCTACCTAGTTTAGAGTATTTTGTTATAGAAGCCCAAACAGACTAAGACACTCTCCAGAGTCCATAGCATGTGGCAGAATTCTGGACATTGGAGGAATAAAAGAAACAATTTTCAATTGTCAGGATAGAAAACCAAAACCAAACCAATCGCCAACACCCTAGTGCAGTGTTCCTCCCCCACAATTCCATTCTTCTTCATTGACAATCCTTGACCATGGGGTAGTGCTTTTAGAGCCTCCTAAACTCCCTTAAACCATTTGCTTTTGAACTCCACTCATCAGCCTCTTGTCAGCCACCACCAGTAGGAACACGAAGGCCTTAATTGATCAGGCACGGCAGTAGCCTTGAGAACTTGATTCAGGTATTGACTTCTGAGGAGCCAGTTTCACTCTGGCCTCCACAGCTAGGAGCAGCTGAACATCAAAACTATTAACCTCTAGCCTGAGCAGTTGGCGAGGCAGCCCAGCAGCAGTAATTAGGAAGTCAATCGGAATCGCCTGTCTCACTTACACTGGCATGTCAATCAATAGCAGCGGTGACAGGTTCATTAGGCCCAGGCCATGCAAGCCCAGCCTGTAACAACCTCATAAAATACACCAACGACTCAAGGCAGAGAGAAATCTGCCCGAAGGACTAGAGTGGATGACAATATGTATTGATTAGGGCTCCAGCAATTTATGAAGTGCTACTTGTTGGCCAACCTTTCTGACTCAGTGCTAAATTTTCCCAAGTAGTTGCAAGATGAAACCAAATATTACCCTTTAAAAAAATGAAAGCAAGCTGTTGTCTGACAGGGCATTTTTTACATTAGTTACTCCTAGCAAATAATCTATCGGGGTAAAACTTCAATAGTTACTTAAGGCTGAAGCGATACCTTTGTCTCTGTGACCATCAGACTTTGAAAGAAGTCTGCAGAAGAAAAAATATGATTTGACGTGTGATTAGGCAAGACTCTACCTTCGGAGAGACAGGGTGATTTAGGCATTCATTTCTACTTGGCATTTTTAGTGGCTCATCTGGGTTGTTTAGGGCGGGGGTGGGGATGGCTGACACCTGGGTTTTCAGGGCTAATTTAAGAGCTCTATAGAAGGAGGGTGGGGAGGGGGTGTGAAAGGATTCCTCTGGCTCCATCCCTCCCTCATGGCTGACACTGCTTGACCACATTTGCTGGAGACCTTGCTTGCCTCTAAAGCCTGCTGAATAACAGGGCAGTTATTCCGAGACTCATCCAGTCTGTCCTTGAAAACAACACAAGGAGGGGGTGACATGTTCACTGCGCAACCAGACTTACGTGTCACCTCACTATTAGTCCTGGGAAATAGCCAGAGGTTTGTGGCTAGCCAAATGTCTCCTAAGATTGCTTCTGTCTTTGGTGGTCAAAGGCACACACATCCACACCTATGCATTCATTATCAGAAAAAGGCTTAAGACTGCTTTACATTTGAAAAAACTCCAAAAATTCATGACATGCCCAAAGCTGGTCCCTGTTTGGACTGTCCCCAAAGGAGTGTGCACACTGAAGACAGAGCTGGTGGTCAGAGTCAGGTTAGAAGGGCTGAATTCAGTCCCTGTTTTGTTGCAATTAGCTGTCACCTTGAGAAAGACCCCCTACCTCACTAAGTTTGGTTTCTTCATCAATAAAATGGGATAAAAATGTCACTGTTTCTATCCAACATGGTTATTGGAAATCACAGGTGAAATAATGGAACAGAAACTTTTTTTTTGTAAAACACTGTGTAAGTGTAAAAGTAGGTATATAGGGAGAATATCAACTGTGTTCATCCCATCTGCCAAGTAGAAGGGGAGGTTCCAAATCATGACATGGAAGTTGAGATGTTCTCTCCTAATATCTTAAGGACACGCCCACATCAATCAATCCACAAACATTTATTGAGCTTTGTAAGATACTATGGTTGATCTTTACCTCCCTCTCTTCTGGTTTCAGTTACAGGAACTCACTAACAGTGTGGAGAGGGAAAACACTGGTTTTTCCCAACCAAGTCCCAAGGCACAGATCTTTATGTAAAACCAATCCTCAAGCAGGATTCTCTTTTGTCCCCTAGGTTCCAGGAAACTTGCTTATTTGTTCCCATCCCCCAATCCTGCCCCACTGTGGGCTTCACTTCCTCTCTGGGGTTTCTTTTCTTTCTTTCAAGAAGTGCTTGCCATTTTCCCAGTCACCATCTTTGCATCCTCTTCAACAAACACAGAAATGGGAATTTAATTGCGAGTCACCAAGAAAACAACAAAATAGCACAACAAAAACAAGACGAAAACAAACAACAAAATTCAAATGACATGTCCTAGCTGAAATTGTCCCTTATCTGTTTGGATCTGTTCAGTGGGGCCAGGCCAACCTTTTCATTGCCTCCTCCCTGGCCACTCTTTCCCTGGGCCTGTGAATTCTCATGTTCTTGCCTCGCAGATCTGCCCTCTCAGTTCTGAGTAGATTCAATGCTCAGATTGAGGTTAGTGGTGGAATTAGTTTGGAATAGCTGCTAGGGCTGGAGAGATTCTCAGTCTTTTCTGAGCCCTGCTGTCCAATTTAGTATTTGTGCAGTCCCCCCAAGACTCTTCCTCTTGCCCCATAATTATAATCCCTGAAAAAGATATCCTCTCCAGACTGGTTTTTTTTGTTTGTTTGCTTGCTTGGTTGGTTGGTTTGTTGGTTTAGTTGTATTTAAAGTGTATTAACAAGCTTGTTGTTAGGACTGTTTCTACCTGTAGGTGAAGCCTGGCTTTTTGGACCCATGGACCTAAATGGGCTTCTAGACCTGGTCTTTCTAGGAGCCATGTGGTCTGATGGGGGAGAGGGAGTGTGCCATCTTCCTCAGGCTTGTCTATGTGACCTGGGGCTCTTAACCAGCTCTAACAGATAGCTGCCTCTTCTGCTTTCAAAATCTCTCTCAAGTTCCTATTTCTGGTCTGAGAGGCCTTCTGTTTAGAGCTCACTGGACAAGCAGATAATAATTAACATATTTTGAGCCCAAACCCTGCCTGTTTAGGGTTCACCAGCCATTCATCTCCCAAGGTTTATCCTCTGCTTTATCACTTAGCGCAGGCTCTGCCTTCTGTCCTGGAGGGACCCCTTCCAAGTCCCCAAATGGAGGCAAGTCTTTACCATCTGAAAACACATGAAGCAATAAAAGACAATTTTCGCCAGGGGAAAAGCAGCCCCAGTTGTGCTCTGTAAGCCTACTTTTAACCTTTCAAAGCCTTTCCATACCCTTGACCTTATCGCTTCTTCGTTTCCTTATGAGGTATGGATGGTAACATGTTAGTCCAGGGGAAAGACAATGGGAATTGATGCCCCAGCAGGGCCACTGTGAGAGTAGCAGAGGAGGCCATCTGGACATTCAAAAGAGGCCTGTTCTGACTTCTACCCCTCAACTTCCCTCACTTCTGATGGGCCTCAGTTTTGACCTCAGTGAAACAGAGAAATGCCTTTATTTTTAAATATCATGAAGTGCCCAAAATTATTAAACCATGAAAAGTATAGAAATGTTTAGCCTAGGTACTACCATTTAAATTATTTTGCTGTTTGTATTTGTATGCCATAAGAGCAGTATTTCAAGCAAAAAGTTTTATGTTCTTATTCATCCATGTACTCCAGTCCCCAGCACAAATCTGGGACACAAAGGCAAACCTGTTATTTTGAACTGGTCTTTATTTATAAGGGAAAGGGGAAAAAGTGGAGTGGACATTTTAATTTTTTTAAAAGGTCATACCATAGAGACTCTCTCTGCCTCCCAGCTTCTTACAATGGCATCGTTTGTCCTGTGGCTCAGGTTTTTGTTGTTGTTGTTGTTGTTGTTGTTGTTGTTGTTGTTGTTTGAGACAGAGTTTTGCTCTTGTTGCCTAGGCTGGAGTGCAGTGGTGCGATCTCGGCTCACTGCAACCTCTGCCTCCTGGGTTCAAGCAATTCTCCTGCCTCAGCCTCCCGAGTAGCTGGGATTACAGGCAAGCATCACCACCACACCTGGCTAATTTTTTTGTATTTTTAGTAGAGATGGGGTTTCGCCATGTTGGCTAGGCTGGTCTCAAACTTCTGACTTCAGGTGATCCACCCTCCTCGGCCTCCCAAAGTGCTAAGATTACAGGTGTGAGCCACAGCGCCCAGCCGTGGCTCAGGTTTAATTTGGAAGATAAGATGAGTCACGCCTTGGGAGAGTCACCCTCTTTTCCGCTAGAGCCACCACTCTCAGTCCTCTAGGCCACGTGTTCCTGCCAACCCATTGCAATGTACACATGGATATCTGCAAGGTGCCAGAGGTGTGTGTTTTGGGGGATTGGAGAGGGACAGGAGTGGCCCCCTCAGCCTGAGAGAACCAAGCACCTCTCCTGCCTGGCACCGTGAGTGTCCCCATCTCATGAATAATCCTACATATCTGCTCTGGCAGGGGCAGTTTGAGAGCCTGCAAGATGCTGGCTTTTTAATGCTGGTTTGCAGCAAGGCCTGCAGGAGAAATCCTTATGCTCCAAGACAGAGCAACCAGCCAATAACGACTTTCCTTGCACCTGTGCCTGTTGCAACCATTTTTATCATTTTGCCACGCTCCATTGACCGATGGATTTTTTTCCAGCTTTGCACTTTTTTATTACTATTATTTCTATCTTCATCATTACCTCCATGCCTCTGATGGCATTTAGATATGAACCGCCTATGAACCTTCAAGCCCAATTGTGCCATGACAAAAATATTGTCGTTTACATTCTGTGCCAAAGTATTATATAAAAACACATCAACGAAAAGGAAATTCAGGAAGCTGGGAGTAAAGATATATAGTCAGCAAACTATATAACTTCTGGCATATTACTGCTTAATCCTAACATAATTATTCTCATCCTTTTATTTGATTAACTTCTAATGGTTCCTCTTGGTGTTAAAGGTCCCACTCTGATCATTTGATTTTAGTGTCTGCTATAATTACCGATAATGTTCTTTGCAAGACAATCTAATGATAACCGCATAATGGCCTATATGAAGAAAGCTGCAGGGTTTCAAAGCTTTTGAGTAATATAAAATACATTAGACTAACACAAGCTATCAACATGACAGGGAATGTTTGATTTACACTCAGGACTATGTTATAGCATCGTGGAATTTTTTTCTTTTCCTTTTCCTTTTTCTTTTCTTTTTTTTTTTTTTCTTTTTGCAGCCATTTACAATAAATGACAGAACAGTTGGACAATCTGCAACTTGCTGATTGCAAAAAATGTATCACAATGTTTGGAATGGTGCAGTGGCAGCTAGGGGAGCTCTGGGGAAATGGTGTCCTTGGAGCAGGGCTGGGACAAGAGCCGTGGGCCTGGCTTCCTGAGGACAGTGAACAAATAGCCTTCCCCTGGGTAGATCAGCCCAAAAGGTAAACCCACTTCTCTTTGCTCTTCTCCTTGCGTGTTGCAGATCCCAACAACTGAGATTCTTTCTGCCAGTCATATTCACCAGGTTAGTGGTTAGCTATTGGCTCTGTTTGGGTAGCCAAAGTCTCAATCAGTTAACTATTTTTAGGATCAAAATAATAATTAGTTTGTTTTCAGTTACTTCGTCTCTCCTTCAAAAATAAGCAAATGAGTGATTACACGGAAAAGCCAGCCTAAAACAAAAGAACAATTTTGTCCAAGCCCTGCCAGCCTGCAGTCAACACTGTCCTCTTGCCAGCCCCTCTCCTGGCCAGTGCCGTCGGCAGTCAACGTTCCAGATTTGGGAGCCTGGCACGTGTGCCTCTTTTGTTTGAAATAAAGTGATCAGTCACCACTCTGGCCAAATGCAGCATAATTGATGGTGTGAGTGGATGGAGAAAATTTCCTGTCAGAAAAAAGGTTAACTGTGGACATATTACAGCCAGGGTCTCTGATTCCAGTATAATGGCATTTGGACAAAAGTAGGGCCCGTCCTTTTTATAGCACTTTATGCCCCATTAGTATTACTGCAAGTCCCAGGACCTGCCTGTTCGGGCACTTAATCAAAAGCAATGGGTTGAAAATCATGTCCCAGATCTCCTCATATTTGATTCATTCCTTTTAGATAGGAAGAAGTAAAAAACACATTACTAGCATCCAAACAGCACATGCATTATGCGCTAAGCAGTTGAGAAGGCTATCATTGGGTTTTATCCCTTTGGGTACTTGGATGGACAAGTACTTTCCTATTCATCCATTCACTGGTGGAGGCAGCCATATTTCATTTTTTTTCTTCTGCTGACAGACAATCCGTTAGTTTTCCACAGATCTCTCTTTTAAAGACACATTCATGTCACTTATTTTAATTGTAGGCTTCAGGCAGCAAAGCCCAGAAATGTGCGCTCATGTGCACACACACACACACACACACTTACACACACACACACACACACAACTGGAAAACCACTACTTGGATGTAGCTCCTCTGAGAGTCAAATCTAATAATAGAAGAGGAACATTTCTTAGGGGAAGAATTAATTTATACACTTAATTACTCGGGATCCACTTCAAGCTCTCCGTCTTAACGCTCTTTCTTTTGGAGAGAGTTTTTAACTAAACACAGAGTGTTCTGACAGACCCTGAGGACAGCCTGCCTCATTTAGACAGAGGAGCCCGGCCTCTTCCACCCCTGCCCTCATAGCCCACGCCTCAACCCTCAGGGAGGAGATGAGGGCATCAGCCATGGATCGAGGCCCCGCCAATGTTCGTATTGATTGGGACCTGGGTGAGAGAAGCTTCAGCTCAGTGAGCTGCTGTCTCACTCCCATGCTCTCTGGGGCTTCCAAGTGGATTTCCTGCTCGATGGCTTCGCCCCAGCATAACTGTGAAAAATGAAACATTTTTTCTATCTGTTCAAAAATGGGGGCAATAGCCAGGCTCCTCGTCATTCAGAAGGCCTCTGTCTGAGGAATGGGCTTTTTGTTTTGTTTTGTTTTTAAAAATTTGTTTTATTTGCCAATATCTTGCTAAAGAGTGGAAGAAGGATATAGTCAATTATAAAATTGCACAGTATTTGGAAAGGCTTACCTCTGCTGGATTAATGTGAGGCAGGAGAGTTATAATCTGTTTTTGACATCATCAAAAAATGGATTAGATTATGGTGTATTATGGAGCCAAACAGATCAGGGAGGCTGCCCCTGACAGCCTTATGGGTTGATCTAACAGACTGGGAACCTGAACACTAGGGTTCCCAAAGTGAGTTCCAGCTGGGTGCAGAAGGAGCAACTTTCTGTTCCCTGAGAAGTTGCTGATGCAGGCCTGCAATTGTCCACAACTGAGGAGGATAGGAGCTTTGAAAATGTGGCCAAATGGAATAGACACTCAGGGAGAGGGGAAGAAGTATGTGACCCTTGGCCCCTGATTTGGAATGGGGACCTGTTTAGCCTCCTGGTTTGTGGTTATCCCATCGGCCTCCTGCATATCCCTCCCCCGTGTCAACGTTTAGAGTTCAGCCATTGTTTATTAATAAGCCCTGTTAAATGCACACCTAATATCTGAGAGAGAGGAAACAACACAAAATTAACATGTCATCACATTAAGATGAATTTAGGCTCAATCTTTTAGTGCCTTTATAGACTATTTTACTTAAATTATGATATCATGGGCCAGGCACAGTGGCTCACGCCTGTGATCCCAGCACTTTGGGAGGCCGAGGCAGGTGGATCACCTGAGGTCAACAGTTTGAGACCAGCCTGGCCAACATGGTGAAGCCTCCGTCTCTACTAAGAATACAAAAATTAGCTGGGCTTGGTGGCGGGTGCCTGTAATTCCAGCTACTTGGGAGGCTGAGGCAGGAGAATCGCTTGAACCTGGGAGGCAGAGATTGCAGTGAGCCGAGATGGCACCATTGCACTCTAGCCTGGGCAACAAGAGTGAAACTCCATCTCAAAAAAAAAAAAATTATGATATCATGTTGAAAAATATATTTCTTAGGGTCTTATATCCCATTATATATCAATATAAACTCTATATGATACAGAGATAATTATTTTTAAACCTCAAGAAAATCTAGAAGAAAATTAAATTGACCGTTTATCAAGCCTCAGGAGAGGGATGAAAATGATTTTTCTAAGCTTAGAAGCAATATAGAAACCCTCAGAGGAAAAGAGTGACAAATTTGACAATATAGAAGAACAAAACACTTCTGCATGTTAAAAAAAAAGGCAACCAAGAGATTGAAAAAATATTAGTAGCTACTATGACAAAGAGTTAAAATCTTTGTTATTTAAGATGATCATACTAATTTACAAGAAAATATCAAGTTCCAATAATAAGCTAAGAACATCAACATAATTTATAGAAAACACAACCAGTAAACAAAAATATTGAAAGATGTTCAGCTTCACTAGAAATCAAATAAATGTAAATTAAACAAATAAATGAAAATTTAAAGAAGTAATCCTTCTGTGTATTTTTTTAAAAATCTTTTTAAATGAAAATTCTTAATATTAACAAGAGTGTCCTGAATATTTGTTGAATATTCCTGGTGATCTTGTAAAAAGATAAGACCCTTTCAGAAAGCAATCCAAAGTCATAAAAATGTTTATACCCTTTGACCCAGGAATCCCACTTCTGGGACTCTAATCTGTGGAACTACTCTAAAAGATAAAAAAAAAAAAAAAAAAAAAAAACAAGTTAATGTTTTTATTGCAGTGTGGCTTATAGCAACAAAAATCAGAAACAACCCAACACCAACAAGAGGTGCTTGTCTCACATCCATTCAGTGGAATATTAGTCAATCTTAAAATGATGACCATGTGGAAAAGGGCTCCATTTACTATTAGATGAAAATTTAGTATACAAAATTGGATGTAAACTTGGATTTCCAGTGAAAAACATGCAAATATGAAAAAAAATAGAAACACATCAAAAATACTTTGAGATCACTGTGCATCTACCAGAATGAATGCAATTTTTAAAAACAAAGAAACATACTGACCTCACCAAGTACTCACAAGTTTGTGAGCAACTGGAAGCCCCATGCATTGCTGGTGGGATGATGCTACTACGACAAAGTGGTGCAGCCACTTCAGAAAGCAACTGGGCAGTTTCCTATGAAGCTAAACATAAACTTACCATATGACCTAGCAGTCCCACTCCTGAGTATTTACCCAAGAGACATGAAAGAGAATATTATCAAAGAGAATATTCACATGCAACCAAAAGGCTGTATGTGTATGTGTAAAGCTGCTTATAGCACCTTAATCATAATTGCCAAAAAATGAAAATAACTCGAATGTTCATCCACTGAAGAATGGATAATCAAACTGTGGTACATCCATACGGTGGAATGTTAGTCAGCAATAAAAAGGAATGAACTACTGATACGTGCATCATAGATAAACCCCAAAAGCATTATGCTAAGTGAAAGAAGCCGGACATGAGAGGCTACATACTACATTATTCTAAATATTTATATGACATTTTGGAAAATGCAAAATTATAGAGACAGAGGACAGATAAGGTGTTGTCAGGAGCTTTATGTGGAGAAAGAAGATTGACTGCAAAGGAGCACAAAAGGAAACATTTTTGACGAGGCTGTTCTGTCTCTTGATTGTGGAGTTGGCTACATGACTCTGAATTTATTAAAATTCATAGAACCGTATTCCTCGAAAAAGGTGATGTTTTTCTGTACATAAGTTATACCTCCTAACCTGGCTGCCATACCCCAGAAAGCTATCCATAGTTCTGGTGAAACAGTAAGATTATTATGGGTGATTCTTTTCTCCATTTTCAGATTTTCCAACGTAACTTTGAAAAACAAATTATATAAATATATTATTAATATATATATAATCTGTATGTCTGTTGCTGTCATAAGGGAGGAATAATCCACGAGTAGGGGCACATTTGTCTAAATATGTATAATACTTCTATTCAAAGAGCCACTGAGCAGAAGCTAGCAATGTGAAAATCCTTTGCAAAATAAAATCTCAGAACCAGGAGGCTACTCTCCCATTGGCTCTACCTCTCTTTGGATTTTTTAAAGAGCTCTACTTTTCACCTGACCTGACTCTAGCTCTCAAATTAGCAATAAGTAGTAAAGGAACCGTATGCATTTCATTGGAAAAAAAAAGACTTGGAAGTGGAATTTATCTCAGATATGCAAGATTGGTTAAACATATGAAAATATATCAATGTAGTATACCATATTGAAAGAATAAAGGACCAAACCTACATGCTCATCTCAATAGCTATAGAAGATGCATTTGACAAAAAATCCAACACCCTTTCATGATAGAAACACTCAATATACTTAGAACTTCCTCAACCTGATAAACAGCATCTACAAAATACTCACAGTTAACATTATATTTAATGGTAAAAAACTGATCAGGAATACAGTAAAAATGTCTACTCTTGCCAATTCTATTCCACGTTATACCAGAGGTTCTAGCTAGGGCAGTTAGGCAAGGAAAAGAAGTAAAAGTTATCAGATTGAAAAGAAAGAATTAAAATTATCTCTGTTTGCATGTGACATGATTTTGTACATAGATAATAATCCTAAAAATAAAACTACAAAAACCCCTATGAGAACTAATAAAAGAGTTCAGTAAAGTTGTAGAATACAAAATCAATATATAAAAATAAATTCTATTTCTATACACTGGCAATAAACAATCAAAAAATGATACTGAGAAAACAATTCCATTTGCAATAGCATCAAAAAGAATAAAATACCCAGGAATAAATTTAACCAAAAAAAGTGAAAGACAAATGTAGAAAATTAAAGAAGATCTAAATCAATGGGAAGATCCAATATTCATAGATCAGGAGACTTCTTTTTAAGATGTCAGTATTCTCCACATTAACCTACAGATACAGCACAGTCTCCATCCAAATACTAGCTATATTTTTGCATAAATCAACAATCTGATTCTAAAACTTATATGGAAATGCAAGGGACCCAGAATAACCAAAGCATGAAAAAGAACAAAGTTGGAGAACCCATACTTTCTAATTTCAAAACATATTACAAGCTATGATAATCAAGACTGTGATACTAGCCCATTGCTCTATGTATCAACAGAATAAAATTGAGAGTTCAAAAATCAGCCTTTACATTTATGGTCAGTTGATTTTCAACAGGGGTGGCAAGATTCAATGGGGAAAGAATAGTCTTTTAAAAAATGGTGCTGGATGTCCTGACGCAGTGGCACACACCTGCAATCCCAGCAATTTGGGAGGTTGAAGCAGGCAGATTGCTTGAGTCCAGGAGTTCAAGACCAGCCTGGGCAACATGGTGAAATTCCGTCTCTACTAAAAATACAAAAAATTAGCCAAGCGTGATGGCACACACCTATGGTCCCAACTACTTGGGAGGCTGAGGTGGGAGGATCACCTGAGCTCCAGAAGCAGAGCCTACAGTGAGCTAAGATCATGCCAATACACTCCAGCCTTGATGACAGGAGTGAGACCCTGCCTCAAAATTAAATAAATTAATTAATTAAAATAAAAATTAAAAATAGTGCTGGGACAAATGGGTACCCACAAGCAAAAGAATGAAGTTAGTCCCCTACCTCACATCGTAGGCAAAAATCAGCTCAAAAGGGATGAAAGGCCTAAATGTTAGAGCTAACCATTAACATAAAATTCTTAGAAGCAAATATAGGTGCAAATCTTTCAGACCTTGTATTAGTCAATGGCTTCTTAGATATAACTCCAAAAGTACAACAACGAAAGGAAAAATAGATACATTGGACTTCATCAAAATTGAAAAATTTTGTGCTTCAAAGAACACCATCATGAAAGTAAAAATACAACCCACAGAATGGAAGAAAATATTGACAGATTGTGTATTTCATAAGGAATTTGATTCTGTAATATATATAAAGAACTCTTACAACTCAACAATAAAAGTACAAATAATCAAATTTTAAAGTGGACAAAGAATCTGAATAGACATTTATCCAAAGAAGATATTCAAATGGTAAATAAACATGACAAGATGATCAGGATCATTAGTCATTAGGAAAATGCAAGTCAAACTACAATGAGGTCTAACTTCACATCCACTAAATAGCTCTAATAAAAGCAATGGATACGAACAATTACTGGTGAAAATGTGGAGAAATTGGGAATCCTCATACATTGCTGGTGGGAATGTAAAATAGTGCAGCCACTTTGGAAAAGTTGGGCAGTTCTTCAAAGATTAAATGTGGAGTTACCATATGACCCAGCAATTCCACTCAAAGAGAACTGAAAACATATGTCCACACAAAACTTATACATGAATGTTTATAGCAGCATTATTTATAATAGCTAAAAACTGGAAACAACCCAAACTCTATCAATAGATGAGTGGGTAAACAAAATTTAGTATATGCACATAAAGGAATATTATTTGTCAATAAAAAGGGAATATGGTTCTGATACATGCCACAACATGGATGAACCTTGAAAACATTATGCAAAGTGAAAGACACTGCTCACAAAGACCACATATTATGTGATTGCATTTATATAAAATATTCAAAATAGGTGAATGTATAGAGACAGAAAGTAGACGAGTGGTTGCCAGGAACTGAGGACAGTGTGGCAAAAGGAATGATTCTGTGGGTACAGGGTTTCTTTTTGGAGTGATGGAAATGTTCTGAAATCAGATAGTGTTAATAGTTGCACTACTTGAACATACTAAAAACCAGTGAATTCTACACTTTAAAGGGGTGATTTTTATGATAAATGAGTTATACCAATCAAAAAATGAATGAATATAAAAGACAAGAAAGGAACTAGGGTGGGTGGGTGGAGGGTTCAGCGCAAAGTGTATCTAAAGATCTGACAGGCTGTGTACTAAAGAATCAGCTGGTACTAAAGAATCAGCATCAGCTTCAGAGTTTTCTAGCCATTGGACTTCCCTGGGAGCAATAGAGAGGTCATGGGATGGGCATTGTCCAGGCCGCCACTGGTTGGCGAGTTTAGACTAGCTTTGGCTGACCTCCTGATCTCTGTCGCCTAAAGCAAACTGTTCCTCTATATTTCAGCCACTCACAGGCACACATCACTGACTGTGCCTGTATTGCAAATATCTGAGCACACATTTTTTTTTTCTCTTTGATTATAAAGTCTTTAAGTGGAAGGACTATGCCCCAATGTGTCAACTCAGTCACTTGGACACGGTAGATGTGTCTAAATGTTAAGTGGTGAAAACCATAAAGTAGGGGCAATTTCTATTGGTGTATCTTCCTTCTATAGCTCTTTCTCAGGGGCTCCAGGGGTTCCTCAACCTGCTCCTTGACATGTCCCTGGTGACCTGAGGGTTCTGGATGTGGGGTGACACTGCAGGGAGGGGCTCAGTTTAAGCCAGTGTATTTTCCTCCCTGGCATAGTGCCTCCTTACTTTGGATGACTGCATCCCACATCATATCAAAGATTACAAATGAACTCATTGGTACACAAATACATGGAATCTCATTTATATTTAACTATCTGAGTTGAGTTGTGGTTGAATAGTTGGCAAAACAATACACTCTGCAAACATTTGATTGAAGTTTAATTAATTTTGATTTTGCAATTTTCTTATTTTAGAACCTTTTTTTTTCAAGTTTGCAAAAATAATTTTACAGGCTCTCGCAAAGCACTTCATTCAGCCCAAGGCATCATGTTGCCCGAGGCAGCATATTGGATGAGAGTCCCTGCTTTGTAGGCACTGTCTGGGAACAGATGGAGAGGCATTTGGGGGAACATGGAGTCGCTCCTGGGCCGTAGAATTTCTCCTCTAAGGCGGTTTGCCTACTGCACCCACGTTTTGACTACTGCACCCACGTTTTGACTGGGCCTGTCCCTTTAAGTGGTAAGCAGCCCCCTGGCCCAGCACCTCAGAGAACCCCCCCCCCCCCCGCAGTGCCCACTCCATTGCCTGTCTCAGGGCCCAATGCTGCCCAGCAGTGGCATAGAAGTGGGACACATAGGTGTTGACAAAGATTAGGAAAGATCGATGAACACGGACGCAGATTCATTCCCAGCTGCTGAACTAATCAGTTGGTTTTCACATGCACTTTATTCCCCTGTCATATCAGCCACAAATACCTGCTTTAACGCTTGGGATCAGTCCTGCGCCAGCCAAATTGATTATATTATTTGGTTTGCTTTAGGAGGAGAAATGGAAAAGACCTTTGCCCTCCCCTATATATATATAAAATATAAAAAAAGCTAAAGCAAAAACAAGTAAAATAACAATTGCAGGTTCTGTCGGAGTAGAAGAAAGAGCCTGCGTGCTGGGTTCAGATAATACTTTTGAGAAATTAAACGACCATATCATCCTGAGTCTTGGTCTCCAATCCATTGGTCCATGAGAGCAAGAGGCCCGGAGAGAAGACAAGGGTTTCTCTAGACCTCACGAGCACAAGTAGAAGGAAGTGAATCCCTGGGCTAGAAAGTGGCTTTGCTTAGAAAGAGGGGAAACAAGCAGGACACAGTGGCTCACGCCTGTAATCCCAGCACTTTGGGAGGCCGAGGCAGGTGGATCATAAGGTCAAGAGTTTGAGACCAGCCTGGCCAATATGGTGAAACCCTGTCTCTAATAAAAATACAAAAATTAGCTGGGCATGGTGGCGGGCACCTGTAGTCCCAACTACTTGAGAGGCTGAGGCAGGATAATCGCTTGAACCCGGGAGGCAGAGGTTGCAGTGAGCCGAGGTGGCACCACTGCACTCCAGCCTGCTGGGTGACAGAGCGAGACTCTGTCTCAGAAAAAAAAAAGAAAGGGGGAACACTGGAAAGATAAACAGACTCCAAAGGGAGAGAAGTGGAATACAAGTATCTTGGGAAGAATCATCCAGGAGTATAATACAATGATTTCCAGTGGGCAGCGGCAGTGGCAGTGGCAGTGGCATCATGGAGGAACTGGTCCTGCACATAGGTGCAGGTTACCTGGTCTTGGGGGCTGTGATGGAGGCATTCCTTCCTTGGGAACTTACAGGAGGGTACCCATTTATTCTAAAACCACCCTGCTGGAAGGAAGCAGTGAAAACAAGCAGTCTGGTCTCCTTTATTTATACAAAGGATAAATTAAGGATCAGAGAGAAAAGAGACTTAGGCCACATGACTCAGTACCAACAGAGCCAGGACTACAATTCAGATCTCTTCAATCCCATCCAGGGCTCCTGCCATATGATCATTCATGATTCAGGGCCAGGGTGACTCCACAAGGTCGTGTCAGCCCATACCACCTATTTAAGCTGTAGAGGGGAGTGAGCCACCTGTCTCTTCTCACCTGGAGACACCCTCTCTGGTCCTAAGTAACCAGCCATTGGTTGTAACCCCCTGGAGGACCCCCAAGAAGGGAAGGGCAAGATGTGAACTAAAACACCAAAGTGTTAACATCAGAGGCCTGTCTGCTCAGGCCCTGACAGGGAGTTGATGGGATTCAGGACACACTACCCCAAAATATGAGGTATTTTGAGAAAATTTTTCTCGGGATTTGAGAAAACAGCAGAGGCAGGAAGGCCTCTCTAACCTTCTTCCTTAAGGCAGGCCATAAAAGAAATCCCTCCTCCAAAGTAGGTCATAAGACCCCCATTTGAGAGGCACCCTCCCTGTATCTAAAGAAAAGAAATATCCTAATATCTGAAGACACAAGGTTGCAGAGAAGAATCTGAACAAGTAGGCCTTGCTAAATTCCTTTTAGTTTATTACCATAAGATCATACCCGCTTTGTCCAATCACACTTCTACACAACTGTCTGCTCGTCATCAAACCTAAGTAGAGTCATGGGCTGAGTAATGACTTTTCAGTCAATGATGAACCACATATACAATAGTGGCCCTGTAAGATTATAATGGAGCCCTAGAGAGGTGTACCATTTAAAATCTGCTATATTTTTACTGTGCCTTTTCTATGTTTAGACACACAGATACCACTGTTACAACTGTCTACAATATTTAGTAATGCAACTTGCTATACAGGGTTGTAGCCTGGGAGCAATAGGCCTATCCTGTATTCTAGATGTGTAGTAGGCTGTACCATCCAGGTTTGGGGAACTACACTCTGATGTTTGCACAATGATGAAATCACCTGATAATGCATTTCTCAGAACATAGCCCCATCCTTGAGTGACGCATGACTGTATAAAAATACACAGGTTTCCTTGTTTCTTTGGGTCTTCATTTCTGAAGGCTCCCATGCCATGTAAAATTTACATTAAGTAAATCTGTATGGTTTTCTCTTGTTAGTCTGTGTTTTTTTTATAGAAGCCTCAGTCATAAACCTAGCGATGGGTGAAAAGATATATTTTTTTTATCCCCTACAGAACCCACAAAGGCTTCTGAGAAAGGGCAGGTGTACCAGGGCAGAAAAACAGGAGTGTGACACCAGTGCATAAGGGGCAGGCTGCCCTGGTGGCTCATCTGAGAGCCTCATGAGCCGGCCCACCCTCTCCAAATTCCATTTGAGGAGTAGGAATTCTGTGGTCTAGTCTTGGATGCAGACCAGTCTCTGCCTTCCAGCAGTGACTCTGAGTCTCTGGACCTCAATTGCTCACCTTTGAAATGAGTGAGCAAGAGTAGACAATATCTCCCAGCTCTAGAGCAGAATGGGTCTCTCTGGTCTTAGGGGTCTTCTTTCCTTATCTTCAAATAAAGGACACCAAATTCTCTACTGACTGCCATTTCTCTGTAGCTCTACCCTGCCTTCCTTTCTTGGTAGGAAAACTTTTTGTAGGAGTTGTTGAAGCCTGTGTCTCTACCTCCCCACCCCATATTCTCTCTTCAGTGCCACCTCATGACTGAGACTATTCTTGCCAGAGTCACCAGTTACTTTCACTGGCCAAATCCAAAAGTCCTTGCTCTGTTCTTACCTTTCCTGACTTTTCAGTGGCGTTTAAAATATAATCACTTCTTCCTTCTTTAAACATCTGTTTCTCTTGGCTTCCCAAATATCACACCTTCCAGGTGTTCCTGCTGTCTACCCTGCCGCCTTTCTATGCTAACTCCTCCTCCTCTTTTGTACTGACTCCAAAAGTTAGAGTGCTTTGGGACTCAGTCCTTGGCCCTCTTCTCTCCTTTATCCACTTTCTCTCACTCAGTTCGATGGCTTTAAGTACCTACTGTACTCAATGGCTACTGAATCTATATCTGCAGTGGGAGAATTCACCCCAGACTCTTGCACTCTTTCATCTCAACCTTCTCTTTTCTTCTTTTCTTTTCTTTTTCTTTCTTTCTTTCTTTCTTTCTTTTTTGATGGAGTCTCACTCTGTAGCCCAGGCTGGAGTGCAGTGGCACAACCTCAGCTCACTGCAACCTCCGCCTCTTGGGTCCCAGTTCAAGCAATTCTCCTCCCTCAGCCTCTCGAGTAGCTGGGATTACAGGCACGTGCCACCATGCCCAGCTAATTTTTGTATTTTTAGTAGACACGGGGTTTCACCATGTTGGCCAGGCTGGTCTTGAACTCCTGACCTCGCGATCCCCCTGCCTCAGCCTCCCAAAGTGCTGGGATTACAGGTGTGAGCCACTGTGCCCGGCCCCTTCTTTCTAGATGAATAGCTAGCAGTCATCTTGAATTTTACATGGGCCAAAGAAGAACCCTTGATTTTCTCCCTTAAGCTGCTCCCTAGTCCTCCCCATCTCAGTGCATAAATTACTGTCCACTCCGTGCTTCACATCAAAGACCTAGAAGTTGTGTCTGATTCCTCGCTCTCCCTCATCTCCACATCCTGACCATCAGAAAGGCCTCCAAGTTCATCTAGTGCTAGTTTACTCTCAGCCTCCACCTCCACTTCAATATCCTCCAGACTGGACTTCCTGCTTCCTCTCTTGCCCTTCCAATCCATTTTCCCACAACTACAAATCAGATCAAGTCACTTCTCTGCTTAACAACATGGTATCCCTTAACTCTTAGAATAAAATTCACAATCCTTAGCATGGTTTTCAATGGGTGACCTGAACCAGCCTCTGCCTCCATCTTTGACTTTGTCTTTCACTTGGGCCAAACCATTTTTGACCTGGACCTTTGACCATTCTTCCAGACCTTCACATGGTGGGCTTTGCTTTAGTGTTATATTCTCTGAAATGCCTTCCCTGGCCATCAAACTAAAATTGTCTTTTGCATCTTCCCAAGTCTCTGCATATCACTTGTGATTATCTGGCATTTTTTATGCTTATTCATATGTTTACTTACTGTCTCTATCCCCCTTACTAGAATATAAGCTCCCAGGAGGCAGGGACCTTGTCTATATAATTTTCTGCCATATCCCTAATATCTAGATTAGCATCTGGCATGTGGAAATTGTGTATTTAGTGCATATTTGTTCAATGAATGAATAAATGAATGCATGATTATCTCTGGGAGTGGAGTTTGGGAATCCGTATTTAAAATACATTCGGCAACTAAAGTCAAGAACTACTATGCATAAGATCTAATGTATTTCCCAGGTAGGATAAAGCAAGATTTTCCATTTCTAAAGATTATGATGGGCAATGCTTATCCTAAAGGAATAAATCTCCAGTAGTCCAATTGCAAGTCCCGTGACTTATGTTGAAAAGATATGGGTCTAGGGCTCTTTGCCCTGTGTTTTTGAGGCACAGAAGATGGTTATGTTTGCTTCCCCATGTTACTGGCCCTGCCTTTAGCTCAACAGCTGGGAGATAAAGTGCCTCCTGTCTTCCTTGAAAGGAATCAATAGTAAGAATGAGTACTTGGCTCTCTCCAAAAGGTCAGCTTGACACCTGAGTTCTCAGGCTACTCTCTTGATTCCTCCTCCCCATTAATGGGGAAGCCTTCTCCTGCCTGGCAGACAACTTTCTAAGAACAAATTTATAATCCGATTCTGAGAAATATTATGGAGATTAAGATAGTATCTCAGGGTTCATTTGGTTTGGCCCCTTGAAGAATGGGACGTAGGTGCAGAGCAAAGGTCAGCGTGTGCCCAGCACATGTGAGCATGGGTACAAGAAGAGAGTGTAGGTAGAGATGTGTGTTAGCAGTGAAATGTGCCACAAATGGGAAGGATTCTCTCTGCATGGACATACGTGGCACTATATGTAGCCCATGTGCCTAGTGGTGGGTATGCAGAGGCACGAGCAGATAAATGTTGGTGCATGTGTTTACATGTGTGACACAAATTAGTGCATTTGCATGTGTACTAGACAATGCTTTGCCAGAGTCTGTGACCACGTAACCATGTGACTCCAAGCAGTCACTTAATTTTCCTCATCTGTAGACTGGTACAGCTAACCAAACCTATGCATTTTGCATGTTTGTTGATGGGAATAAATGAGATCATGGAAGGAACATTCTTTTTACAGGAAAGCTACCAACATGTTACTTAGATTGCAAATCTTTTCGCATGTAACCTCGGGCCACACACTTGCCTGTGGCTACCCACAGTCGCCGCCCCACCCCTCCCCTCAGCCTTTCAGTACAGGGATGCCCCGTTCAAGAAAACCTAATATACAAAAGCAGAAGTCCCAAACACAAGCGAGACAATTAACCTGCGGGGCGAGGTTACCAAGGGCGGGCTGGGATCCTGTGGTTTAGAAAATATCTGGGCCCCCTGGTCCAGCGCCCCACCCCCATCCTGTACATCCCACCTCTTGCAAAGCCGCGGGGAGGAGGTGGATTATCTTTTTTTTCTTTTTTCTTTTTTTTTTTTTAATGAATAGGACGGGCTGTGGGCGCCTGGCAGGCCCCATCTGTCCGCTGCCCCAACTCAATTTGATTCCCATTCACCCGCCTTTGTTTGCCTCCTTTTTTTGATCAGCAATGTTGTGGGGGGTGGGAGTGCAAAGGCTTAATGTTCTCGACGGCGTGATGGAGCCCCGACCCCTCCCAGTCCCCCGCCCCCTTGGCCGCCGTGGCCCAGCGTTCCTAGAGGTGAGGGTCCCCGCGCTGCAGGCCGGCCCTCAACCACGCGGAGCCCAGGCTAGCGGGGAGCGGAGGCGGTGGCAGTTAGCAGGCCGAGGGGAAGGTGCTGGTTTTTTCGGGTCGTGGGGCCTGGGTGGCTGCTGCCCCCAGGATGGGATCAAAATGCACCTACCAGTGACAGGGGCCTCTCTACTGCGCGGGGAGAGGGAGGCGCCCACAACGGAGCTTAATGGGAGCCACCCGGATTTCCAAGTGGTTGGGAACTGCACATCTGGAGGTGGCACCTCTGTAAACCATTTCACTCCCTTTTAAATAGAAAAGATAATAGAGCAGCCCCATTTAAAAACTCACCCATAATCCCATAGCCTGAGTGCTAAAACCATTTTGGAATTTTCTTATGATCACTGGTGGCCAGTTTTGTTGGGTGTTTTTTGTTTGTTTGTTTTTCGCGGGGGGGGGGGGGGGTGTGGTTGCTGTTTTGGTTTGTTTTACAAATTGCCATCCTGAGTGAAAGGGACCTAGGGAACTTCAGAAGGGGCTTGACAAAGTGTCACCAGCCCATTTTATAGATGGCCTGCCCAGAGAGGAAAGAGCCCAGGCCCCCAGACTCCTGGCTCAGGGTTGGCATTGCAGCTAGGGTCAAGATTATGGAAGATTGAGGGAGTCAGCCAGCTACCCTCCAAACTACTCTCCAGTAGTTTGCCAAAGCCTAGAGGCACAGGTACCAGCTCAACAGGAAAGAAATTAACTCCCAGCATCCTCTGGGGAGCTGAGGATCTAAAATCAGATAACAGCAGTAAAGATTAGTCCAGAAGCCTCCACTGTGTGGGCCATGCCAGTGAGAGGCAGGAAGGCTCAGTTTAAGACTTACGTTGATAAATAGGGCTGTGCTGTCTGGTATTTTGGGGAGAACCCATTTCTGCCTGGCAGGGGACACTAGAATGTGACTCTGCATCTCGATGTGCAGTTTTTCATGGGTCACAGTTGGCATAGGCTACAGCTGAAAACTCTAGGCTTCCTGGTTATCCAACAGCTATCTCCAAGCAACTTTTGTCTTCAAGGAGTTCATATCCTCAAAGAAATGTAATACCTAGGCCCATAACTATAGGAGGTGGTGGAAAGTTTTGGAGCCCTAACAGGTACAGGCAATGGGCCATGGAAATAGGAGATGGTCACAGGGAAGGTTTGATGGAGGAGGAGACTGAGCTGGGTTTAGGTGGAGGAGATGGGGCTCTGGGAACGGAGCCTGGAGACACTTTTGCAGAGAGGTGAGTCAAAGCAGAAGCTGGGACAAAGTCAAGTATGTATTGTGGACAGTAACTGGAAAAAGGTCCACAATGCAGGTGCCAAGGTGATGGGGCAGGTGACCTGGGTCAGGGGGCAGCACCAGTAGAAGCCCTGAGGTAAGGGATATGAGCATTGGCTGCAAGAGGGTTGGTGATCCATTTGGTTGCCCAGCATTATCAGGAGCCTGAAAGGAAAAATGTCTTTTCACATGAAGACAGCATTTTTCACATACTTATGGGTGTGTGTGATTGATAAACATACAAATGCATTTAAAGGCATTATCACATTCTTAAAAAATTTGATCATTCTCAATTTTCTCAGTTGATCGATGCTATTCTCAAGCGGAGTCCTTGAAATTTACATGAAAAGGCATCCCCCCACATGAAAAGGTCCTTAGTGTTTCTGGAGAGAGTCCTCTGAGCCTTGCCTGTGCTCAGAGGAGAGATAAAAAGGATGTTCATACCTCCAGGAGATAAGACTCAAATACGCTAACAACAGAAAAAATGTCATGAGGGAAAGAATGACCAGGTGCCAAACCCAGTATAATCTAGGGGCCAAATGACGGCATTATAGACATTCAGAGGAGAAATCTCTGTGGGTGGGTTAGCAGGATGGGGTTTATGGGCAAGATAGGATTTGATTAATCCTTAAAGGATATGTGGTAATTGGATAGGTAGATGAGCAAATGGCATATGTGCTTCTAGGTAATTATTTATTTGTGTTCATCCACTTTTTTTATTTTCTGAAATTAAGAAATATGGAAATATAAAGAGAATAATACAACAGAGGCTGGTGTGTCCACCACCCAGAAGTGACAGTTATTAATATTGTGTCAAATCTCCAGCATTGTGTTGAGTAAGAGAAATGGAGTTGTTTGAGTGGAATTTACTTCCCCTTTTTTTCTCTCCCCACTTCCTGTCTTGCCAATCCCTCCTGTGTCCCATGACCAGGCTACCATCATCATGGATTTGGTGTATATACTTTTAATATACTTTTACAATGAACTGTGTGCCTATGAACAAATACTAGCAGTGTTTGTGTGTATGTTTAAATGAATGTAAATGGTGTCATATTGAACGTATTGCTCTGCAAGTTTGTTTTTGTTTATTTATTTTGTATTGAATTGTGTGTTGGTGGAATAGTGTTCTTTTTACCTGCAATGTGGCATTCTGTCACATGAAAACTGCACATTTTTTTTCTACAATAATACTGTTGCAGTAAACATCTTCTACATGACTCCTTGCACACATGTATGAGAGTTTAAGAGGAATTATGCTATGCTAGGGAATGCATAGTTTTAGATTTATGGTTATATCAATTTATATTACTCATAATGGTTGATTTTAATTAGATAATTTCTTTTAAAAACACATTGAGTGTGGAATGGATTATATTTGTGCTTCTATATACACCTCTGTTTACAAAGCGTACTGCACCAAAGCAGCCTACTTTAATCAGAGATACAAACATATCATGGTTTTGGTGCGCTGGCTTTCGTATCAGAAATATAAACCCACTTTCATTTACTAATGTTTACAAGAAGAAGAATTTTAAATTGTTGATCTTGGAGAAGGAGGATAAATGAGAGAATAATTCTTGAATAGTAGACTTGTGTCTGAGCTATGGATAGAATCTGTTCATTAGACTTTGGTTATTGTAAAAATGTGTATACCACAGACCAACCTTCTTTTTTAACTCTGGGCCTTGGCATATGTGTGTGTGTGTGTGTGTGTGTGTGTGTGTGTGTGTGTGTGTGTGTGTTTATAATTTGCCAGCCTCATCCTTATTGAATATCCATGTATCCAGTACACACACATACTACACAAGTGTATCATTCACTGATAGTGAAGGTCGGAGAATGGCTTGGGCATCTCAACAAAACCATCTAGATAGCTTAGTTCTAATGGGCACAATACATGCAAATAGTAGTTATGGGGCCACCTTTATGCTTTTCTGAGTTTGGTGCTTTGTGAATGTTGTCTTCTGATACACCTATCATCATGTGAGTTCCACTACTGAAATCCCTCCTATGCATTAGAACTTTCATAATCACAGAAGGAGCAAGATAATAAAGTGTTATCTTCTTTCCATCTGAGTATAAATTCACTTGTCATTTCTCTGTAAAGAAGATATTAATAGTTTCTATAAAATAGGACATGGGGTAATTTTCTGAGGTGGGCAGTGGGCAGGGGAGGGCAGGTGGGAGGTAGTTCCAGAGCTGGGTATCTGGAGTTGGATAGGCATGGGCATTGCAGGAGGCACTGAGCTTGAGAAACCCAGGCTGAGGATGAGTATTGCTTGTGGCTTGCAGCAGAGGGGTAGTGCTCAGAGGCAAAGAAGGGGCACACCTAAAGGGCTTTCCCTTAAAGGGATGAGTGTAGACCACTGCTCCAGGCAACATGGCTGGACAAGCCCTGAATTCATTCTCCTAAGTGAAAGAAAAAAAATTTCAGGCATAGTTTAGATCTCCACTACCCACTGTTCTCTGTGGTGTACACATAATTTTAAAACAATTAAAACAGCTGGGTGGAAACTTGAATAGCAGTAGAGGGCATATAACTGGTGAGATTATTTTATTTAAGTTTGCAAACCATCCATCCTGTCAGAGGGAAGTCCTTCCCAAAATCATACTCTTCCTGGCATCTGAGGCACGTTCTTCTCTTTCAAAGTATTTCCACATCCATTATCTCAGTTGATCCTCACAATACCCGGGTGAGGTGAGTTGGAAAGATATTGAGGCCCCATTTGCCAGAGGTTAAATGGCTTTACTGAGGTTTTATATTTTAGCAGCAGGGCCAGTCTAGAGTCTGGTCCTCTGGATGCCAGTGTCACACACACACACACCCCCATGCACCTGCATGCGCGCACACGTGCGCACACACACACACACACGCAAAATTTGGATTTTATAGCATTTTTTCACAAGGCTACTCTTCAACTTAATTGCAAATCCTTGAGGCCAAGGACTGTGTTTTACACCTCTATGAATCCTCCATTAAAAAAATAGTTACTTGTCAAGTTGAGTCTATTCCTTCCTTTCCAGGGTTGCCAAGACTCTTGTGCATTTCCAGAAACCCCTTCTATTAGAGGTGGAGGACTTTTTAGGATCAAACAAATTTATAAGGCAAAGCCTCATAATTGCCACTCATCAGCCTAGTTCAGACTTCCAAAATTGGCCTGCTTACTGTGTGTCGATACAAATGTGAATGGATTAGCTGCCACTTTCCCAAACACCTATCACATGCCAGTCACTGCTGGAACGGCTGCCCCTAGAAGGTCATTTGGCCCTCACCACAGTCCTACATGGAGGTGTTGCTATCCCAGTGACATGAGCAGGCTTCAAGGACCTGCTGTCAGCTTTCCTGGCCTCCCTGCCTCTTCTCTTCTGCACCAGCTTCCCGGGTCCTTTCACCTGTTCATCAAACCATCCTGCTTCCCTATACCCCTGCCTTCTTCACTTTTGCTGCACATGCCCCACTTGCCAGTGTCTATCCTTGGTACCCAGAAATTAGCATGAAATTAGAAAGGAGCAAAGCCAAAAGGCAGCCAACTAACCAGTGGCCAAACAAACCGGTAGCCAAAACCAGTGGTTGGAGAAACAGACCAAACTCAAGAACTACTGGGAGACCAAGGCAGGGCAGGATAGAACAATGCTCTGAATACCCAGAGAAGGCAAAGCCAGGGCCACTGCATGGAGGAGGCGGAGGCCTGGAGATGGGCTCTGAGGATGGGAAGAGTTCAGACAAAAAGAAAAGGAAGAGCAGAAGGCTCCCAGGCTGCTAGCCTGCCTCTCCTCATTTTCCTTTTTCTGCTTCCAACCTTGAAACCTTCCAGACCTGTCTGGGCCTGGAGGCAAGAGGCGGAACCTCTGGCAATCCTTGGGTGCCTTCTCTTCTGCGTGTAGTCGTCTTTGTCCTCAGCCGCCAGAGATGAGAAATTTAGCGGCAGGCCACTCTTTCTGTTTTCCTGTTCTTTCCCTTTTCTTTCAAAAGCCAGAAAGAGAAGGAAGATGGGGGTGGGAGGGGGCACAGGGGCTTCCTGCAAAGCCCAGGCTGACTGGCTCCGGGAAGGATAAATGACTCCGGTCTCCGCGCCGCTGGTGTTGCACAACTTGTCTGTGCTGGCTTGAGACCCCGGTGATCCCCTTCTAATTGAAATCACTTTCCCCTGACCTCCCCCGTAAGCCTGGGAGCTTGTTGCTCTCTGCGCCAACACTCGGGCTGCGGAGGTCGGGGGAAATCCTGGCTGGGCACCAGAGCTGCACGCACGCCGCATCCATCTTCCGGCCGCCCGCGCTCTTGGCCGCGCCAGGTGCCCAGCCAGGGTGGGCGTCGGGGCAGCCCCCTGGAAGGCGGCCCTGCTGGATCACCGGCTGCTTGGAAGCTCGCAGCGGGGCTGACACTGCCCCCTAAGGGGCATTTTGGACATTTCGTGGGGGGGCTTGTTGATTGGCACTACAAATGGGGGTGCTACTGCGCGTTGGGTGGGGATAAGCCTGGGATCGGGGACATCCTGCCCCGTGCAGGACAAGCCCTCATTTGCCCAGCACGACCAGCAGGCCTGCAGAGATGAACAGCCTGCTTACAATTATCTGAGCTGAGACTCTGTTTCACATATAAATCGAAGTATTTTTGCACCGTTATAATATACTCTGGTGTTTCCAAGAAGGCAACTACCACGTAAATCAAAGGAGACAGGGCTCTTTTTCCAGTTCATCTCATTAAGACATGTTTACCATTTAGGCACATTATAATACTTGAGCAATGGCAATATAACACATCTCTCTGTGTCTGTTATCTATCTGTCTGTCTGTCTGTCTGTCTGTCTGTCTGTCTGTCTATCTATCTAACGATGGATCCATTGTATGGGAGAAAAAGTATTAACGTTTCCTCACAAGGTCCATGGCTGACACCTCATACAAAATTGCATTAACAAGAGAAAAGCATAATAAATTTATTTAACCAAAGTTTTACATGGCACAGGAGCATTCAGAAATGAAGACCCAAATACCCAGGGAAAACTGTATATTCTTATGCTTAGGTTTGAAGAAGAATGGACAGTCATGTAGAAATGTGATTGGACAAAAAAGGGTATAATTTAATGGTATAACTGGGAGGAACTCAGCTTATTTGTTCAGATTCTTCCTGGCTTCTCCATGCAGCATTCCTTTCCTCTAGGTATGGGCCAGACACCTGTCACATGTATGTCTTATGACCTATATTCAGGGGAGGTAGACAGAGAATTCCTTTATTGCCAACTTTCACACAAAAACGTGGGAGAAGGTCAGGGAATGACCTTGTTTCAGTGATTTTCCTCAGTTGCGAAGGTGCTATATTTTGGGGGTATCATGTTCTGAGCCCCAACACTGTCTGCCTATCTACACATCTATATACATATATATACACACACCTAGACATATGTGGATAAATATACTTACATATACACATGCTACACACACCTGTGTGTATCTTAAATACAAACTTATTTATTCTGAGTAGGTATGAGACTCACTGTCTTCTAGTGAAAATATGCTTGAATTTACATAGAGAAATGCACACTATTTTATTATAAATTGCTTTCGTTTTATTTCTGTTTATAATTATACTAAGAAATTGTGATGATTTTTTGAAAGGGGTTTGAGGTCTTTTAGAGTTGAGAACCATTGTTTTTGCCTTTCTGGGTCTCAGTGTCTGCAAAAGACCCGAAGTGGGAACAATAAGATGTTAAAAAACAGCAAAAATGTCACACAAAATTATATCCATATAACTCATAGCCCAAGATGCAGCTGCAGTGAGAAACTTTGCTGATCACAGTCCCTAGGGGGCCCCAGGTCCCAATGTGGAGGGATATAGAGCCCGGGAGGTAGAAGACCCCTTGGGTAGAGGTTGGGGGTGCATAACTGTGAGCCCAGGTTGGAAGACCAAAGGCCGTGTGCAGTTTTCCAAGTGTGTTATATGCAATGAATGGAGGTTTATATGAATGGAGATGATATATATTGCATAGAAATTGTATATATCCAGGTGAGTTATATGCAATGAATGGAGACTTTTTCCTCTTTTAAATGACCAGAGAGAGAGAGAGAGAAAACCTTCCCTAAGCACTTAGTGACCACACTTAGTGACCACCTGCTATGCACCAAAACTCTGTCACCTGCTCGGCAAACCATATCTTTCTTAATTCTTGCTCCTACCCAGTGAGGTAGGTATATTATGGTTAACATAGATGAAGCAGCTGGGGCTCATTCAGTAAACAAAATTTGAACTGAATCTATTTGACTACAAAGTCAGTAGGACATACTGGCCCTAAAAAATTGCCAGTGGGCTTGTTTTTATTTTTACAGATTGCTGATTTAATTAAGGTCTTCTGTCTTAGTCAGCAAGTTTAGTCTGTGATACTTGTCTGAGCCTAACTCCTTTGATGGTAAAGGCAACACAAATGGAAATTTAAACATAGAATTCAACCAATATAAAAATATTTATATATTTTTGAAAGAAATAAAACAGTATCTGTACAAGTCAAAAACATACCACATTCTTGGATGGGGGAACTTATAATATTTCAATTTCCCCCAAAATTACTTTATAAATATAATGAAATTATAATTGGAATTCAAATGGATTTTTACGGTATTAAATTACCTAAAAATTGATGTAAATGTCTGAGAAAGGCCAAGAAAAACTTTTAAAGAATAGTTGGGGAGGGTAGCTTGATTTCTTACTAAATATAAAAATATAACATATAAGGCATGGGACTGACATAGGAATAGAAAGGAAAACCCAGAAAGACCTCAGTGGACAAAGGTGGTCTGTTTAATAAATGGTATTAATAATCCATTTAGTAGAAAATAAAGTTGAATTCCCTGCCTCATATCAAATTTTTAAAAATCCATCTGGAGTAAGTGTTTAAATGTAAAGTAAATAAAACCATCATCTTATTATAAGAAAATCACTTACACACATACACACATATGAGATAGATAGATAGATAGATAGATAGATAGATAGATAGATAGATCTCCAAAGGGTCATGGTTGAGGGAAAGAAATGGTTTTTGCCAAGTCAGAAAACTTAGAATGTATAAAGAAAATGATAGGCATATTCAATTATGTAAAAGTTAATATAATATTAGAATGGTGAAGGATGCAATAAACAAAGGCAAATAATAGCTTGAGGAACAGTTTCAATGCAGACGATTGATAAAATGTTAATATCTGAGATATACAAAAAGATTCTAACAAATTAAAATGGCAAACAATAAACAGGAAGATGGGCAAAGGATATGAACAAAGAGTTTAGAGAAGATCAAACTCAAATGTCAATACATATATGAAAATATGTTTAGCTTCTCTAGTAGTCAGATAAACACAAATGGAAGTAACAATGAGACATCATTTCCACCACAAAGTTGGTAAGTTAAAAAGAGTGATAATCCCTCCCACTGACAGAAATGTTGGGGAAAAGGTTTCTCTTATATATGATTAGGGGAAATGTCAGTCATTATATGTTTTTAGAAAGCAACTGCTCAATGATTATGGTAAATGTGAGTTACACAGACCCTTCAACCTAGCAATCTCACTCCTAGGAATTTGTTCTTTAAAAACAAAATTCCAGTAAGAAAGTATCTGTTCAAAGTCAAGGATGTTCACATCAGCATTGTTTAAAACTGCACAAATTTGGAAACAAAATAAATCCCGTTGGCAGAGGAATAATTGAATAAATTATAGGACAATTATTCCATGGAATATTGCACAGCTCTTAAAAACACTGTATTAGATATAACTTCCTGTTAACTTTGAGGGGTATTATGATATATTTTTAAGTGAGAAAAGCCAAATGCAGAGAAATGTATACGTATATGACCTGTTTTATAGTGATGACCTTCCATAAATTACATACATATGTTTATGTATGTAAATGACTATATTAGCATACAAATATTATGGAAAGTTTCAAAACAAGTGATGCCAGCAAACATGAGAGAGGAATGATGGGGGTGAGGTATGGTGTGTGTGTGTTCAGGGAATCAGAGAGGTTAAAAAAGATAAAATCAATATGAATTTATGTAAAACTATATGTATATAACTATACATGGAGAGAGAAATTTGAAAGAATATTCACTAAATATTAATGATGTATTCACGGATTGAATATTGGTCTCTACCAGTTATCCTCAAATTAATCTATAGATTCAATACAATCCTAGTAAAAATCTCAGCAGGTTTTTATGTGCATCCAAATGTATACATGCATATGTGTACATTGACAAGCTAATTATAAAATGTATTAAAAATGCAAAGGGCAAAGAATGGCTAAGACATTCTTGAAAAAGAAAAACAAGATGCATAGAGGAGGGCAGGAGGGTATCTTACACTATCAAATATCAAGACTTTAAAAAAGCATTTATTTATTTATTTTTTTGAGACAGTGTCTTGCTCATTCACCCAGGCTGGAGTGTAGTGGTATGATCATGGCTCACTGCAGCCTCAGCTTGCTGGGCTCCAGTGATCCTCCCACCTCAATTTCCCAGGTACCTGGGACCACAGGCACAGGTGCGTGCCACCACACCCAGCTAATTTTTTTGTATTTTTTTGTAGAGATAGGGTTCTACCATGTTGGCCTCAGTCTCCCAAAGTGCTGGGATTACAGGCATGACCCACCTTACCCAGCCAGTACTTAAGACTTATGAAGCTACAGAAACTAAGACAATACAACATTGGTGCAAAGACAGATGAATACCCCAATGCAGTTGAATCAGTGTCCAGAAACAGGCATGTGGAAACTTTATTTATGACAAAGGTGAACTGCAGAGTATTAGGGAAGGGTTTCTTTTCAATAAATGATATTAAGTCTATTGAATATCTGAATGTAGAAAAATGAAATTTGACTCCTATCTCACACCATACAGAAAAATGAATTCCAAGTGGATTTTGGCTGTCAATGTTAAAGGTAGATCAATAAAGCTTCTAGAAGATAATATAGGAGAATTTTTTTCTCAAACATGGAATAGGAAAATAATTCTTAAATCTGATACAAAACCCACTAATCATAAAGGAAGAAATTAATACATTGGGCTACATCAAAATTATGAACCTCAGTTCATCAAAAGAAACCACTAAAAGAAGAAATTTGCAATATGTAAAAAGTAACAAAGAATTCACACCCAGAATGCACAAAGAACTAGGAATCAGTAAGCAAAGACCAACAACCTAATAGAAAAATGACAAGAGGGCTGAACAGGAATTTTACAAAAGAGGATATACCAATGGCCAATAAACATATGAAAATGTGCTCAATTGTATTAGTAATTTTAAAATTTCATGAGATATACATCCCCTTTGGCTAAAATGAAGAAGTGTAGGTAAGGATGTAGAAAGGAAGGAGTGCTCAAAAACTGCTGGTGATAATATAAATTGATGTAATCACTTTGGAAAACTAATTAAATGTTCAATGTACATATACATGATGAAGGAGCAATTCTATTGCTAGATGTTCACTTAGAGTGTGGGCACACGTGAAGTAAAAATCATGTACAAGAATGTTCATGGAAGCAATTTGTAATAATCCCAAACCAAAAACACAAAATGCCCAACAATAGTAGAATGGATAAATAAATAATAGTATATTCCTACAATGGCATATTTACAGGAGTGAAAATGAACAAATGACAGCTATATACCTCAACATGAATGAATCTCCATATAATGTTTAGCAAAAAAAAAAGCTAAACATAAAGAAATAATCTGAATTATTTCATTTATATAAAGGTGAGCAAGTAAAACTAATTTATGGTGTTAAAAGCCAGGACAGGCCAGGCACAGTGGCTCACGCCTGTAATCCTAGCATTTTGGGAGGCCGATGTGGGTGGATCACGAGGTCAGGAGTTCGAGACCAGCTTGGCCAATATGGTGAAACCCCCATCTCTACTAAAAACACAAAAATTAGCTGGGTGTGGTGGCACAAGCCTATAATCTCAGCTACTTGGGAGGCTGAGGCAGGAGAATCACTTGAACCTGGGAGGCAGAGGTTGCAGTGAGCCGAGATTGTGCTATTGCACTCTAGCCTGGGCGACAGAGTGAGACTCCGTCACACACACACACACACACACACACACACACACACACACACACAACCAGGACAGTAATAACGACTGAGGAGGACTGGGAGAGGCACTGGGAGGTGGCAGGAGGACCTGTA
This sequence comes from Homo sapiens, assembly GCF_000001405.40. NCBI lineage: Eukaryota > Metazoa > Chordata > Mammalia > Primates > Hominidae > Homo > Homo sapiens. The sequence goes on from NC_000018.10 coordinate 47,537,825, forward strand.
GGGAGCTGCTCACATTCTCTTTCTTGTCCTGGGTGATGGATGCTTGGGTATTCATTTTTTAATAATTCTTTGGGCTGCATGTGTATGATTTGTGCAACCTTCTGTATTTGTGTTGTACTTCACTAAACAGGGAAAAATAATTTTAATGGCATTTACTTTAGGTGATGAGATTTCAGGTACCTTTTACTTTCTTGAATGATTTACAGTACACCTGTATTGTTTAATATGATCCAGAAAATCATAAAGCAATTTATATACAAAGAGAGCCAAATATATTTCAGAAACACAAATATGTTCATTTAACTAGTTGAACTAAAGCTAGATACTCTTTCACAAAATTAGTTTTTTTAAAAAAGATCATAAATTGCCATGTGCACACTTTTCTCCCCTGCTGGGTTATTGAATCCAGTTTGGTCTTGAGAGGTCACACTCTCAAACCTCTGCTCCTGCCATGAGTGGACTCTATAGCACCCAGGCTAAGTCACACAAGCATAGGGTCACAGGTTATGGAAAGAGCCTCAGCAGAAAACCAAGAGGACTTGGCTCAAGTGCTAGCTCTTCCAGAAGCTTCCAGCAGTGGAACATCAGGTTGGTAACATCACCTTTAGGACAGCAACACTGATCTAACCATGTCAAAGGTTTCCCTCAAATCTGAAATTTTATGACTGTGTGTCTTAGTGATGTGGGGTAGATTTGAGATTGTTGGAGGGAAGTGCATTGGGCAATGCCAACATCTATCCAACATCTACCATGTGGCAGGTGCCAGAGTGGGCACCAGGGATACACCAGTAATTTAAATACACAAACATCCCACCCACGGGAAGTTTACATTTCAGGGTGGGAGACAGGCAACAGACAGATAAATAAATGAGTATGTAACAGATTGAGAATATGTCCTGTGCTAAATTCTAGCTAAGAGGGCAGGATAAGAACCAAAAATTCCCTGTAAGACTTGGCAGCAGGAAGGTAAAACTGGGGACCTGGAGAAGAACAGTTTTGTTTTTTTTTTAATACTTTAAGTTCTAGGGTACATGTGCACAATGTATAGGTTTGATACATAGGTATACATGTGCCATGTTGGCTTGCTGCACCCATCAACTAATCATTCACATTAGGTGTTTCTTCTAATGCTATCCCTCCCTCAGCCCCCTACCCACTGACAGGCCACAGTGTGTGATGTTCCCTGCCCCGTGTCCAAGTGATCTCATTGTTCAGTTCCCACCTATGAGTGAGAACATGCGTTGTTTGGTTTTCTGTCCTTGTGATAGTTTGCTGAGAATGATGGTTTCCAGCTTCATCCATGTCCCTGCAAAGGACATGAACTCATCCTTTTTTATGGCTGCATAGTATTCCATAGTGTATATGTGCCACAGTTTCTTAATCCAGTCTATCATTGGTGGACATTTGGGTTGGTTCCAAGTCTTTGCTATTGTGAATAGTGCCACAATAAACATACGTGTGCATGTGTCTTTATAGTAGCATGATTTATAATCCTTTGGGTATACACCCAGTAATGGGATTGCTGGGTCAGATGGCAATTCTAGTTCTACATCCTTGAGGAATCGCCACACTGTCTTCCACAATGGTTGAACTAATTTACACTCCCACAAACAATGTAAAAGCATTCCTATTTCTCCACATCCTCTCCAGCATCTGTTGTTTCCTGACTTTTTAATGATTGCCATTCTAACTGGCATGAGGTGGTGTCTCATTGTGATTTTGATTTGCATTTCTCCAATGGCCAGAGATGATGAGTATTTTTTCATGTGTCTGTTGGCTGCATAGAAGTCTTCTTTTGAGAAATGTCTGTTCATATCCTTTGCCAGCTTTTTGATGGGTTTGTTTTTTTCTTGTAAATTTAAGTTCTTTGTAGATTCTAGATATTAGCCCTTTGTCAGATGGGTAGATTGCAAAAATTTTCTCCCATTTTGTAGGTTGTCTGTTCACTCTGATGGTAGTTTCTTTTGCCGTGCAGAAGCTCTTTAGTTTAATTAGATCCCATTTGTCTATTTCAGCTTTTGTTTCCATTGCTTTTAGTGTTTTAGTCATGAAGTCCTTGCCCATGCCTATGTCCTGAATGGTATTGCCTAGGTTTTCTTCTAGAGTTTTTATGGTTTTAGGTCTAACATTTAAGTCTTTAATCCAGCTTGAATTAATTCTTGTATAGGTGTAAGGAAGCGATCCAGTTTCAGCTTTCTACATATGGCTAGCCAGTTTTCCCAGCACAATTTATTAAATAAGGAATGCTTTCCCCATATCTTGTTTTTGTCAGGTTTGTCAAAGATTGGCTGGTTGTAGATGTGTGGTGTTATTTCTGAGGCCTCTGTTCTGTTCCATTGGTCTATCTCTCTGTTTTGGTACCAGTACCGTGTTGTTTTGGTTGCTGTAGCCTTGTAGTATCGTTTGAAGTCAGGTAGAGTGATGCCTCCAGCTTTGTTCTTTTTGCTTAGGATTATCTTGGCAGTGCGGGCTCTTTTTTGGTTCCATACGAACTTTAAAGTAGTTTTTTCCAATTCTGTGAAGAAAGTCATTGGTAGCTTGATGGGGATGGCATTGAATCTATAAATTACTTTGGGCAACACGGCCATTTTCACGATATTGATTCTTCCTATCCATGAGCATGGAATATACTTCCATTTGTTTGTGTCCTCTTTTATTTCCTTGAGCAGCGGTTTGTAGTTCTCCTTGAAGAGGTCCTTCACATCCCTTGTAAGTTGGATTCCTAGGTATTTTATTCTCTTTGTAACAATTGTGAATGTGAGTTCACTCATAATTTGGCTCTCTGTTTGTCCGTTAATGGTGTATAGGAATGCTTGTGATTTTTGCACATTCATTTTGTATCCTGAGACTTTGCTGAAGTTGCTTATCAGCTTAAGGAGATTTTGGGCTGAGACAATGGGGTTTTCTAAATATACAATCATGTCATCTGCAAACAGGGACAATTTGACTTCCTCTTTTCCTACTTGAATACCCTTTATTTATTTCTCTTGCCTGATTGCCCTGGCCAGAACTTTCGTCACTATGTTGAATAGGAGTGGTGAGAGAGGGCATCCCTGTCTTGCCAGTTTTCAACGGGAATGTTTCCAGTTTTTGCCCATTCAGTATGATACTGGCTGTGGGTTTGTCATAAACAGCTCTTATTATTTTGAGATACGTTCCGTCAATACCTAGTTTATTGAGAGTTTTTAGCGTGAAGGGCTGTTGAATTTTGTCAAAGTTCTTTTCTGTATCTATTGAGATAATCATGTGGTTTTTGTCATTGGTTCTGCTTATGTGATGGATTACATTTATTGATTTGCTTATGTTGAACCAGCCTTGCATCCCAGGGTTGAAGCCGACTTGATCGTGGTGGATAAGCTTTTTGATGTGCTGCTGGATTCGGTTTGCTAGTATTTTATTGAGGATTTTTGCATCGATGTTCAACAAGAGCAATTTTAAGGCAATGTGAGGACAGAAGCCAACTGGGGTGCACGGTGGAAAACACAGGGGGTAATGAAGTGGCCATGGTCCACATAGACAGTTCAGAAGCTTTTCTGGAAAGAAAACAGAAATATCAGGTGGAGGCTGGAGAAGAAGGCAACATTAAGAAAACAGTGTTTTCTGGCCGGGCGCAGTGGCTCATGCCTGTAATCCCAGCACTTTGGGAGGCCAAGGTGGGTGGATCACCTGAGTTCAGGAGTTTGAGACAGCCTGACCAACGTGGGGAAACCCCGTTTCTACTAAAAATACAAAATTAGCCAGGAGTGGTGGCACATGCCTGTAATCCCAGCACTTTGGGAGGCCAAGGTGGGTGGATCACCTGAGTTCAGGAGTTTGAGACAACCTGACCAACATGGGGAAACCCCGTTTCTACTAAAAATACAAAATTAGCCAGGCGTGGTGGCACATGCCTGTAATCCCAGCTACTCAGGCGGTTGAGGCAGGAGAATCGCTTGAACCTGGGAGGCGGAGGTTGCAGTGAGCCGAGATCGCACCACTGCTCTCCAGCCTGTGCAAGAAGAGTGACAGCTTTAATGGGGGAGGCAGTTCTTCCATGAAGACAGGAGGAAAGAGAGAAGATGGCACAGGTGCAGGTCAGACTGAAGATTAGGTGGAGGAAGGATGAGGGAATTCCCATCACCTGCTTCGCTTTTCGCCTTCACGTATTAGATGAGTTCAACAGCTGAGAAGGGATATGGGATATTTGAGATATAAATATATGGGCTATATGGGATATAAAGGAGAAGGTAAGTGTACTTAAAGAGAAATAGAATTGCTGGGCAGTGTTGGGTTGAAGTTTGTAATCATAAAATCTCAGTAAATACTGTAATGAACTTGGAGGCCAGCAATTTCTTTCCTGAGAAACGGAGATAGTAAGACCCAGGCCCTCCTCATACCCTATGACTCTGTGAGTAACCCCTCAATCCTTTCTGGAAAATGCTTTAAAACCCATGATCTTATTATCCATGGTGTCAATAAGTCTTGCAGCTAAGAAGAAGCTTGGGGAACTATAAGATCTAATACAACTGGTCAAAATATCAGCACAATCTCAAATGAGTTGTGTGGGGTTTATCCACCCACCCACCCATCCACCTACCCACCCATCCACCTATCCCTCCATCCCATTCCATTTAATGGACTCTTCTAAATCATGTACTGGATGTTAAAATAACAGCATTCTCATTCTTCGATGATTAGTTATTTGGCAATTCAGTGAATAAATTTGTTCAACAAGTGTTTGTTGAGCATCCACTATTTTGAGCTCAGCCCTTTGCTGAGGATTGTGGAGAACATACAAATGCAAAATGAATTCTCTTCATTCTCAAGTAGCTTATAATGTAGACGGGAAGGCCATTCAGTCTCACATTGTAATAACTCAGTGTAGAATACAAGTGCTAAATCATGTGCAGAGATCAGGAGCTATGAGGAGGGAGCTCTGAGAAGGAAGCTCTGTGTACAGAAGCACAGCTCTGGCAGGGAGGCAGGGTTTAAGCTAGGCCTGATCATCTCAGCTCTTATCTTCGGAGAGGGGAAAAAAAGATTCCAAACTTGAAGAAACAGTGCAGTATTAGAGTGCAATCATAAACATAAAACATTAACATGTAATTCCCTTATGCTTTTGAAAAATTACTTCATAAACACAAAGTAAAATATTTTTCCCTTTTTATTACCTGACAATTACATATTAAGAATTTCTTTTTATGTTTAAAAACATATGCAAGCTGGGGAAGGCAGACGCCAAAATGTAATTGCTTTCCTTCTATAAGAATCAGATGTCATTTTCTTCCAACTCGACTCTGAAAAGAGATAGGAAAAAGCAAATTGTTGTGTACATTAAATTTGGAAACATCTGATAGCTTTCCTCAATTAAACTATTTAAATGGAAAAAGATTGCTGTACAGCTCTATCATATCCCACTGAATAAAACCTCAGCTGAGGCAAATTGGCAGTGGCAGGTACCAAATGCATCGGCAATAATGAGATTGGACAACCCACTGGAGGTCATTGGTAATTGTTATTATATGCAATATTGCACTGTCAGAAGAAGAAAAAAACAACTCTGTAGCAGGCAAAGCCCATACCAGGGACTGCATGAGTTGGGAGTACTTGTGACCACCCAGCCAGGGTGACTTAAGGAGTGTCAGGAGAGCTGGAACCCTGAGTCTCGAGCCCACTCTTCATGAGGGCTCTTTCGTGGCTGGCTGTGCATCTCAGCATATGGGGGGCAAACCACAGCACATTCTATCAGCAGAGATCTGCTTATCTGGCAGCTGAGAGCAAGGTCTCAGCGGGTGGCACTGGGGCAGAGGAGAGGGGGAAGAGACAGTTAGGGGAAAGTGGGACCCTGAGAAGGGACGTGGAACAGAAGTCAAGACAAGGTTTTTGTATTTGTTGTGTGTTGTGGTTTTGCTCTGAGCTGACCCTGATTCAAGCTATTGAAAGTTCATTTCCACCACACCCCTACCTCAACCAACTTTCCAGATATGGAGGAAAAGAGAACAAGAATTCACTTGTGTTCCAAGGTTTCAAGTCTCCTTCTCAAAGTTCAAACTTGAGAAAGAAGGGGTGGGAGTTGGTTTGGGCTGCCTCGGACCTAAGCAAGCCTGCCTGCCTGCCTGCCTGCATACAACCTCTCCTGAGCCCTGGGCCTCAGGAGTAAAATCAGTTGCTGCATAGTCCTGTGCAAATGACAGCCATACACCAACTTGTCTGCAGTGAAACGATGGGTACACATAAATGTATTTGATTGCCATTTAACCACTTATCAGACAGGTTAGTGTCCAACAGGCTGCAGCAGGTGCATCAGTGCCCATTGCACTTTGTCTCTTAGATTCAATCATGAGGTCACTTGAAACAGAATGTGACCATTTACAAGGGCCAAGAGCCCCAAATGACTGTGATGCTGCAGTACCTTGTTAAAGAAGGAAGGAGTGGGGAGACCCCTCATGGCCCAGGCTGCTGATATCATGAAGCTCTCTGAATACAGTTAGAGTAACTCTATCAGAATCGTTGCCAATTGCCTCCTGCTCTCAAAGACATCTTGGAGAGTATTCTTTGGTGCTGAGCAAGTGTCTCAGTCAATTGGGGCTGCTATAACAAAATATCATAGATTGGGTGGCTTAAACAAGACATTTATTTCTCACAGTTCTGGAGACTGGAAGTCCAAGATCAAGATGCAGTGTCCGGTGAGGGCCCTCTTCTTGCTTTGCAGATGTCCCCATTCTTGCTGTCTCCCCATATGGCAGAGATGTTGGGGGTGGAGGGGAGAGAGAGAGAGAGAGTGTGTGTGTGTTCTGGCATCTTTCTTAAAGAGCACTGATTCCATCACAGGGCTCAGCTCTCATGATCTCATCTAAACTTAATCACCACCTCCCTAAGGCCCTATCTCCTAAACACCATCACACTAGGGGTTAGGACTTCAATATATGGATTTTGGGGAGACACAAACATTTAGCCCATAGCATCATGCTTCCTGAATTTGTCTAAAGAAAGCAACAGGTAGGTAAATAACCCTATTGGAAAAAAAAAAAAACGCAAAGACAAAACACACTAAAAGCTGAAGGGAAGGTCAGGAATCAGGATGGTATCCTAATCCAACCTGGAGGAACACTCCTTCTGAGCTGCAGGCATTCCTGGGCATCATCTGGTCCCATATCCCACTCCAGGTGGAGACCCCCCGAGATGTGGCTTCCAAGACTTGACTGTGCTAGGGAATCTGCTGGGGAGCATTGTGCAAGCTACTCAGGTTTCCAGGCTCACCTCTGCCTATTGAGTCAGATTTCTGGGGGTAGTGTTCGGAGACCTGTATTATAAACAAGTTTTCTGGAGAATTCTGGAGCAGGTCCTCCACAAACAAGACACGTATATGGGAAACACTGCATCCCTGACAGTCATTGCTGGAAGAATCCCCCAAACAGGGAGTACACAGATCACAAGGAAGCCTGATCTATTGTAAGTCATGTTTAATTGCCACAAAGTTCTTTATGTTGAATAATATTTGATCCTCTGCCAATTCTGCCCAAAGTTTTAACTCTTATCCACTAGATCAGAAAGGATGTATGCGTTTAATCACCAATTGTCTATCTCTTCTTCAAATGATTACTCTGCAGCATATCCCAGCAGAAAAGGTCTACTTCCACCAAGCTGACAACCCAGTGGGAGAATCTAGGTGTACCCTGAGAGAGATGCTGCATTCATATACATTCATTTGGATGACAAGAGTTCATTCATTCATTGATTCTCACTGAGCACCTATTCCCTGCACTGAGAACTGGTGGTACACAGAGGAATCCGAGGAGAGACTCTGCCCTCGAGGAGCTGACGGTAGAAGAAGGAAGCCATGCACTTATGTAACTCTTGCCCACCCACCCAAGCGATTTGAGTAAAGGACCAAGGAGGGAGATTGAGATGGGGTGGAGCTGATTAGGGATGGCTGCCTGGCAGAGGTGGTATTTGAGCTGGGCTTGATGGCTGAGTGCGAGTTGGATGTAAAGAGGTGGTGTTACCAGTGGAGGGAGCAAGGTGAAGTCGGGTGTCTATGGGAAGAGCAAGGAGTACAGCAGGTGGCACAGAGGAGCTTCCTTACATGCTCAGGTTTAGTCCTCTTGGTGAGGAAATAGCCCTTCTTCTCTGGTCATAGCATCAATTCCTAGATACTAGTGTTGAGAAATGCACCTGGCGCAGTCCTTTACCCTTAAACAGGCATCACTATCTTTATTTCAAAGTCAGCTTAAGGTTGTTTACGCCTAAAGAGATCTCTTTGGTAATGGGCCTGCCTAGTCCTACTTAATATTCATCCACTGTGAGACGACAGGGCCCCTCTTCTGGGCCAGGCCTGCACACAGGGATCAATGAAAAAGCCTGATCCTGGCAGCTCTACTTGCCTTAAGTCAGACAGCCCTGTGGCCAGCCCCCAGTGTTTACGGGGCATCTGTTGGCTGCCGGCAGTGAGAAAGTCTGGGTTCTTTCCTGCAAAAACTCTGATTGACTAAAGGAGAAAAGAATTTTCTGGAAAGACAACAGGTAGCTCAAAAGGTTCGGGGTGGGGGTGGGGGAAGAAATGGTTAGGGAACAAAAGGTGGCACAGCTCAGTAAAGATCAAGCCAGCAGGACAGTCTGCTTGGAACCCTGTGACCAGTATGGTCATCACCACCCTCTACCGAAACCTTGGCTCTGCCACAGCCACTGAGAACGACCCATGGTTTAGCCCCTCTAGAGCCCAAATCTTGGCTGGAAGAGGCAGGCATTGGATTGGCCAGGTGTAGGTCACACCTCTCATCAGAGGTACCAGAGGAGCACATGGCCAACCAGGAGGGACAAGGGTCACTCGCATCCACAGAGTTAGATTAAAGCACAGGTGAATGCCCAGGACAGGGGTCCAGCTGTGAGAATGAATGATGGAGAGAGGAAGGGTGAAAAGAAGTCGGCAACGGAAGAGAAAGCTCTTGCCAACTGGACAGGAGAGGCTGTGAGTCATGTGCTGGGGTGTGCTGGGGCGGGCTGGGTCAGGGCCTTCCTACTGAGTCAGGACAACTTAACAGACCCCTCAAATTCAGACTGAAGGAAGGGGTGGTCCCTGAGTAAAGGGGCAACTGGGGAGACTAAGGGAATGATGCCCACCTGCCACCTCAAGTAGCCTGAGGATTCACCTTGAAGGAGGAAGAGATTCAAATGCATAAAGGAGGACAGTATTGCTATTCATGGCCATCATTGCCTCCCAAGGAGAATGGAACCTGCTTAAGGAAAAGTCCTTTGGTTTCACTAAGTGTCTTAATGCATTTGGACGTGCAAACTAGGTTTGGGACTAGGACCTAGAGAAATAGGAATACTAGAGGGAGAGGAATTTGGAGGGCAACATGGAGGGAGGAGGAGAGTGTAGGGAGAGGGGCCAGAATCTTGAAGTGGCCAGTGACTACTCCTCCTGGAGGTGTGGTGAAGAATGGGGAATTAGATGCAAGATGGTCTATAGTTCCAGCTACTCGGGAGGCTGAGATGGGAGAATCACCTGAGCCTAGGAAGTCAAGGCTGCAGTGAGCTGAGATCACACCGCTGCACTGTAGCCTGGGCAACTGGAGTGAGACTGTCTCAAAAAAAAAAGTTTGCCACATGCAACCTGCCTCTGTCTCTCTACACCTCCAGTGTAGCTGCTGCATACCTGGATGCCTGGTAAGGTGGGCTGTTATTTTAGAATATGTCCTGTATAGGCATCTGCACATTGAAAAAGGAACGGTGTCCCTCATCTGGTTATATGCATAGCCTCCTAAGGGCAGCTCCTTGGGAAGATGAGATGATCTGGACACTGAACTAATTCAGGGGAATGGGAACTTCCGGCCCCAGATGCCCATGGTGTGATATATGCACTTCCACATCATGTGGGCAGAGTGCAGCCACTCCAGAACTTCTAGCCCTGGGAGACCCGCACTGTCTGTGTGTTTTGGATGTGTAACCTGAAGAGGTGAAAGCGTGAGCAGAAAAGGGAGTGCACCTGGCGGGTTTAGAGGGCAAGGTGGAGATGAACCTCGTTGGCTGTGACCAGGTCCCAACCTGGAAGTGGTGACCAAGAAGGGTGAACTCAGAGATCTGGACATTGAAGACCGGGTTAAAGTGTCCAAACACTCTGTTAGGTTTCTTATTCCCTATGTTAAAAGATAAACTTAGGCACACTGAAATTGTAATGAGTTTATTTGAGCAGACAGTGATTCATGAATTGGGCAGCACTGGACTCCAAGTGATTGGGCTTCACCTGGGGGACAGGAAGGGAAACTTTTATAAGGTGTTCACAGAAGCAAGAGAAAGAAAATACATTCAATAGGTTAAAGTGGAAAGCTTCTAGTTAGAGGTTATTTTGGTGGTTTCTGATTGGTTAAGCTTAAGTTTTGTTTTACTGTTTACACTGAGTTGGGCTTTGTTTTGCTTACCTAGCATTGGGACAGTCTCAGCCTCATGACTTCTATTAGTTTTTTTTAGTTTTTTTTAAACACCTACTTGGCCACAAACCCCACCCTACTTTTTGTGTTAGCTGTAAATAGTAATAATAGTAGCAAAAATTTCTATAGCACTTCCTAAGTTCCAGGCATCATCCAAAGCACTTTACAGGTATTAATTCACTTAATATAATCATCCCTATAGCTCTTTGAGGAGGATTCTAACATTATCTTCATTTTGCAGATATAGAAACTGAGGCACAGTGAGGCTCCTTTTTCTTATCTCTCCTGGCAAATGTGGGGCCTCCGTTATGGTACTTTGTATCTTTTCTATGTGTGCATGCATTACGGTGCATTAGGGTATATCTCTGATGATGACAGCCAAGTACACTGGTGCTGTACAGCAGAGCATACATACATGCTGTTACCGTTCATGCCTCATCTCCCCCTTCAAGGGGAAAACACTAGCTTTTCATCTTTGCATCCCCAAAGCACCTTGCACAGTGCTGGGTGTATTTAGCAGAAAGTGTCCAGTCAATTTTTGTAGAATGGTGAACTAAAGATTTCTAAGCAGGGAGTGATGTAGTGAACAGTATTTTTGGAGGGTCTGCCAACTAGCAGGGTGGATTGAAAGAGGAGAGGCTAGAAACAGGACTCCACAAAGTTCTGAACTGTGCCCCATGGCAAGGACAGTGATCTGTTTGGAGAACTACTGGCCATCTGGGGTTTGCCTCTGCCCTGCAGGTACACCTCTGTCTGAGCTCTTGGCCTGGGCTTTTTTGTCTTCCTGTTTCCCAGCTTTGCCCAACCATATTTCCTGCCTGAGAGAAACCTTCCATATAATTTGTGAACTGGCGAGACACTCAGCTTTTGGCAGACTGTAAAGCTGCTGTGAAGTTTTAGTTCTCTATCCTAACATTTGGTTCATTTAATTAAGGGCTGAGGCCATTATGAACACCTCTCAACTATCAAAGGGCATTGAAACAACTCGCAAACACAATTAACCTTGGCCCCAAAGATTAAAAAAAAAAGGCAGGCACAGTGTGGTGTTTCACTATTTATAATCACCAGTTAACAAAGTATGCAATTAAGTCAAGTGCTGATGTAGCAACACAAGCCCAGTGCCAGGGGTTTGCCCTTGCCTGGTCTTTGCATGTGACCATATGGGGCTTTGGACTAGTGGTCTCCAGGTGGAGGGCCATGTTAGAATCTCTAGGGGCTTGGGGATGGGGGAAAAGGTTTGAAAACAACCATAAATAAAATAACCATAAATAAAATAAAACATATATGTTTGAAAACAACCATAAATAAAATAAATAATTTTATTTTATTTGGGGGATATTATTAAAACCTAATATCTTTTCTTTTTCTTTTCTTTTCGTTTTTTTTTTTTTTTTTTTGAGACAGAGTTTTGCTCTTTTGCCCAGGCTGGAGTGAAGTGGCATGATCTCGGTTCACTGCAACCTCTGTCCCCCCGGTTCAAGTGATTCCACTGCCTCAGCCTCCTGAGTAGCTGGGATTACAGGAGCCTGCCACCATGACTGGCTAATTTTTGTATTTTTAGTAGAAATGGTGTTCCTCCGTGTTGGTCAGGCTGGTCTCAAACTCCTGACCTCAAGTGATCCACCTGCCTTGGCCTCCCAAAGTGTTGGGATTACAGGCATGAGCCATCACGCCCGGCTAAAACCTAATTTCTAAAAATGTAAACTACAGAAATTAATGCTTGAGAAAAATCTTTCTGAATGATGGGAAATTGTTGAAGACAGAAATTCCCAGAGAAGATGCCCTTCTCCCCCAGGGATCTTATAAAATTCTCTGGAGGACACAGGAGAATGTTAAAGTATCAAAGGAGAGATGGATGAAGAAAAGGTTGAAAAACATAACTATTCCCACACCTTAATCTCACACTGCCCTTGGAGATGGGGCCTCTCCCATGGAGGTTGTCACAGAAACCCTTTCTAGAAGTAACAATATTCTTAATAAACACATTTAACCCTCCCTCACTCCCTCCCTCCCTTCCTTCCTTCCTGCCTACCTCCCTTCCTTCCTTCTTTCCTTCCTTCCATCCCACTTGCATATTTATACCCTATCTTATTCCAGAAAGAATATGAGATGGATAAATCCCTTTGGATAATTTCTAAGAGGAAGCTCCCCAGGAAACACTGGGATCCATCAACATCCTGGTTAACAAATTACTTTTTACTATGTATTAGTCAGTCACTGACCTGGATGTGAAAAGTACAGGATGAATAAAACAAGATATCTGTCCTCAGGGAACAAAACTAGCCTAAACAGAACAAAAGCAGGAAGAGGGACCCTACACAGCTGCCTGTAATCCAAACTGCAAAGTACTAAGTGATGTGGATCTTATCGATCAGGGTGCTTTTGGTTGCAAGTAACAGTAAACGTAACTCAAAGTGGGGATTTATAATCTCCCATAATGGGAAGTCCTGAGGCCAGGCAGCTCCAGGCACAGTGTGAACCCACTTTTGTGCTTTTTCTTGGCCCCCTGCCCCCCACCCATGTGCCAGGGTTTTGATGATCCTCAAGGCTACAGCAGCTCCAGGCATCACTTCCCAGCAAAGTCCAGGAAAGAAGCAGGCACATCACTGCCTGCCAGGTGGGGCCTCTGTTTATCAGTGAGGAAACCTGCTTCAGAAGTCCCCAAGCGTGGCTTGTTGGCCTGATATGGGCATGTAGGGTCCTGCATGCATCCCTGAACCAGCTTCTAACTGAAGAGAATGTAATAAGCAGAACTAGCTTAGACCAACCAAGACTTACCTCTAAGTCCCAAGGGGGAGGAGTGACCACCTGAACAAAATAGACATGTGCCCAGAGAAGGCAGGGAGTATGGATGAAATGCTGGAAAGTACCAGCAATGCTGTTCCACCAACCCACAGAGCAGGAACATGGAATTCTCCCTGCCAGGGTCAGTAGGGGAGGTGATCTGATTTGACCTGTCCGAGAGCACATGTTCTGACTTCTTTTTGGGGGCAGGGAATAGGACATTTCTTCTAAGTGGAGGAAATAGCACGAATAACCCTGTGGGGAGCTGCTTTGCACAGAAACAGAAGCTGCTGTGGCTGTAGCACAGGTGTGCATTGGGTGGGGGCAAACAGGAGAAACCTGAATGATGATCAGGACCAGTGGAGAAAGGCCTGGCTGCCAGGCAACAAGCAGCCGTTATTTTAACCCAGAGGTTCAGACAAAGCAAGGTATTATTGGCATAGTTTCTCACTCAGTTAATGGAGGCATTACTGTAGAAAGATCAGGTCCAGAAAATGTTTCAAGATGCCGTGACCAAAAATATGTCCTTGGGGGCCTGCTGGAGGGATGTGGCTAGCCTCAGAGGGACATCTTTGGCAGGGGCATTGAGTGTGATGGGTACTGGTGGTTTATCAGAATCCTTAAAAGCACAGACTCTGGGGTCAGACTGCCTGGACACACGGCCTGTCTTCGCTTTCTGCTGCTCACCTTGCCTCAGTTCTCTCACCTGTGAAGTGGGGATAATAATTGTAAATATTCCATAGGGTTAAATAAGTTATTCATGCTGGCATGTGGACAGCCCTCTGTAATTGTTAGCTGTTATTGTTGTTAAGGGCTGAGAAGGGAGTGGAGATGCATTATCATGAGGATTCTAATGAGGAAGCAAGTGGCAATTTCGTTGTGTGGATTTAAATTTTTTTCCCATAAACTGTAGCTGACAGTTGCTTCTAAATAGAAGGCAAAAGGCCCACAGCTTCCAATTACCTGAAAATTAGCCCACATACCATCTTTGCCTCAACTGCCAAGTGACATTCATGGACCTTCCTTTTACCTACAAAGTTGAGTTTGTAGGTAACTCTACAGATCTAATTGGTAATCTACTAATATTAATTAGAGAAGCTCATTAGTTTAAGTGATTAGAGCTATGACCCCTACAGTAAATATTATTAAAGACTAAAGACCTGATTAACCAAGATTAAAGTAAGAGAGTTGCAAATTTTCACCTGACCTAAGAAAACCTTTTGCTCTCCTTCTTTCCTGCCCTTTCAGAGCTTCTCTGTTTTCCAGACACTATAAAAAACCCTAATGCTTGCTTGCAAAATTAGATCAGTGTGGGGGTTATCAAAATTTGAAGTCCTTGTACAATTAGCATACACAGAAGGGATACAAAGGGAAGATTTCAAAGAAATTGACAACTGCATACAATTTGGAAATGTTCTCACTGATTTTGATTTGCTTAATTTCTAATTAGGACAAAAATTTCAAACACACAAACTATTGAAAGAATAATACAAAGAATACGCCTCTGCCCTACACCCAGATACCCAGTTCCAACAACTGTTAACAGGTTACCATATTTACTTCCTCTCTCTCTTTCTGGTAATCATTTGAAAACAAGTTGCAGATATGTTGACACTATATAGCTTCAACCTATATCTCCTGAGAATGAAGACATTCTCCTACTTAATCGTGAGATCATCATTATGCCTAAGAAAATTAACAAGAATTCCCTAGTATCATCTAAACCAGGCCTTATCCAGATTTCTCTATTTTTAGAAGTATGATCCAATTATGGGTCTGCTAGTATTGTTTTTAATGGAGAGAAGTGTGTGTATATCTGTCACTAAGCTTATGAAATGTGTGTGTGTATAGTGCTCATGTATGTTTGTGTGTGACGTGTATAAGTATGAATGCATACATGCATATATGTGTGTGAGCAGTGTTTTGTGTCCACATGTGTGATGTGTACATGTGCTTGTATGTGTACATGCATGTGTGTGTGTGCATGTGTGTATTGAGGAAGGAGATGCTAGGGATCCTGTTTGAGCAAAACGAACCAAGATGTGCCAGAAAGAAGATGCTTTATTATTATTTTTTTGCCTAATGCATGTGAAGAAATAAGAGCCAAACTCCAGCAACTGTTGAGCAGAATCTGTCTTGGCTAGGGAGGCTAAAGATACGAATGGTTTTGTTCCCCTTGATAGATTGATTCAGGTGTCCCTCTCTCCTGTCATCTTGGGAGAGCTCTCTCTGAAAGGGAACAGTCACAAAAGTTCTTTCTCTGCTGAAAAGTGGCAGCATTATCTTCTATTTTCCTCGCCAGGCCTGCAGCTGACGCACAAAGAAAGGTGTAATTACAATGTGACGTGCTGCTGATCGCCAGGGTCTGGAAATTCTGAACCGCTTACTCTGCTCAGAATACATTTCAATTTGGTGCTATGAATTTTACATTGAAATGAGTTTTTTCTTTAAAACCCTAGAGATAACAGCCCCTGCACAGAAGCATTAACAAATTGCTTTGCAAATCTAGGCTAAAGTGAGCATTCAATTTGAGGAGGTCAAATCAAGCTCAAGTCCTGAAGCCCAAAGCCTGGTCGCAGCAAGTCCAAGTTGGCTCTGGGATGGATTTGACCATGGATTTAGTCTTGCTTTAGTCCTTGCCACCTTTCCTGGGCCTCCCTCTGGGCTGACTTTCTTGGGGCTCTTGCAAATGCTCAAATGTCTCTGTCCAAGCTTCCAAGGGTTTAGGGCTGGAAACTGCTGAGACTAGAAGCCCTGGGGTGAACAGCCCTTGCTTGGCTGTGCAGTCAGATGGGTGAGAAGAAGGATCCACAGAAGCAAAGACTCAGGCAAGCCCAGGCTGTGGACCACAGAGAGCATCTCTTTCCACTCATTCACTTTACAGAGCGGACACTGGGTAAGGGCTCAATGGTGTGACCAAAGGCCCCCCACTGGTCACTGTAATCATCAAAATAGTAACATTTATGGAGTGTCAGCAATCTGCCAAGCATGATTCTGAGTACTTTATGTTTTCTCATAGAAGGGTCCTAGGTAGGCTGGGCATGGTGGCTCACGCCTGTAATCCCAGCACTTTGGGAAGGGAGGTGGGTGGATTACTTGAGGTCAGGAGATCGAGACCAACCTGGCCAACATAGTGAAACCCCATGTCTACTAAATATACAAAAATCAGCCTCGTGTGGCGGTGCATGCCTGTAGTCCCAGCTACTCGAGAGGCTGAGGCAGGAGAATAGCTTGAATCCAAGAGGCAGAGGTTGCAGTGAGACAAGATTGTGCCACAGCACTCCAGCCTAGGTGACGGAGTGAGACTCTGTCCAAAAAAAAGAAGGGTCCGAGGTAATCCTCTGTGGTAAGGCCATTATTACCCTTTTTCACTTTATATTATTATTTTTATTATTAATACATATATGTTTTTGTAGAGACAGGGTTTTGCCATGTTTCCCAGGCTGGTCTTAAACTCCTGGGCTCAAGCAATCCTCCCCCATCGGCCTCCCAAAGTGCTGGGATTACAGGTGTAAGCCACCGTGCCCACCCCCCACCCCTACATTTTATAGATAAGAACTCAGAGGCACAGAGAGGTTCAGTTGCTCGAATTCGTGCAGCCCGGACATGCTCACCTAGGATATTTATTGGTGACCAGCACTCTGCACTTTGGACCACACTGTCTGCCCACACTTCTGAGCTGTCCTAGCCACACCACCCCAAGCCTGGCCATTCCTGTCTAGTTAGAAATGGCTTCTTCAAAGTCTAGGGCTGGCATCATCTTAACCCGCCAGCCTGGAGACTCTCCTGCCCTTGTGTCCACATCTCGGACGAGGGAAGCCCCTCATACTGGATCTTAACTTTAGTGAAGATGTGTTCCAGAGCCTCACCCAATGCTTTTTAGAGCTGTCCTCTTTTCTTTGAAGCCCAGGCCAAGGAAACCCTCGGGGTGCTCATTTGTCATGTGTTTGCCTTGTTTTCTTAATATTTAGCGGCCCTCTTCCCTCACCTTCCACACCACCATTCACGTCATACTCATGCCCTAGGGACAGGGGATCCAGAACCACAGTGGATCCACTCTATGACATATCTTGTAGTTTATTGCACACTAGGTTACAGGAGGAAACAGGAAGGCCTGGTGGGGTGGAAAGAGCTGCATGATGCCTGAGGTTCTGACTAGCCAGCGTTGTGTCTGCCTCTTAAAGCCACTTCTCAGGCAGCCAAGCATGGCAACATCAGTGGTTCCTGGCGGCATCCTAGCTGGAGGGACCTTGGCCTGAGGAGGGGGTGGGGAACTACCCACCTCTCCTGCCACCCACAGCACTGCTTCTCCAAAGCCATGGAGATCAATCTGCCCCAAATGAGCATCGGGAGCTGCAGTAAACTCAGTCCCCAGGGCTCTTGCCATGGAGCCTGGGGCAGCCTGGGGACCCGGATTAAAATGATACGTTTTCAATTTGGCCTTAAACGAATTCACCAAATCGGCATCTTCGATGTCAAGTGGAAGTGAATTCCACAAATCTCAATTTATTTTATGGGGAAGCGTTATTGATTTTTTTTTTTTTTTTTATCGTCTGCTTCTCCTTCTTCTTCCCTCCCAGCTGCCAAGCCTCTTCCACCTGGATTGAATTGTTTGATTTAAGAGTGGCAGTTCAGAAAGAGGAAGAGATGCCTCTCCCTTTCCTTCCACACATCCCCCACCCTGCAGTGCCACGAACATCCCTTCAAGCCAGGAGAGGCAGGAAGGGACAGGCCCAAGCCAGGATTCCCTGGCTGGGCTAGAGCAGCCTTGCCCCATGTCTCCAGCTTGTCTGCATGTGCCCACACTCAGCCAGTTTGGTGCCTGTTTAGAGACTGCATATGTTGTCATGTCTTTTTTCCTGTGTTGTGCCATTTGTCTCCTTAAGGCCCTACAGGGGCCGCCCCTTGTTCCTGCCTCATGCCCACACCTGATGACCTAGCACCCAAGGCCTTGTAAACCAGACCCCAACCTGTCTGTCCAACCATGTCTGCGTCTGGCCTTCCATTTCCTTCTGGAACATCTTTTATTTATGAAGGTATTTGTATCTTCAGGCCCAGTGACTATCAGGGGCTCAGTACTTGCTTATGTACTGAGGAGGTATGCATGGTGACCCCCATGAGTGCCACTCTCAGGCCCCATCTTTGCTTATGCTCCTCTCTTCCCTTTGGCACCAGCATGAGGCCCCCCCCAATTACTCTGCCCTGTGCCAGCCCAAACTTAGCACACTTCCAGCAGAGCAATTGATTCCCTGGCTCTCCCCACCTCACCAGCCCACTCCTCCTAAAGGGCTTGCTCTCTGGAGCAATGGCTCCATCCTTCACTCAGTGGCTCAGGTGAGAAACCCTGCAGTCATCCTTGGTTCATTTCTTTCCCTCACACCCAAATCCAGTCCAATTCACTCTAATGGTTCCACCTTTTCATAGGCA
Source organism: Homo sapiens (assembly GCF_000001405.40). Classification (NCBI taxonomy): domain Eukaryota; kingdom Metazoa; phylum Chordata; class Mammalia; order Primates; family Hominidae; genus Homo; species Homo sapiens. Next base: position 47,556,442 of record NC_000018.10, read on the forward strand.
GAATTGTGGCCCCCAAAGATGTCCACGCTTTGATCTCCATGAACCTGTGAATATGTTCCTTTACATGGCAAAAGGGTCTCTGTAGATGTGATTAAGATTTGTGTATCTTGAGATGGAAAGATTATTCTGGATTACTTGGGTGGGCCCGATGCAATCACATAAGTCCTTAAAAGCAAGGACTTTTCTAGGCTGTGGTCAGACAGAGATGACAGCATGAGAAGGATTCAATACCCTTTCTGGTTCTGTAAGCAGGAGGTTCTGTGCAAGAGCTGGAAAGAAGCCTCTGGAAGCTGGAGAGGCAAGAAAATGGATTCTCTCCTGGGGCCCCCAGAAAGGAGCACAGCTCGACATCGTGATTTTAGCCCAGTGACACTTGTGTTGGATTTCTAGCCTACAGAACTATAAGATGACAAATTTGTGTTTTTGATAACCACCATGTTTGTGGTAACTTGTTATAGGAGCAATACAAAACAAACACAACTTCCTTAAATATGACCTGGAAATGACCTCTCTCTTCCATCTTCCCCCTAGTCCAAGTCACCTAGACTCCTGCAAGAGCCTCCTCAGGCGTCCTTCCTCCCCCAATCCCTGCAATCAGCTGTCCACCAGAAGCCTAAGTGGTCTTTTGTTTTTCATCTTCTTATTTTGAAATAATTTCAACCAAGTAGAAAACCTGCAAGAAAAATACGAGAATTGTCACGCCTTCATCACCCATATCCATCCATCATCAACACTGTGCCACATTTGCTTGGTCACTCTCTCTCTCTCAGATCATGTCCACCCCTACTTAAGCCTCCAGTGGGTTCCCACTGCCTTGCCCTCCTCCTCATAGCCAGTAAAGGTGGATGTTGCCAGGCCCAGCCCACCTTATCCTGTGTTCCCTGTGCTTGCGGTACCCTGCCCGTTTCCGGGCCCTCCCTCCGCTGCCCTCTGGCTGTCATCTGTGTGCCTCGGCTCTAATGTCATCACCTTCCAGACCCTTTCTGTGATCATTCCACTAAAGCAGCCTCCTACTCCACCGCAGCTGCTCTTTATGGCGTTACCCTATTCATTTTTTTAAAACAGCATTTACCAGGCTCTGATGCCATCCCATTCATTTACTGCCTGCTTGTTTATTGTTCATTCACTCCCTGGTGTGTAGCTCTTTGGGCAGGACTCTGTCCGCCTCCTATCCTGAACTTCTAGAACAGCACCCAGTACATAGTAGTTGCTCAACAAATATCTATGGACTGACTGATTTTCTGTGACACATGACTGAACCCTTTTTGCAGATCCAATTGTTTACAGGTGTGTATCTTTTCTTAAGGGCAGGCGGGATTCTTTCATTTTTAAATTCTCCCCTCTCAGGGCTGGGCACACGACAGGACCCCATCTGGATATTGGGGGATTTTCTCTGAAAGTGCGAGCTTCTCGGTGTGGAGGGCCTTCCTGCCTTCCCCACACACCACGCTAACATCCAGCTGTGTAATCAAATGCACCCCCGAGGGAGGCCCAGGGTCATAAGAATGCCTTCCTTCTCCCTCACTGTTTTTCTTTTAGATTTGTCTAAGTGCTGTTAACTTTGCCATCTTGTCTGTTTTCCTCATGCCTGTTGTGGGGTAAACACACAGAGAGCATTAGCCCCATTTGATGGACGATGAAACTGAAGCAAAGGCAGGTTAAGTGGCTTGCCCAAGGTCACACAAGTAATTAACAGCAGGACAACTCCCCTGGTCCCTAGCCTGGTGCCTTCTCCTGCAGACCACAGAGCAGCAGCCTCTTGCCCTCCCCTCAGGGACTGAGGAGCCCAAACCTGATATTATGGGCACAAAGCTTTTAGCAGATGAGTGGAGGGCAGGAAGCTGTGTGGTTAGGTGAGCTCTGGGTATGTGTGTGTCTAATTGCTCTTCATTTCCTTTCCTTTCATTCACAGAGTCATTCATTCACTCAGGCAGACACTCATTCACGAGGCATTCACTGAGCACCTCCCACCTCCTTGGCTTTCTGTTTGGCGTAGAGGAGGATGCTAGAGAAGGAGGCAGGGGCCTCACAGGAGCCTGTTCTCACACATGGGAGACCCAACTCACATATGAGAGGCGATGAGGTAGGATTGGAGACCCCATTCTGGCAGGAGAGGCATTGACTCCTTTCAGATGAATGGAGGAACTCAGCACAAAGCTGTGCACAGCCACAAAACACTCACACTGGGATTGACTCCCTCCATGCAGGTAACTACCCCCAAGCTCCCTGCTGCTGTCTTCTCTAATAAGAGAACCCCTTCCCATACCCCACTCCCCGGCCCTCTGGGGATGGACTGAGCTTCTCTACCTACAGAACTTCCCCCACAGTGGCCAGTTCACAGGGAGGGACTGAAGATTGACCCAAACCTGTGCAATCAGGATCCTTTCTCAGATTTAAAACCCATATATGAGACAGGGAGCTCTGTTTCTGGGCTGGGGAGTGGCTGTGCTCACTGAAAAGGAGGGAGCATGATTACAAACCTACTATGCTCAGTCTCCTACCTCCATGCTTCAATGACAACTTAAATTCCACAACTTTCTGATCACTTTCAGTGAGGACAATCCTGTTCAGTTCAAAGTATAACTTCAAGTTCAGTTTGAACAGCATCTGTTTGCTTCTCCCCAGTGCAGTCTGAGAGGGTCCCCAACTCTCTTGAGGGTTGTCTGGGGCAAGGATGATAGGGGTATGGGATTGGGGAGGAGGCTGGCCAGGCTCTGAGACAACCCAGATCCCTTCCCTCCTCAGTGTCCAGCTCCTCCAGGAAGGTCCCAGGGAGGGAGACAAGTGTCCCTTGGGTACTACAGGTGCTGGGGAGTCCTCTCTCTGTTGGCTCTGCTGTTTCTCTGTTGACCCCTGGCAGGCCGATAATGCCTCAGCCACAACCTTCCAGATGCTGCTCTCTCGTGGGCCCTCATGTGAGTTCCCATGGGCTCCTGAGGGGTCTCTCACTGCCCATTTCTCTGACCTGGGAGTGTCAGCTGGCTCTGAGTTCCATGTCTTCCAGCCCCTCCAGCTCGTTACTCCCAGAGGAAAGAGGGGGTTCACCTCCCAACCTCCCACTGCTGGGACCTTACAGTTGGAGAGACAAGATACACCCATGTGAAATGAAATTATTCCCTTCCCTTCCCTTCCCCTTCCCCTTTCTCCTTCCCCTTCCTCTTCCCCTTCCCCTTCCCCTTCTCCTGTCTCCCCTTTTTCTCACTTCTCTCTTTTCTATCCCTCACCCATCTCGCCCCCTTACTTTGTAAAGCTGAATTCATCAGAGTTGCCTTCAAGGCTGTCCCCAAACACTTCCCTGGCCTGTTCTCTGTGATCATGTGGTTCTTCACCTTCATTTATCTATTTGAGTATTAATAGGAGGGTTGACATCCTCAAGTTTGGAGTTTTATTGGGGAAGTAAAAATAACACAGATACAACAATCACGTACCCAGATAAGGTGACACCGCATCGTGTGCTTCCCTGCACATGGCAGATAGACAGACAGTGCAGATCACAAGGTGGGTGCTAGAGCCAGGTGGCCTGAGTTCAAGCCTAGCATTGCCACGAGTGAACTGTGCAAGTTGGGTGAGATCATCTCACCTGTGTGCCTCAGTCGCCTTCCCAGTAACAGGGGTGATAACAGCAAGTCCCTCGCATCTTTTTTTGTGAGCATTAAGTTAGGTAATGTATGAAAAGCACTGAGAACAGATCTTGGCACATAACAGCTACTCAATACATACATGATGATGATGTGCAGTGAAGGGCAAATACGGTTAGGGTTGTAGTTGGTTGATTCTGTGCCGAGTGAACTTGCCATGACTGTCTGTGGGGAGGGGAGCTGCCATCAGAAGGGAGGGACAGAGCCCCTGGGTGGCTGGGGCAGATGTGCCACCCTCTCCAGAGAAGTGGGGATGCCAGGAACACCTTTCCCTGCAAAAGGGCCATCTGGCCGCAGTAGTCCAGTTGGGGAAAGTGCCCAGGGAGTGCAAGCAGCAGGAAGACACTCTGGTGGCAGTGGTAGTGGTGGCCAGAAGTGGGCATGACAGTGGGGGTGTCAGCTCTGTCTCCATGCCCAGGATCTGAGGTGTGGAGGGGTGGGGAGCCTCCCACAAGGACTCAGGACAGCAGCTGCAGGGGACACAGTGAGAATTCCATTGGCAGTGGCTAAGGACCACCCTGCCCTTGCAGGACTCCTGGGCGTAGGGAGCTGACATAGCATGGCCCTGTCTGGAGAAGCCTGGCCTTAGGATATTTCTTGACATTAAATATTTTCTATGATTACCTGAGTCTCAAAAAGACATCCACCTTACCCACAGTACATGGGAGGGTGAGGCAGAGCCAGGTCTGGAACCTAAATCTTCAAGACAAAGTGAAATCTAAGCCTCCTTCACCCCCAGGAGGTAAAGCTGTCTTGGGTAACAAAAAACAGAAGGCAGGGATAGCGCCACAGGCTGGGGTGGCAAACTATGCAGGCATCCCAGTGCCCGCCAGCCCCCCAGAGCTGTGGCTCTGCAACTGCATGTGTTTACGGAGTCACCACTGCTACCCGGGAGCAGCTCTGGAGAAAGCCAGCCCACAAAGCTTCCCACAGCATCTGCCAAGAATACACCCGACATAATAATTTCTTTGACCTCCACCACATGAGTTTCTGAAAAGAACAAAACAGCATCATTCCCTGGCATTTACAGTTTAAACCTTTCCTATTCAAGTTTCTAACAAAAAAAGCCACCAACCCATTCTGGCCGTGATTAAAATTCATAGGCTTGCTGCAGAGAACAGATGCAGAAGCAATTTTAGGCCAGTCATATCCCAGGTCTGCAAAATTAATTTGACAGGTTTGCATTAAAGCACTGATCAATATCCACTTTAGAGCGGCAGAGGCTAACTGAGAAAAAATAAGTGACCGGAGTGTTACCAGACGAGAAAAAATGAATCTTTGAGACTTTTTTTCCCTCTAAGCTTGCACCTACATCAGAAGTCCTGACCTCAATCCATTGATCGGCTGCAGTTAACATGACAAAAGGCCCAGCAGATAGACCATCTCAGCCTACCAGGGAACAATCACCCGGATACACTAAATGTTTGACGGAGTGACTGGACTGCAGAATTAGTCTTGGCTTTCCGAGGTCGGCCACCAGCCCGGTCTTACTGAATCCTCCCCCTCCCTCCCCTAAAGCCATTTGCAGAGACTCAACTTTTCCTAAATTTTCTCCCACGGATGGTGTAGGGATGTGGTCCGGGGAAGGTGGGAACTGGCTCAATTCAGCCACCAAGAAAAGGAGGCAATGAAGTCCAAATCTTTCTTCACGCAGCACTTTAAAATGGAAGCACCAACGCTGGCATCAGCAGAGTCCTTCAAAGAATTTGATTCAGTGGAGGCCAACTCAACAAAATAGAAAGCCCCAGATGGACAGCCATTGGCTGCACCTGGTAAGAAATGGGCTCCAGCTGGCTATTTTAGTATCTTCAGGTGTATAAGGGATGTAATTAAAATTCAGAGCATCTGTCCTAGGCCTCCTTGCTTTCCTGTTCTCTCTCCCACCACACAGCCAGGTCACATTTTGGCAATAATTCAACAAATCAAAGATGAGCACCCAGTAAGAATGGGACCTTGGTCAGGCACTGGATACACAGGAAAGAGCATCTCCCTGGGACCTGCACCAAACTCTCACCTTCTCTGTGAGTGTCTTCCTAAGGGAAGTTGAATATTTCCTTTCCCAGCTCACTCATCTGCTGCGACCCATGTCATTCAGCACTTGGCTAATAAAATGAGCTGCAAACACAACTACAGATGCAATTTAAACTTTTCTAGTAGCCATATTTTAAAAAGTAAAAAGAAGCAAGTGAACTTAATTTTAATAGTATATTTTATTTAACCCAAAGTATTGAAAATACTATCATTTCAACATAGAATACATATGAAAATTTACTAAGTAGATATTTGGCATGCTTTCTGTTTTGGTTCTAGTCTTACTGCACATTTCAGTTTGGACTGGCCACATTCCAAGTACTCAATAGCCACAGGTGCCTAGTGGCTGTCCTGCTGGAAGGGATAGAGACAGAGACTAACAGTGCTCAGTCTGGGTTTCATTGCTGACATCCATAGATAGGTACCTCATCCTATCCTTCCTTACTCCCATCCTCCTAATCCCTGACATTAAGGTTATTTAACTCTCATTCATACTACCAGTTGTTAAATACTTTGTTGTTAAAGGAGATGTCACAGTAAATATTTGACATGGAGAGTCCAGTGGAAGATATGGCCATGATCTCACATGGACACAGGCAGTGGGCAGGTTGTAGGCTCCCTGGGGTCAGTGGCATGTCCTGGCCCTCCATTTGCCATGGTACCAGTACAGTGCCTGGCCTTTACAGCAGGGGTCCCCAACCCCTGGGCCATGGACTGGTACTGGTCTAGGCCTGTCAGGAACTGGGCCACAAAGCAGGAGGTGAGGGGTGGGCAAGACAGCATTACAGCCTGAGCTCTGCCTCCTGGCAGATTGGTGGTGGCAATAGATTCTCATGGGAGTCCTATGAGAACTGCACATGTGAGGGATCTAGGTTGTGTGATCCTTATGAGAATCTAATGCCTGATGATCTGAGGTGGAACAGCTTCATCCTGAAACCATCCCCTACCCTCTGTCCATGGAAAAACTCTCTTCCATGAAACTGGCTCCTGGTGCCAAAAGGTTGGGGATCGCTGCCTTAGAGGGTCCATCATTATTTAACATTTATAAATAACTTACCACATGCCAAGAACTGCCCTCAGCATTTAATAAGTATTAACTCACTTAATCCTCATAACAACTCTATGAGGTGGATGTTGTCACAACCCCTGTTTCACAAATAAGGAAACAGATGAGGTTTAAGTGATTGCCCAAGGCCTTACAGCTGGTAGGTGGCAAAGCAGGCTTTGAATCCAGCAGCCAGGCTTAGAGTCCGTGCCCTTCACCCTGCTTCTGTCTGCCTCTTGTTCATGTTCATTTATGTTCAAGATACATGAAGGCATAGGATTGCCCTTTTTCGGGTAACCCCAGCAGAGTTCCCCTAGGTTCCCTTCTGATCTCATGTCGGTGCCCAGGCTTTGGCATTTTACCAGGTGTGTTACTGACCAGTGAACTTCATAAACGCCCTTGTCAGGAAGCTAGCTTCCTCCCGCTGCAGCCTTGCACTATGGAAAGAACAGTTGGCAGATCTGTTGGCCTGAGATAGCTGATCCAGAGGCATGAAGCACAGCGGCCTGGGGAAGGAGCCATCATTCTGTTCAGAAGGGCTGTGTGTGCAGCAGAAACTCAGGATGTCCAGTCTCCAGCCAGATCCCAACCATGTCTCCACCACTGCCCAGTGTGTGAACCTTGAATCGGTTGCTTAACTTCTGCATGCGGAGTTTCACAAGCTGTAAACCCAGTGCTATGGACTGAATATTTATGTCCCTCCAAAATTCACATGTTGAAATCTAAGCCCCAAGGTGATGGAATTTGGAGCTGGGGCCTTTGGGAGGGTAAAGCCTTCATGAATGGGATTAGTACCATAAAAGAGACTCCAGGGTGCTCCCTCACCCCTTCTGCCATGTGAAGACACAAAAAGATGACAGCCATCTATGAACCAGGAAGCAGGTCACTGGGCACTCAATCTGCCAACACCTTGATCTGGACTACCCAGCCTCCAGAAGTGTGAGCAATAAATTCCCATTGTTTAAAAGCTACCCAATCTATGGTATTCTGTTACGGGAGCCTGAATGGACTAAGTCACTCAGGAAACAGCACCTATTCCACCTTTCATTTGGGGAAGTCAGGATCAAATAATGATGATGATTGTGGAAGAACCTTAAAATTATACAGCAATATGTAAAATGTGAAGTTTTATTGCATTTGTACTATTATTGACTGTAGAAACACATGGCTGTGGGTTATGATCCAGGGGTCATAGTGTTTGTATCTGAGCAAATGTCTCCCTGATTTTTCATCACTACCCAAGAGAGTGGAGCTAATATTTTAAGCTTTTGACTGAAGACAACTTTACAGAAATTCTGCATCGTGTCATTCTAAAAGCCCAAAGAAAAGAAAAGAAAAGGCTACAGGCATCATCAAATTGAAAGTACTTGGAAAATGAAAATGGCAGTAGCTGGAAGAAGGTGTCAAGACATCAGCTTCACAGGGGTGGGGAATCCCTGTTTCCCTGTCCACAAAACACCTCCATCACAGCCCTTACCTTGTTGCCTGGTAACTCAATGGAAAGAGCTCATTATTTTTACTTTGGTCTCTGTTCCCAGCATCTAGAACAGAGCCTACCCTATAGGAAGCAGGTCCTAAATGTTGAACGAAGGAAAGAATAAAAGGATGATGCTATCCCTAAGTTGGAAGGAGGCTGGGCAGAGAACGGGAGTTGTCAGTGAATGGGAGATCTGCAGGATTGCAGTGGGGCTCTGCCTGAGCCTTCATCTAAGGCTGGAGAAAGCTCAGCCCACACCCAAAGAAGCAGCCAGATTCTGTGGAGGGTCCTGATGGGCAGAGGACAGAGGGGGTCATCTCTGTTGTCTGCATTCAGACATCCTTTTCCTTCAGCTCTTTGCCATGGAGCTGTCCTGCCCAGCCTTCTCTCTTACATCAAATCCATGAGTCCCAAGGGCTCACCAGCTCCCTGTTACCATTCTCCACTCCATGCCCGTACCTCATGCACATACTGCATTGATGCTTTTACTTTCTTTCCCAATCAGGTGCCCTCTTGTTGCCTTTTGATGCCCAGGACTTACAAAATCTTGTATTTGAGGCAAAGCCTCATGTCACACCTGCTACATGCCACCTTCTTCTTCTCCAGAGACCCACCGGGGCCCCTGCCCCAGCTTTATTTCTTCAGGGCCATCTTCCACTTTCCAGAATCTGAGATCAGCCACATGGGGCACTGCATGCCAGCTTAACTCAAGGATGTATTGGGAGGCTTGTTATGCAGTTCCAGAACATGAGCTCTGAAGTCAGACCACATGAGCTTGAATCCCACCTTTGCCACTTACTAGCTGGGTAACCTTGGGCAAGTCAAATGAACTTCTAGTTATTATTGATGCATAGCAAATCACCTCAAAATTTAGCAGCTTGAAATAACTACTGTATTGTACTCATGAATTTTGCAAGTTAGGAATTTGAACAGGTTGTGGTAGGTATGGTTTGTGTCTACTCCATACATCTGAGGCCTCACTGGGAAGACTTGAAACCTGGGAATATCTCAAAGACTGGGGCTGGAATCATCTAAGCTCTTTCACTCACATGTCTGGCTCCTGGACTAGAATGACTCAAAGACTATGATCTGTGACTAGAGCATCTGTCTGTGGCTTCTCCATGGGGCTTGGGCTTCCTTACAACATGGCAGCCTCAGAGCAGTGGAACTTCTTACACAGAGGCTCAGTTCTCCAAGCCCTTGGGTTCCAGTGAACAAAGTAGAAGTTGCCTGGTCTTTTATAGCCCAGCCTCAGAAGTCACAGAGCATCACTTTTTGCCATACTCTATTAGTAGATGCAGTCAGAAGCCCACCCAGATTCGAAGGGAGAGGATGTAGAGCCCCACCTGTCAATGAGAGGAGCATTAAAGAATTTAGGGTCTATGTTTTAAAAGCATTGCAACTCCTCTCAAACTCAGTTTTCTTATCTGTAAAGTGGAGATAATCATGCCTATCTTCTAAGGTTATTATAAGGCTTACATGAGATAAGGTATTTCAAGTGCTCAGTGCAGTGCCTGGCACCACTCAATAAATCTCAACTTTTATTATTAGAAGTAACATTAGCAACTAATGTTTGTCATTAGGAGTAAAAAGTATTTTCTGCATTCTTTGCATGGTAGGCATATGTGCCCAGCTTCATGCTTGGGGGTGTAAGGGAAGCCTAGAACCCATTCTCTGTTATCAGACTGGGGAAATAAGATGCATACATAACATAGTTATCAACCAAAAGTCAAATGATGTGACAGAGATTCACTATTGGCAAGTTCAGGAAAAGGAGAGAGGAGAGTAAGCTTATCTGGTCAGAGGAGGCTTTGCAGAGGAAGTGGGACTTGAATCGAATCTTGAAGGATTTAGGATAGACAGGAGGGAAAGAGGCAGAACTTCTGGGTAACACAGACTGACCTACAGGAAGACAGAGACTGGGATGAGGTGACAAGTTCCTGAGACAATAAGGACACCAGCACCTTACAAGAGTGTTTGACCTCTTTTTGCTTCCTAATTGTAAAATAGGGATGCAAAAAAGTGTCCCAATAGTGGAAATCCATCTGTCTATCTGTCCATCTAGCCACCCATCAACCCATCCATCCATCCATCCATCCATCCACGCATGCAATATTGCCGAGCCCAGTTATAGATACAGAGGATATGAAGGTGAATAAGAGAACCTTAAGCAGTAAAGAGATTCACTGAGTATCATCTAAATGTCAGTTACTTTACTAGGCATTTGATGTTCATTATTTGATGTTTATTTATTATTTGGGCTTCCTTACAATGTGGCAGCCTCAGAGCAGTGGAACTTCTTACACAGAGGCTCAGTTCTCTGTGTAACATAATAATATAATATAAATTATTATTATATTTTATAATATATTTAAATTATATATTTAAATTTTTAATATATAAATTGTTATTAAATTATTATGTTATTAAATCAAAGAAGGCATTTTTAGCCCTGTTTAATAGATGGGAGAACACAGACTTAGAGTAAGCAATCTGACCAAGGATATTCCGTAGTCAGTGGTGAGGCTGCTATTTGAAACCAGGTGGGTCTGTCTCCAAAGTCCAGGCTGTTTCCTGTGAACCATGTGGTCCCAGGAGCCCTCTATTGCTAGGTTCACGGCACGCACAGACACTTTGATTCTTTAAGGTGACTGGAGGATTTCGGCTCTGCTGTCCTATATAGCTATGATGCTTGTGACCTACCAACAGGAAAACATGTCTCATGTTTGGTTGCATTTCCCCTGAATGTGAGCCTCCTGCAGACAGAGACTGGTGTGCCTAATTCTGTACTACCACCACCCTGTGCCCCTCATCCCCACCAGAGACAGTGGTACTTTGCTGGGTATATTAATTTCAGTTGAATTTATCAATGGTGAAGCTGCATTTTCGTGAACCATCCTCATTCTCAGCCCATCTTCACTGTGAACAGCAACTTGTTTGTAAGATTTACGTGCATGGGGCTGTGGAGCAGCAGGGAGTCCTAGGCTGTGGACGAACAAGGCTTGAGAGCCTCTGGGGGAATGAACCTCTGGCTTCAGTTGATTCTCCTGATTGTCCATAGACTTCAACTGTGGGTGAAGGGCATAAAGAATTGTCAGCCCAGAGCATTTTCTGTCTTTCTCCCTTCCTAGAACCCAGGGCACAGTGGATTCCTGTGTTCAACATCCTCATTGGTGGGCAGGAGACTTCCTCAGCTGATCCAACTCTCTGGGAGTGCACAAAATATGTGTCCTAGTGTCTCAGTGGATGTAGATGGCTGCTTTTGAGTACGCATTGTTACAATCATTGCTTAATATTCCAGTGGAGCCACCAATTCAATTATTGGTTGTATTTTTCTAAGTGTAGCTACACATCCCTCAGCCTTTCAGTGGAGGCACTAATCTCACGGGGCTTAAAGAGATTCAGGATGTGTGTAGTGTCAGTAACAGGGTCAAACTGGGTGGGTGTCTACCTATTAACCTTCCATTTTGGCAACCAAATGGCCATATCCAGCACATAAGGTGGGCCCTGGAACCTGTCACTATTAATATTGTCACTGATACAAGGTGACTGGGCTCATCTAAGCTATTTCAATAACAATATCACTATTGTTCAACCATAGAAGCAGCCAAATAAGATGTGAAGACTAGGGACCTGTTAGGATTGGGAAGCAGAGAGGGGATGGGAGAGAGGTTAGGGTCAAAAGTCTGTGTAGTGAAACGAGTTCTGGGCTAAGTAGAGTGGGTTAAAGGGCTCTGGGAAAAGCCTCTTGCATTTATGTTGTGCATTCATTCCAGCACACATCATTCATTCATCCAACAAGCATTTATTTGATTCTTAGGATGTTCTAACCCAATTTTAGGGATTATGCAGGGATATAAAAGGAATAATATTGCTTGATCTGCAAGTCTAGTTGGACAAGAGCACAAACAGTCATAACACAAGGGAGAACATGTTAAGTGTCCTAAGAGCAGCATGCACTGCAGCGTGGAGAGTGTTCCAAGAAGGGACAAATTGCTTCAGCAAGAGGAAATCATAGAGGACTTTTCAGAGGATTCTAAGGAAAAGATGTTTGCCTTAAAGAGCAACTGAAAGTGCTCTACAAATAGCGGGTATTATATTTTATCTTCCCTGCCCACAAAAATGGTCATAACACCATCCCCGGTTGGAGTTGATTCTACCCTTTTTACCAGAAGCACTGACCTCGGTAACTTTGGCAAATATCCTAGACACACATACACATACACAGACACACACACACACACAGAGAGAGAGAGAGAGAGAGAGAGGTAAGAAAACACCCTGGATGGGAAAGGGCTGTACATGTGAGGATAGATCCCTGAGAGAATGTAGCCTCCAGGCTCAGGCTTAGCAGACAGTCCCAGGGCTCTGAGGCCATAGTACCTCTGTTCCTGGACCTTCCAGGCTCTAGCCATGGCCAGCTGTGTCCTAGAGTCAGGCTGTTTGGCCATTAGAGAAAGTAGGGCAGGAGATGACCAGTCAGCTGTGTCTCCATTTTTCAAATGAGAAGATAAGGGCACAGAGAAGTGAAGGAGCTTGCCTGGGGTTTTGGGATTTGAACTAGTTTCAGGTTTTAACAATTTTTTTTTTGTTGGTTTTACTCCAAAGTCCAGAAAAAGATTGGCCAGTCCAGAAACTGGATTTTAAAATCCTCTCCCTGAAATTCCCAGTCCTTCTCCTCCTTCAGCTGTTGTGAGTCCTCCCTGTGATCTCTTCCAGCCCCCATCAACACCCAGCCACTGGCACATACTAGGGAGGGAAGTCATTGTGCTTCCCTCCCCAGTGCAGGGTGCCATTTACACCCGTTCCACAGTGTGCCCACCCCTCGCAGCTCTTGTCATGGGCCGTAGCTATGTGATTTGTGTGTGATTGTTGACAGCATCTGTCTCCTGTGCTAGACAGAAAGTTCTGTGAGGGTTGCCTCTGTTTCTCCAGCACAACTGAATGAAAAGTAGTGTCTCCTGGTCAGTGACTTTTAGGCCTCTCCATACAGAAATTCTGCCACAGAAGCCTATCTCTGCTTGTCTGGGGAGACAGTCCTACCAGAGAATGGGGTGATATAGGATCAACCCTCCTCACTGCCAGAAGGATAGGTCCTAGCATGTACACTATTGATCCAGAATGACCCATCTGAATGGTGGGAGCTGGGTAGAAGAGAGGCAGGGGAAGTGGAGGAAGCCAGGGAGATGAGGCCTGGGATATGGCAGTGTGCCAGGCTGATGGCAGAGGGCAAAGCATCCTGTGAGTGTGGGGCTAGGGTGACCATGTGCTAAAATTAGGGAAGGTCCCAGGGAATCTGGAGGGTGGCCATGCTAAGACAGGAACGACTCAGTGCGACTCAGTTTCAAAAACTTACACGAAACACTTCCTTGGGTGACTTTGAATCACATGCTTCTGTTATTAATTTTTCTGAGAATGTGATTTAGCTCCAACAGCTTTTTAAGTGCAGGGCCTGTTTTATTAAACTAAAAAGGTCATACTGGCTCCTACTGTGTACCAGACATTGGCTTTCCACATATGTTATCTTTTTAATCTTCACAACTGCTTGAGTAAGTAATATTATCCCATTTTTCAGATGAGGAAACTAAGGCTCAGAGGGGTTAAATAGCATCCCAAGGGGCTGGGATTTGAACCCATTTTGCCAGACTCCAAGACCTACAAAAGGGTCCAGGACAGGACTGGCTGGGTGAGAATATGCTATCAAGTCATGCTTATCAGCAACAGACACCTCTCCACTGTCACCCTAAATCCATCCTCGGTAATAAGTCTTGCGCAAACTTGCCTGGGGTGGCCTGGCTGGAGCAGATCCCCTGGCTGGGGTATACTCTGTGGGGTTGCCTCTCAGTGCTGTTCCAGCTAGGCTTCCATGCCAGCCTTCAGTTCAGGAGGCGCCAAGACCCTCAAGGAAGGTCCTTGCTGGCTCCCGGTTCTGCTCAGCCAGCCTTTCCAAGCGCTCCCCATTCATCAGTCTCTCACTTCCAGAAGATGCATTTGGCAGCCGTTTCTCCCTAGGTGGGGTTGGGTAGAAGTGAGGGTAGATGTGAAGGAGAGGGTGGTTCTTGCCAAAATAGTCAACTGGGCTGCTCTGGATGAGGTTACTTGTAGGAAAATCTTTGAAAAATATTCTTAATCAGATTTGAAATACATCACTCCTAGAGGAGGACTGGGATTCTTTGGACCCTGGGGAGGCACATATCTGGGCTTGGGGTCAGGATCCGGGTACCCTCTTCCCAGAAGGGAAAACTTTCTTTGAAAAGAAGGTTTCAGCTCATGGAACCATGACTGTTACCACCGGAAGAGACCTCGGTTCCCTGCTCTGTGGTGAGTGTCATTCCATTTCACTCTCATTCCATTTCACAGATGAACCCACTGAGGTAGGGAGGCCAGACCATCCTGACCTCAGGGAATTGAGGAAAACGTGCAGCTTCAAGGACCACTTCTGGGCTAGCGGCCAGAGCACTGGACAGAGACATAGAGAACAAGCCCTGTTTATTCATTAAATTGCCTGGATTTTTGTCCCAGTAGGATTTGGAGGCAGATACACTGTAAAATATGAATGGTTCCAGCACATTGTTCTCACTGTTTCTGTAAATAAAAAATACATGCCAAATAACCACATCAGGCCCAGTTGTTTGATGGCCTCTCTCCTGATACTTAATTTCATTTCACGACATAAAATAAGGAGGGCAGTGAGGTGGGGGGAAGCGGACTTTTGTCAAAGTACAGTCTCATTGGTTAACACCTGAGGGGAAATGACTGAAAAGAACTTAATTCAAAAAATGCTTTAGGCACAAAGGAGCTTCTTCCAACCAGTAAGAGTCAGACAGCTATGGAGAGAGAGACATCAATAAATAATCAGCCAGCTTAGACTTTTAAATGGGAATCCCAGCCTCAGCACCCAAAGGTAAATTACATCTTTTCCACCAGCCTCCAAGCAGGGCTTCATGCTTGTGTGGACTGGGAAACTTTGCTTGTTGCAAATGTAGCCTGACCTTTCTTTCTAACAGGAGAAATATATCCTATTCATATATATCCTATATATATGCCACATGTTCCCTTTCATACATATATATGGAGAAAGGAAAAGTGTCCATCCTTAGAAACCCCGAACAGCACTTTTGCCATCCGGTTTCACTGTGGTTTTGGTTTAAGGCACAAGTCTCCTGTACAAACATCACCTCTTGTAAATAGCTAGGGCAGGGTAGGATCTGGAGCAGGGGGAAGGAGGTGTCCAGATCCTGCCCCTGAGTCCCTGAGTCCCCCTGAGTCCCCTGAGATATGTGCCTCTCCAGGGTCCAAAGAGTCCCAGTCCTCCTCTAGGAGTGATGTATTTCAAATCTGATTAAGAATATTTTTCTGACCCTGCCCAGAAGAAACCAGCCTCTCCTGGACTTGATTTCACTTCCAAGGATATGGATTTGTCAGCGTGACAAGGGAGCAAGCCCCTTCCTGGGTGGGATTTGATCTCCACCTTCTGCTCCCTGGCCAGGGCCCCCTGCTTCCCAGGGCCTTGGTTGGCCAGCAGGTCCCGGGGCATCAATCACCGTCCACCAGTGTTTTATGAGGCCACTTCTGAACCAAAGAGCCAGCAAGGGGGTTTATGGAGCTGGCTCTTTCTGTCACAAACACTGTTTCTTATTGCTTGTCATTTTCTCCCAGACTGTTAACACCTCATCCCTCTAACAGCAAACTGCCCTGTGGGTCTTCCTTGGTGGAAAAGGCAAAGCATCCCATGAGCAAAGGCTGTTTCTCTGCCTGCAGAAAGCATACACTGCCTGGAATTTGGAGACAATGGCAGCTCTACATTCTTCTTCCTTGGCTCTTTGCTGTTGGGGTGGGTGGCTCCTCCCTGTGAGTTAGGGTCCCCATCTCAGAGTAGAAAGGAGAGCCCAGATGGGGAGAATGTGAGGTTTTTCTGGGGCTATCTTTCATAAGTGGTACAGTAAGAGAGCCCAGTGTTCTCAGCCCATGGGGCCTGCCAGGGAAGGGAGTCTGGAACCCAGGGGTTTGCCTGTCCTAGTTCACTGGCTAGTCAGAATTGAGATGTGCAGCAAAGGTAAAATACATATGGAGAGTTTCCAAGACTTAGTGCAGAAAAAGTAAAATAATAATTTTGAAATGTTGATTACATGTTGAAATGACAATAAGTTGGATATATTGGGTTAAATAAAATACAGTATTAAAATCTCATCTGTTTTGTTTTGCCTTTTAAAATGGGACTATGAAGAAAATCTAAAATTACACATGGCTCAAATTATATTTCTATTGAACACCATATGGGTCGTTTCATTATTCAAGGGGAGACACCAAACTAAGATCAATGTTTCTACCTTGTCATTCTAACATGGTTTTATAATGAAATATATAAATACAAGAAGTATATATAACATATAGTGCAATTTAATATATAGTGAAGTGATCACCTTCCACCATCCAGTTTAAGCAACAGAAAAACCCAACATATTTGAAGGACTGTGTTCCCCTCTCTGACCACACCTCTCTCCATCCCTTACCAGAGGCAATTGCCATCTGAATTTGCCCTGCCCTTATTAAATTATAATTTTTATTTTGAGAAATTATAAAAATTCAGAAAGTACCAAGAATTCCTAACAAACACCTGTGTACAGTTGTATAGCATTGATCATTGTTAACAAGTTGTCCTGTTTGTTTCTCATTAAATAAAGTAATGAGGGCATTACAGATAAAGCTAGAGCTGTCTTTTAATTGCTGGCCAGCTCACTCCACTCCCAGGTGCTCAGCTGTATTTCTGCAGCAAGGTATTAGTGTATCCTCAAATGACAACTATAAGGTCAGCCACTTAGCTGACACCAGGCCCCAGAGGGTATAGCAGAGATTCTCATGAGCACATACCTCCAAGAAAAAGCAGATATAAAAAGTAGCTGCAGGCCGGGCGCGGTGGCTCACGCCTGTAATCCCAGCACTTTGGGAGGCCGAGACGGGCGGATCACGAGGTCAGGAGATCGAGACCATCCTGGCTAACACGGTGAAACCCCATCTCTACTAAAAATACAAAAATTAGCCGGGCATGGTGGCGCGTGCCTGTAGTCCCAGCTACACAGGAGGCTGAGGCAGGAGAATGGCGTGAACCCGGGAGGCGGAGCTTGCAGTGAGTCGAGATCGCGCCACTGCACTCCAGCCTGGGCGACAGAGCGAGACTCCGTCTCAAAAAAAAAAAAAAAAAAAAAAAGTAGCTGCAATCTAGCATGGCCCAATTACTTTATGGAATCATTGACCTTAGTTGTGGAAAGGCCATTAGAAATCAGTTACAATGGAGGCCAGAGAGGCTGAGTGACTGATATGAAGTCACCAGCCAGGTATGTCAGAGCCTGGAC
This sequence comes from Homo sapiens, assembly GCF_000001405.40. Taxonomy (NCBI): domain Eukaryota; kingdom Metazoa; phylum Chordata; class Mammalia; order Primates; family Hominidae; genus Homo; species Homo sapiens. The sequence goes on from NC_000018.10 coordinate 47,573,986, forward strand.
TGCACCTGGGTCTCCCATCAAGCACTGAATTCAAGGTGAGCTCAGTTGCCAGCCGTGTGAATCATCTGAATCATGATACGCTTCACGCTAGACTTTCCAGGATAAGTGAGTGGAACTGGGGATTGAGCTTCCTAGGAGTGGAAGGTAAAGCAGAAAGCCCTTTCAGGTTGTTAAGAAACATTTTTCAAATATCTGGGTCCACTTCCCTTGACAGGAAGTCCCTACTGCTTGACATCACACGTCTTTCTTGGCTAATGATGGAGCTTCTAGCCATTTCTCTGAAGACAGCAGTGCTCACTGTCTAATCTGTAACTGGAGGTGAAGGAGCTTCGACTACATCGGAGCCAAGCTTTGTTTACATCTTCTTTTAAAAAGAAATTCTTACTAAGTGTTTGATGACATTATTTTCTTGTAATTTGTTTCTGATCTAAATTGAAGTGATGCAAATATATACGTATATTTTCCTAACCATCAGGAATATTGTTGAGTTCTAGTTTGTAGAGTTTCTACTGGAATGATACTCACCAGTGGTCTGACTCAGCCATGGAAGGAAGCCCTACAAAGACAGGTGTGAGAATAAAAGGAAACTGTTTGCCATATTCTTTTCCAGGAGCAGACAATTGAGAGGCCTGGCTCATGGATGGGTTTGAACCACCTCAGGACTGAAGATGAGCGGCTCAGTTTCACTAACAACAAGAACAGTGACAAATTCCCTGCCCGGCCCAAGCTCTGTGGTCCTTATGCAGGTAGAGTCCTCATGCTGAATGTTTGCAAGCTGACTCTTCAATAAGACCGTGAGCTCCTTGAGAAAGGAATTGGGTCTCTGTGCAGTGTATCACATCTACCTCAATGCTCTGCTTAGAGGAAGTGTTTGAAAATTTTTTGTGTGATAAATAATAATACTAATCCAGTTAAGATATACTGCCCTCGGTATGAAAAACTCTATCCCAAGGTGGAGCAGGTGAGTTGTGGTATGTGTTTTCCTTGTTCTGGACAAAGCAAAGTACTATGATACCAAAAGGGCCAAAATCAACATGGGGAGTTGTTTGCTCAGGAGGAGCGGGTGGGCTGGGGAGGGGAAGACAGGAGGAGAGAAAGAACGCACTTGTGCTGCAGAAACCTTGAAACAATCAAAGGCACAAATGCCTCTTTTTATAAACACACACTGTGAGACAGATGTTTACCCAGGACAATCCAGAGAGTAAAAGCCAGCCAAAGCCAGAGGGATTCATGCTCCGCAAACAAGGGATTTCCTGGGGGAAGGAGTGGCAGGTAATGGGTTCTACAAATTTCCCCTCCTGATAACTACATCACAGACCGAGTCCAAAGAGACCGTTCTTCCTATTGAAACCTTATTTAAATACTGCCGCCTATCTTGGGCAGAATTGCCATCGTATTGGCTGGCTTAGGCTATTCTCTCAAAGCTTTATGAAATAAACACTCGAAAAAGAAATAACCATGTCTCTGTGGGAGCAGGGGACACACCTCTCAGGGAATTTTCTTCCCAAAATGCGTCAGTAGTCAGCCTGTCCCAGTTCTGATCAGTGGCCTTCAAACAAGTAAAGATTGTAGAGAAAACAAGAGCAGTACCTCTTTAAAACAGCAAAAATACCATTTGTGCAGTGTGGATGCTTTTCAGCACGTTCATCATTATGTGACTATTTAAATGAAACAACCACCGTGATAAAAGAGACCAACACTGTGGTTGCCTTTGCAATGATTGCTATGTTGGTCCCCTCGTGCTTATGTTCTCTCTCTGGATTCTTTTCAGGCATAGCAAAGGCCTCAGGAATGGGATCAGGGATTTCAAACGCTGGTCCACACATGGCCACAGTTTTCTGTGTGACTTTGGATGAATCAAGCCCCCCTTTCTGGGTCTCAGTTTTCCCACCTCTAAAGAGACTGCATTAGATTAAATGAACCCTGATGCTTTGCCTATTTTGAAATGCCAAGTTCTTTCTCTAGGAGTGGGCATACGTTTGTGCCCAGCTGTCCATTCCTATTCACCATCTTACCAATACTTTTTTTTTTTTTTTTTTTTTTCCGGGAGGGAGGCAGGTCAGTATTTCTTGTATGAGGTCTTAAAACCAAGCAAATTCTACTGGTCCATTTTCCTCAGGTAACTCAGTAAGCCATTCCTGCGTCAAATGTGACTGACTGCGTGAAACCAGCAAACTCCATATAGTTCAGGCCTCAAGGCAAGAGCTGCTGCTAAGAGCTGGAGTACTCCTTTTCAGATGGCTGAGATTGGCTTCTAGCATCTCCATGGTGTCTAGCCAGCCATTCTTGTCCCCACAACCAGCCTGCACATCTCTTGGATTCAACTAGCATTTATCAGGCAGCTACTCTATGCCACACACTGTACTCAGGACTAGAAATATAGAGAAAAACATCAGGACTCCTTGAGCTTACAGCCTCATGCAAAAACAAGGTTCTAAACCAGAAATTCACCCCAACACAAGGTCACACAATGTGATAGAGCCCTGGGATGGTGGCTTTCAGAAAATTTTATGAAAAGCTAAAAGTATTTCTCTCCCATACTTATCTCGGAAAGAGGGGTTGTGGTTGGCAGAAATGGCATTAAGGTCAGTGAGAGGCAGGACTGAGCCTCTTGGAGAATGGCCAACCTTCCCTCCTCACTCCATGGGGGCCTTTTCACTTTCACACCATACCTGAAAGATTCAGGAGCCCCTGCCCTTCAGGTAGGAGGGACCTGGGAGAAATAGCAATGGCCTCTGGACATTTCTGGCATGTTCCATGTGGTCTGCTGCCAAATGTAGTGTGTGGTCGGACTGAGTACAGCTAGAGAGGTGGCATCTGGAGGGCATAAACAGTGTTTGCGCATGGTCTAGAGTGGAGACCAAGGAGGCTGGGGACCGGGGAGAGAAGGCTGTGCTTTGGGTGGCCCTGGGCAGGCTGGGTTGTCTGGGAGGCAGAGCAGGAAATGGCCCCATGGCAGAGCCAGATTTATTCACTGTCTGGGCTTGGTCCCAGCCGGTCCTTTGCTCAGGCTTGGTAAATCCTCAGTTCTGAAGTCATTTTTATTAGCGATTGCCTTTTTTTTTTTTTTTTTTTTTTAGCTTTGAAAATGTGGTTGGACGAAAATGAAATTTCAGATGTGTGTGTCTCAGCATTGATTTTTCTATTTGTAATAACACACCCTGGCATATCTCCTTTGATATCAAGAGGATAAAATGTCCCTAACAGCATGCTCTTCATTCTGGGGTAATGGATAAAGCCTGTTTATGAGATGTCATTTATTCCACAATAGACAGTAAATAAAAGCCATTTCAAGCTTGGGTTAAATCAAAGCTTGTTCAGGATTTCAGCAGATTTGCAAATCACCTCGGGGACCTTCATCAGTCGCAGTTGCTGTTTTCCTCCTTGCTATTGATTCTCTCCCTCTCTCTGCCAAGCCTCTTTCTAACCTTAGCTGCCCTGAGCACCTGACTGATTTGGAAAAAGACAACTGGCCTGGCTAGAGACCTAGCGTGACATTAAAAATTCCTTCCCTCAATTTGGGGAATAAAGGCTTTGAAAGGCAGCAAGAAATTGAGGTTATATCAACAAAAGCCAGAGTGGCAAAGGGAAGGAAAAAAGCCTTAGCAGGACAATAAGATGCAAACCTGAATTGGAGAAAGTGCCTGAAAGGCGGTGGTGGCAGCAGCCGCAGCTCCTTTGAGTCACGTGCAGATTGTATTTCTTTCACTTCCTGGGACCCTGTGTACTGGAGGGAGGGGGAAGAGAAGGGAAGGGGCACCACCTGAGGTGTCCCTGCACTAACCCAGGCTTTTGTCTTGCACATTCAAATTCCCGCCCTCTGATCTGACCTGTAACTCCTATGAATCCTGGCCTTTGGGACCCACTTAAGTCCCAGGAAGCCGTGTGGCCTGTCCCGTTTCCCTGGTCCCTCACAGCGTGTTATTTGGGATCTTTGACACGTTTAATCTCTCCTTACTCCTGCGTGTTCTGGAGAGTGAGTATTGGCCTCACAATTGAAACGCAGGTTCCTTTGAGGTTTGGGACAGACTTTTAAAGCTAGAAGAGTCAGTCCTGGGGTCTCTAGACCAATTTTCTCTTCACTGCTGGAATCCCCTGCATAACATCCCCAAAGACAGCAGCCCCTGCCTTCAATTCACCCAGAGTAGGTACTGCAGATATGGGAGTCTCTCAGCCTGGGAAATGTCTTCATCTATTAAGCTCAAGTTTTCCATCCTGGAACCCCAGCTCCTCTTCGGATGCCAGCCTGCCTTCCAGAGGGAGAGTGAGTGAGCCGAGTCCTAGCCCCTTACGGCAGCATTTTCCTAGGTGACCTTGGGCCTGTCTCATCTGCCTCAACCACACTCCAGCCAGAGGGCTGATTTGGTTTCAGTTTATCACTTAGCCATGAAAATCAGTACCCCAACATTTCATTGGTTAGCGTAGACCAGAAAAGTGTGTTCAAATATTTGTGTCTTAGGATATTTGTCTCATCATTCCGATTGAATATTTACTGAGTAACAGTTTTGTAGAAATAATATTCTAGGTCTGCGATAGGTTATATTATTGTTCAAAATATTTACTGCCGCCCCCCTCCCCACCGTTAGTCTGCCTTATGTGGGAGGATTATACGTCCTTGTCCCCGTCGACCATGTGACCTGCTCTGGCCACGAAATGTGAGCAGAAGTGGCAAAGTGCAGATCAATGGCTGAGATTCCATGGGCATCTCACCCACATGAGTAAGAAACCTCTGTTATTAGAGGTCAGGTGTGGTGGCTCATGCCTGTAATCCCAGCACTTTGGGAGGCTGAGGGAGGTGGATCACTTGAGGTCAGGATTTCAAGACCAGCCTGGCTAACATGCAAAACCCTGACTCTACTAAAACAACAAAAATTAGCTGGGCGTGGTGGTGCGGCCTGTAATCGCAGCTACTCAGGAGGCAGGAGAGGCAGGAGAATCGCTTGAACGCAGGAGGCGGAGGTTGCAATGAGCTGTGATCACACCACTGCACTCCAGCCTGGGAGACAGAGTGAGACTGTCTCAAAAAACAAACAAATGAACAAAAAAAACCTGTTATTAGTGAGTTTTAGTAGCAGTGAAACCTCTGTTACTAGAAACACTCAGATCATCATAATTAGACTAAGCTGATGAAAGAAGGTTCTCCAGGAAATTTCAAGAAATTCTGAGCACACTGTGTGACCTCAGGAAGCTTACAGTCTAATTGAGGAGAACCTGTCCAGTGCCAAAAACATGGTGAAAATAGTAAATGCTTCAGGAGCTCAAAGGAGGGAGAGGAGGAGGAGCTGGGTGATTCAGGAAGAACTTTTAGAGCATTAACTCAAACTGGATGAGACTCAGAAACTTCATCCACCTGCAGGACAGGCCTGCTGTTGTGGGCTCAGCTCTTCATGTTGAGGGATTAAGAGCTTGGGTATTCCTCAAGCTCTTTTTTTTTTTTTGAGAGTCTGTATCACCCAGGCTGGAGTGCAATGGCAACATCTTGGCTCACTGCAACCTCCGCTACCCAGGTTAAGGCGATTCTCCTGCCTCAGCCTTCTGAGTAGCTGGGACTACAGGCGTGCACCATCAAGCCTGGCTAATTTTTGTATTTTTAGTAGAGACGGGGTTTTGCCATGTTGGCCAGGCTTGTCTCGAATTCCTGGACTCAAGTGATCTGCCCACCTCGGCCTCCCAAAGTGCTGGGATTACAGGTGTGAGCCACCGAGCCCCGCCTATTCCTCAAGCTCTTAATTCTAATTCCCTCATTTAGGGGTGAGCTAATGAGAGAGCACATTCCATGCACCTAGCATTGTGCCAGGCCTTAAATAACTTTTCTTTCAGATAACTTGATAATGGTGAATCGATGACATCAATTGTAATAGATATTTGAAATAGATGATGTGCCCTTTTCAGTCTTCTGAAATCAAATTGTGGGAGTAACGGTCTATGGTTCTGTATAAAACCAGTCTGATTGGGCGCAGTGGCTCACACCTGTAATCCCAGCACTTTGGGAGGCCGAGGCAGACGGATCACTGGAGATCAGGAGTTCGAGACCAGCCTGGTCAAATGGTGAAACTCCGTCTCTACTAAAAATACAAAAAAAAATTAATAAATTAGCCAGGTATGGTGACGCATGCCTGTAACCCCAGCTACTCAGGAGGCTGAAGCAGGAGAATCACTTGAATCCGGGAGGCAGAGGTTGCAGTGAGCCAAGATCGCGTGAGCTAGACTCTGTCTCAAAAAACAAACAAACAAAAACCAGTCTGGATAGGGGCTGGCTCCTAGAAGTGACCGGAAAGGTCCTCAGCAGCTGAAGCCACAACTGTCCCTTTGTTCCCCTCTCCTCCCATTCCTTACCTATCTCATTTAATCCTCTCAATAGCCTTTTGAGGGAGGTGCTGTTGTTATCCCCATTTTACAGTTATAAATACTGAGTCTTAGAGAGGTTACAACTCTCACCCAAAAGCATGCATAATCGATCAGTAAGTGTCTGAGCCAGGACTAGGACAGTGTCCTGCCTGAATCCAGGGCTTCGCCCTTCACCATCCTCTGCTGCCTACAGCAGTGCAGGCTCTGCCCCCTTGCCCCCTGAGAGGGCCAGGAAGGGGGCCTCCCTGGGGGAGCTGTGATGGCAGAGTCTGCAGCTTGGCCATGAGGCTGAGTCCCAAAGATGCTGCGGAATAAGCCGGTAGTTAGAGACGCTATAGGAATTATACAGGGAAAAAGCAGCAATGTGGGAGAGAGGAGGAAGAAAAGGAGAAGGAGAGAAAAAAGGGAGGGGGAAGGCCCCCTAGGTGCCCTAGTGCCTGGAATACTTGCTCTGCGCCTCTAATTTCTCTCGAGTGGTGCCTGGGTGCGCTCTGTTACAGTTAAAGTTGTGTCAGTGGTTTCATTAGAACCCAGGCTTTGATTTATAACCCTCCCTGCAAAAATGTGCTCCTGGCTGAAAACTGGCATCCGAGGTCTTGGGCCAACAGAGCCATTTCTATAGAAGAGTTATAAGGCAGGGGCCAGGAGGGAGGTCCCTTTCTTGAGTCCGGTTTTCCAGCTAGAAATAAAAAGAAGGGGGTGGGGAGTTGTTTAGAATTCAAAAACATCAGCCTGGATTTCAGAAGGAGTTCTTAAAGGGTCAGTTTCTTCATCATATGCATGCAGAGACTTTTTTGTGAAAGTATCTAAAAACTGTTCACAGAAATGGTGCTTTGGAGTAACTCCATCTTGCAAACATCATTATGAAGAATAATTAACAATAATAATGAAGATAATGATCGTGGTAGTAAGACTTTCTTATGGGATGATGCTTTAACTTTATCATGAAGCACCCACATACATGGTCACACTAATACAGCAGCCCTGAGACAGTTGGGAAGAAATTAGTATCCCTGTTTTGTGACAAAACTGAGACCCAATCAGCTGAATGCTGTGCTTAGAGGCACCAGCCTCAGTTCAGTGGCCATCCCGCCCTAGCGTGCCATCTAAACCGGGACTTCAATAAACAAAAAAGCAAAGTAGGTCTGTGTACCAGCCGCTTGTTTCGATTTTTTTTTTACTTTTATTTTAGAAGAATACGCATCATTGGAAACAGGTCCCATTTTGAGCCACATGAGGCTTGAGAAAAATAAATGTGAAAATAAAAGCGCCGTTTAATATGGGTATCATTATTACTATTATTATTGCAAAGAGCCTATTTGGAACTGCCTGAAAACCTTAAGACTGATTAATATTTTTAGAGCATCAGAAGGTATGCTTTTTTTTCCCCAGTATAAATTCTTCTTTCCCAAATGGTTGAAAAAGCATAATCATAGTCATTATCATCATCATCATTCCTTCCACTAATGTATTGCTTCTCACATAATGTCTCATGAATTAGCACATTTTCTGCTCAAGCATCCCCATTTAACAGATGAGGAGATGGAGGCTCAAGTGCATATAGCAAAATGAGGGGGTCTTGGGACTGAAATTTGGATTTTCAACAAGCTTGCCACCTTACCACTCTGCCTCTTATCACACATGCTTTGTTGGGCAAATGCTTTGAAGCCCAAAATTGCACCAGGTCAGAAATTAGGAATAGTTCACCATCAGGAATAGAGCTAATGTGGCCAAGGCAGTCACCGTCAGGACAGACACCCCAATGACAGGCTACTCAATGTCTCACCAGCACATTCACTCTGCATGGGATCCTCAGCCCTGTCTCAGTCCCTCCCGCTGGAGCCCTGTCCCACAAAGGCCTGCCCCAGGGGCTGGGAGCCAGGCAGAGCTTCATCCCTCCCACTGAGCAAGACTTGGGCTGTCACTGTGCTGTTATTTATGAGTCCCCCTTGCCCAATGAGTGGCCTCGAAGGGGCCCAGCCTGGGCCTGCTGTCTGGCCAGACTTGTCACACATCATTAGATGTTTGGTTGCCACTGACCCCTCTGCCATCTGGCTGAGTGGCCTCGGGGTGAGGAGAGGCAGGCAGCAGCTCCTCATGCAGCCCCCAAGTCTTTGTGGCATTCAGGACATGGAAGTGTTTCAGAACTGTTGTGCTCATCTACTAAGGGGAAGACAGAACTGGAAAATAATCTCTTCAAGAGATTATTTAGGGCTTCTCTGTATTTAGGGTTTCTCACCCTTGGCACTGCTGCCATTTGGGGCGAGATAATTCTTTGTTGCCTGAGGCTGTCCTATGTATGGTAAGATGTTGAGCAGCATCCCTGGCCTCCTCCCTCTAGATGCCAGTGGCACCCCTGTCCCAGATGTGACAACCAAAAATGATGTCAGACATTGCTGAATTGTCCCCTGGAGGAGGAGAAAAATCAACCCCTTTGAGAACTGCTGGGCAGCTCTAAAGGTAAGACAAATTGGGCAGTGAGTTACTGAGCTATGACCGTGGCAGGCATGCATGTTCCCCGAACAAAAACCATTTCTGGGACAGCATAAACAGATGGCAAATATTTTATGAACACCGTGTTGCCTAATCATTGCAACCATTTATTGTATCGTTGGAATTCCTGACCCCACTTTGCAGATGAGGAAACTGAAGTTTAGAGAGGGAAAGTGATTTTCTTGAGGCCTGAGAAGTGAGAGTTAAGCTGGGTTTAAAATCCAGTTTTTTTTTGGAAGCCTCCTGCACATTGCTGCAGCCTTGTGTCCTTGTTCTCAGTGTAAGGGCTTGGCAAACATGGCATGTGGGGCCCTGAATGTTCTATGATTGCATACTTGGCCTGCGGCAGAGGATGCTCATTTTGTGTCCTCGCGCTGTTTCCACTATGTTACACAGGGCCTCTTTTTCCCCACAGCCCATCTCCCCCAGAGCTCCCCTTTCTGTGCCCTGGAGCAACCCCTTTGCACCATAACAACATTTGACCCACAGGACCCAGGGTGGTGAGAGAAAGTTAGAACCCCTCCCAGGGATGCTTACATTGTAAAAGATCCCTGGGGAGAAAAACCAAAGCAGTGCACTCTGTGATATTTCAGTCACTTTACTAGGTTGGTGTAGAACTCACGGGGCAGGGTATTGTAGAGCCCTTTAAATCAGTCTATAAGCTAGGAGATTCCATCTCTATAAAAATGAAATATTTGAATTTTAGAATATAGGAAAGTGGTCAAGTGGTTGCTACTGCTATTTTAACAATTGCATGTAAGTCTTTAATTACAACTTGCCTTAAACCCTCTCTAGAAGTAAGTGGCAAATTTGTGAACATCTTTTGTGCTTATTAAGTAAAACAAACCTATTTCCAGAGTGCCTGTCCCCAGATTTGTTTTATAGAATCTGGAGTAGGCATTAAGTTATATATAAGCCAGTAAAGCGGTCCAACCACACATATAAATTGTACAGCCTGAACTCTTCTTGACCCCTTTCCCTGAATTGCATGCCCCCTTGCTGTCTTGCAGGCCAGGAGGTCCCCAGTTGGTTCTGGTCTGGTGCAAGTTGTGGCCAAGGGTCTGGCCGATGGACTCACCTAGATTGCTTGGGCTTCTTCCCTTCAACATGGGTGATTTATCTGAGTTTCAGGGTCCACCAGCAACTCTTGCTTCCCTGATGTTGTTAAACAAATCACTTCCTTTGCCAAATAATTAATTTGATGACATTTCTAATTTCTGCTTATCTTCCCTTCAGGACATGCAAACTTCATTTTATGACCCCTGTTCCAAAGGAACACACAGGCCAGAAAGGTCATTAGATGTACAGGTAGAGTCAGGAAGGGACAGATGTTTGCACTGGAGGGATACTAGGAAGCTGGCGGCTGGCAGCCTTTTCTGCTTTTTCCAATCCACATTATTCAAGACAAGGTTTTTTGTTGTGGTAAATCTATATTTGAGGTGAAAATTATTCAGAAGGAAGGCTGAATGCACTTCCTGAAGCCAAAGAGGAGAAAGGACTATTCGTGGATTCCTGGATTGTATGAGCTATGTGATCTGGGCAGGCTGCAAGGAGGAGGAGGATTGTAGGCTAGTCTGGGGGTGGTGTGCTCACACAGATAGAGGGGAGAGAAGGTGCATTCAGGGCGAAGCCACGGGGGTGGACGGTGTTGGTGGGGGGCGTAGGTACTAATGGGAGTAGAAACACAGGGCATGTTTCAGAGATGGTGTTTGGCTGATAGGTTTGATTGTGATCAGCTGGAAGGCTGTCACAAGTCCGGAATACCAGGTGAGGCAGTGGGAACTCTGTGTTCCTGGCAGGAGAAGCAAAAGGCAAAGCTTCCTTCAGCTCCTTCCCATCCCATAACTTTTGCTTGCCACAAGACCCCAAGATGCTGCAGCAACAAGAAAGGCTACTGGATCATCAAATAAACATGTGATTTAATTAAGTAGAATTTTATAATTCATAATTGTGATGTTTTTAAAACAGGGATACTAGTAGCATCATCTTGTGCTGTTTTGTATACAACTTGGTACACTTCCTCTTCATTTATTTGGATCCCAGCCTTGTGAAATGGGAGGAGATGAACAAGTATGTGTGGATGAGGCAGAAAGGGTGGAAGTAACCAAAGCTCAGAGAGATGACACCACCTGCCCAAGACCACAAAGCCGGTCACCTGTGGGTCTTGGGGCCTGTAGCAATTGTCTGTTACTTGAATGTCAAGCTTATAGGGACAGCCCCGGATGTTGCTAGAAGGCAGAATCCAGGAAGCTTCAGGCCGTGGTAGCTGTCACCACCTATAGCCTTTGGTCCAGCTCCCTGGTAAAACACACACCTGTGGGCACCCACAGCACCCTGGGTCTGGGAGAGGGGGTGCAGGTGGTCACTCGGAGCTGAAACCCCATCAGCGGAAACACTCCACATAAAAGGGAGCCAGGGATGCCAATTTCCATTTTCATTAGAGTGGCTGGTGCTTAGTAATCCAGAAGCTTTATTTAAGGGCTGACCTCTGACCGGGCCTGTCACTCCAGTGGCAGGCGCCTGATAGTCACTAGAAATCAATAGCTGGCATGAAGGTCACTTCCTAGAAAAACTGGGGCTATCAACGTGTCAGTTCCAATGAAAGATTATAACCAACCAGCAGAGAAGTTTATCTGTGGCTGAGAGCTTATCTGAGCTGGGCTTGTTGTAGGCTGTACACATGCACATGTGAGTAGCTATGTGTGAGTGGGCAAGTGTGCATGCATGTAGAAATGTGTGCATCTGTGAAACAAAGCACACATGTGCAGGAGAGTGTGTGTGAGTGCTTTTGTGCAGATATGAATGTGCATGTGGGTGCAATCAGTGTGGATAGGTGAGCAAGTGTGTTTAAGTGCAGATGATAATGTGTGTAAGAGAGTTGTGTATTTGTGCTTCTGTGTGTACATGCATTTTCAGGTAAGTTTATGTATGTGTGTCAGTGCACATGTGAACATGTTAAGCACACACATGTGTGCGTATGTGTGGTTGGGTGTGCAGATGCCCATGTTTGTGTATATGGGTGTAAAGGTGCATTTGATAGTATGCATATATCTTACCTGGCCTAGAAGGCCTGAAATACTCTGGCCCCTGTCTACTCAACCAGTCTCTCCTCCCCTCCCTACTCCACGCTGGTCCCTCACTGGGTTCCTTCCTCTTGCCTGAGGATACAAACCATGTCCTCTCAGGACGCTGATACTTCAGGGCTTGCTGCTTCCACCAAGCAATGTCTCTTTCTCGTCTCCTGTACTGCCCCTTTCCTACCACTTGGTTTTCAAATGACATGCTGGCCTCTGAGAGTTACATTCCCAGCCATCTTGAAGGTGTTCCTACATGTATTTCCTCCATGGAAGTTACAACAACGTGTGGGGATCTCAGTTTAGTGAGTTGTTTGTTGTCTGCCCCCTCACAGGCCCCCTATCCATCTCTGCATGGCTGAGCCCTCGCTGAGGTATCTAGGGATCTCGCAAGTGTCTGACACCTCACAGGTGCTGACTCTTTGGCCTCTTTTCAGACAAGGAGAATTCTATCTGCTGAGGAATTCTACACTAGTGCTGTGAACTTAACCTCTCTGGGCCTCAGTTTCCTCATGTGTAAAATGGCAATACCTGCCCTGTCTATGCCACAGAATCAAATGAAATAAATACGATAAAAACCTCTTGGAAAGCATGAATTGCCAGGGGCCTGTCACATATTTTCATGTGGTTAAAGGCTGTTACTACTCAGAAAGAGATGTGCAGAAATGGGTGTCAATGATAAGCCAAGGAATTCCAAACAGATTCCAGAATGTTTTTTTCCATGTCATTAATTCTACTTACAGGCACTGGCGAATCCTGAGACCTTCTCAGGCCTATATCAGCCAGGATCTTCATTTATTGTCTGGATACCTGTTTCTGGAAGGCATCCTAGTCTCTTCCTTTCATAAATGAAAGGAAGGGAGAGTGAAGAGTACACTTCCCCTCAAAGAAAGAGAAAAGCAATATAAAGAATTAATCAATGCTACCCAAAGAAGATGGTTTGTTCCACATAGTTGCCATGGGAACCTGGAGCTGGATACCAGGGCTGCCTGAGCTCTGTGTTAAGTGGCTCTAGACTATGATTTGGGAGCTGGAATCTTGTCTCCACCCTACCACTGCTGAGCTGTGGGACCTCATGTCATCATTGCCTCACTTCTTGGGCCTCAATTTCCTCATGTCTAATATTAAGGAATCTAAAAGATGATAGAGAATCTCTGCTTTGCATAAGTAAAATTCCAAGTCATGTGTCCTATCTAGGTCTCAGCTTTTCTGTCTATTAAGTGGGAGTTGCCTCTTGTAAATAATTGAAGGGAAGGGGTAGAAAATGAGAGCCCGGGTCAAATGTAAGTTGTGTCTTTTGGCTTCCAGAATGTCATCTTCTTATTAAGATAAAGCCTTATGAAATTAATTCTCATAGGCACACATTCCATTATTTTGTTCATTTATTCACCAAACCTGCAATGAGCAACTGCAGCATCATGGTGCCAGGCATGATGAAAGAAGCTGAGGGTTTGGAGGTGACAAAATGCAGTCTCTGCTTTCAAAAGCTCAGGGTCTCATGCAGGAGACAGGGAGATAGCTAATTTCAGAGCAAGGAGGGACTGGCTGTAACCAATGTCAGTAATGAGTGAGTGACAGCACTTTTGAATCTCTCCTTCAGGTCATCCCTAAGTTCAGGGTGAGGAGATGACCTACCCTTCTGCCCCGCAACGCCATCCTACATCTGAAATTCTTCTTAAGGGCATGGTGGAAACCCTTACCTTTGAGATGAGCCCAGTACCAGCACTAACATATGGAACCATAGAGTTGACACTGGAGGAACCCCCAGGTTTCATTTGAGAGGACACTGGAGTTCAGCGTGGAAGAAAGGCCTGCCCAAAGTCACACAGCCCAGGGCTCCTGGCAGGGAGCCACGGCTGCTTTCTCTGCTCCATACTGGAATTAAAGGTTGAATTCCAGGCAATTTTCCAGTTCCTAGTCCCACTGGATGGAAAGTCAACACACCTGGTTCTCTCAGTGATCTGAAATCACATGCAGAAATCCACTCCTTAGTCACAAAGAGAAGTTAGTGGAAGTGTGTTTTGTTCCTAGTTATCCTCTCCAAAGGTTCAGCCCTTTGCATTCCCTTAGGAGAAAACAGGGCCTGCCCTCCTCATGTCTGTCACCTGTCCAAGATCATTCCTTCTATCATTCACCTCCCATTAACCAAAATCCCCTTCTCTAGGTACCTGGGTCTTGGACAGCTGTCAAGTGGAAAGCCTTCTGATTAACTAATACTATAATGTAAATGACTGCAAAGTTCCCTCTTGTGATAACTGAGTCCTGGACAGTGGTCAAGGAAGAAATCCTTCTTATTAATTCCCAGTAAGATGTGAATCACTGACAACTAGCTCTCCAATTGTATCGTCAAAGAGAGTGCCTGGAGGTTCAAAATGTTCGTAATTCCTTTCATTTGTTTGACAATTATAGAAGTTTTGCTCAAATCTGGGTTTAGTCACTTAGGAGCTTTGACCTTATTAAAGTTATTTAACCTCCCTGAGCCTCAGTTACCTCACTGGGAAAATGAAGATCATAATTAGACCCCAAAATATCAGGTGAGAATTAACTGGGCTCACAGCATAGCCTCTGACTGATTATAGGTGCTTAATAAATGTTAGTTCCTTTTGAAAGATAGAAGTTGCCACCCATGGAGATTTTAAAACTTGCTCAAGAGCACTGCTGGTGAGAGCTGGGTCAGAAACAGCAGTTCAGAAGCTTCTAGCAGCGTTGCAAAGTCCCTCCTGGCAGGACATCAGCATTGGTCTCATTCATTGACACATGTCTGAGGCCCATGCCTGGGTACTAGGGATATGGGCAATGTGGAGAGGCTGGTGGGCAGAGTACTTGGAGAGTGGTAGTTGCATGGGAGTAGTCACAGAAATCACTGTTTTGGGAGTCTTCAGCAGACTCCATCACTGTGGCCAAGCTGGGGAGATGAGGGTGGCTTGAGGTTGGGTTAGACAGGCAGGGCAGAGGTGTGTGGCATTGTTGATGGGCCAGGTCAACTTGGATGAGGTCTCTTGGCATGCACCTCTCCTAGGGGATGTGAGAGCTGACCTCTGTGGGGAAAGACCTGGGCTATCCATCACCTGTTTGCTCAGGGCATTATGCCCTTGTGTGAGAGGCAGCTGAGTGGCCACAGGGCCTCTGCAGCCTCCAAACCTGGGAGACAAAGAGGGGAAGGCTGACTCCCTCTTGGTGAGGAACCAACTTCTTCTAATTCAAGGAGGCTGGGGCTGCCACCACCTGACATCAGCCATGGGGACCGGTTTGTTCTGTCATGTCTTCAGAGGACTGGCCTTGGAAAGCAGCACTGCTGGAAATCCTGCTGTAAAGCACAGACTTCTGCCATGGAGTCCAAGTTTGTCCAAGTTTTCATGCAATGGGTTTGCTAAAAGTGGGACCTATTGTTTTGTTATAGAAACCTGGGCTAAGGACTCACAGCAGATAAAAATAAACTTATTTCATTATCAAAGTAAAACATGTCCATTGCAAAGGATATAGAAAATACAAGAAAAGTGAAATGTTAAAATCATGCACAGTGCCATCCCAAACTCTTACTAAGATTCTATGTGTTATGTTCGTGCAAAAGTAACTGCAGTTTTACCATTACTTTTAATGGCAAATTAAAAGTTTATTCCCTTTGATGCAATATTGGGACTCTAATTAAAAGTTACGGCAAACTCGCAAAACCTAATATTTTCTTCTACCATTTTTTCCACATACATTTTTGCAGATGTCATCTTAGTTTCCTGCCATTTTGTCACATGCATAAACATATTTTAAATTATTATAATATGCTTATACATTTCTTTTGTTTACTGTCTTTTTCCCCCAACATTTTACTTTGAAAAATTGTAAACATGCAGCAATGGTAAAAGAATTTTACAGGCGACTGTCACGGTGGCTCACGCCTGTAATCCCAGCACTTTGGGAGGCTGAGGAGGGGGTGGATCATGAGGTCAAGAGATCGAGACCATCCTGGCCAACATAGTGAAACCTTATCTCTACTAAAAATACAAAAATTAGCTGGGCGTGGTGGTGCGCACCTGTAGTCCCAGCTACTCGGGAGGCTGAGGCAGGAGAACCACTTGAACCCAGGCGGCAGAGGTTGCAGTGAGCTGAGATGACACCAGTGCACTCCAGCCTGGTGACAGAGTGAGACTCTGTCTCAAAAAAAAAAAAATGGATTTTACAGGCAACACCATGTATCCACCATGTAGACTCAGCCATTATCACCTCTTCTTTCTATAGATATTTATTAAGGGTTCAATTTAAGCTGGTCTCTTGTTAACTATAGGGATTCAGTTGTTGATAAAACAGAGTCCCCACCCTCATTAATCAGAGTATCTAGTGGGGAGGCAGACAGACAGACCGTATACTCATTATTACAGAGGAAACGTATCCAAAGTGGGTAGGGCCTGGGAGAAGGGCCACCTCAGGCTGACTGGTGTTCAGAATGACACCTGAGCACCTTTTTGCCGGTAGATAAGTTTTCTCTGTTTCCCTCTATAATATGTGGTCTTGATTCAACTTCTTAGAGTCCCAATATTGCATCAAAGGGAATGAACTTTTTAAAAACCAGGATACATGCTACTTTTTGCCAGGGTGTTTTCCAAAAAAACTTGCGCTGAAGTGTTGCATTCTGTCTGAAAGGTGAAGGAGTTCGTGTCTTCCCTTTGGGCTCTGTGTTGGAGCCAGGCTGCCCAGGTTTGAACCTGAGTTTTGCTGCCTTATTCCCTAGGTGACCGTGGGAAAGTTACAGGAGTTCTGAACTATAACAACTTTCCTCATGTGTAAAATGGGCATTCACCAACACTCACTGTATGGTTGGGATGTTTATCTCCTCCAAATTTCATGTTGAAATGTGACCTCCAGTGTTGGAGGTGGGGCCTGGTAGGAGGTGTTTGGATCATGGGGATGGATCCCTTATGAATGGCTTAGAGCCATTCCCTTGGTGATGAGTGAGTTCTTGCTCAATTAGCTCAAGAGAGATCTGGTTAAGAGTCTGGGGCCTCCCCCCCTGCTCTCCTGCTCCGTTTCTCACCATTTAATGCGCTGGCTCCCCCTTCACCTCCTGCCATAATCTTAAGCTTCCTGAGGCCTCACCAGAAGCCAAGCAGATGCTGGCACCATGCTTCCTGTACAGCCTGCAGAACTGTGAGCCAATCAAACATCTTTTCTTTATAAATTACCCAGCCTCAGGTATTTCTTTATAGTGTCACAAAACAGACTAATACATTCAACTTTTAGAGTTGTTGTGAGGTTGAAATGAGTTCAGATTAAGCAACACCCACCTTGCAGACTTGTCGTGAGGATGAAATGAGTTATTTTATAAGTAGGGCTTAGAACAAAGCCCGGCGCACAGGAGTGCTCTATCACCATTGTTACCTGCAGGATGAAATCTCCAAGAGGACAGGGGTTTGTGCTCAACCTTCCATTTCCATGGTCATGGAGCCTGCTTAGATGATAAACACTCAAGGGCAGGATATGATAGCCCCTTGACTTGGGAGAGCCCCTGGTGCCACTTCCTGTGAAATAGAAATTGAACCCATGTGTATTAAAAGCGAAGATCCTATGTTATTTTCTCCAGCAGTGTTCAGAGTCCACCACATCCATGCAGAGCCCACGGCCCTGTCCTAGGAGGACACTGAGCACACATAGAATTAGACTGTGATGGCAGAAGGCATTAGAGCAACCCCAGCCCTGCCCCACATTAACCCTTCAGCCCACTTCCTGCCCCAGCCCTGCTGTGGTGGAAGGGAGAGAAGGAAGCAGGGTGGAGGCAGGGAGGACTTGCTGAGTGCTTTCTTTGTGCCAGTCCCTTCACATGTGTTTTCTGCTACTGAATTATCTCCAAGATCTTACGAGGATGCAGTGACAGATGAGAAAACTGAGGCTCAGGGTGGTGAAATAACAGCAAGCCTTAATATGTCAGTAAGTGCTCCCCTACGGCAGACAGGAGAGAGAAGGAAAGAGAAAATGGCTTGTCTGGCCCACAGCAGGACACCAGAAACCAAAGGGAGAGGTGGGGGACCTGCTGCCTGCTGGAGGAGAGACCCTGCCAGAGGTGGAGCAGAGACCTGCACTACTGAAGAAGCCCACAGGAGAGGATGTGGCAGCTCTATCTGCCCTGGAAACTCAAGGCATGGACAAGCACCAGAGAAATAGGCATGAGAGGCCACCTGGGGAACCTTGGCACTTAAAACCCTCAGTTTCTCTGGAGGTGTACACAGGTGAGCGGCAGGTACAATACCTTATTCCACCTAGATCTTTGAGCAAGGAAAGTCTGGTAGGGATGAGCAACCACTGCATCAGAGGCCCACTTAGCTCCTCCTGACAAACTCACACAAATGCAACCCTTGAGCAGGCGCCACCCTTGGGCAGGGTTGGCAAAACTTTCTGGACTGCGCCTCAGTTTAAGACACACTTCTCACACTGTGACCAACCTCACATATGTATGTGTGCATGTGTGTGTGTGCATGTGTGTGTTATGTGTGTACACAGACATAACTGAAATGAGTTTCCTGACACAATCCTTCACCTTACCAAGCGTGATGCATCCCAGTATTTTCCACCATTTGCTTCTATTCCTCTCCTCCCCACTCCTCCTCATCCTCCTGGTCTCAGCCTACTAAATTGATTTCAGAACCCTGAAGTTATAGAAAATGGGCACAGCCAGGATAGAATAGAGAATGTCGTGATGCTTTGCAGATTGTGTGAGCTACATGGAACTCAGAGAAGAGAGAGATTAGAACAGGCTGCAGCAACCCAGGAAGGCTTTCGGCAGAGGAAGCAACTAGAGCTTGACCCAGAAAAGTGGTTGGCTCTGTTCAGTTTAACACACTTTTCTAGATCTATGTGCCAGGCTCTGTACTTTTACAGACAGGTCAAGGTTGAGTGGGGGAGGGGAAAGAAAGACATTGAACACATAACTACATAAATAATTTAGTTACAGTTGTGGTAAGTAATGAAGACAAAAAGTATACGATGCCATGAAATAGAATAAAAGGGGTCCTAATATAATCTTGGAGATCAGGGAAGGCTTCCTGAAGGAGGCAACATTTATGCTGACATCCAAAGGATGAAGAGGAGTGAGCCAGAATCCAGAGGAAAACAATAGCTTTTTAAGCAAGGCCCGGCGCATTCAGGAGGCTATCTGGGGAGATTAGCGACATTTAGACAACCATTTACCTTCCTTCTGGTAGAGCAGTCGGATCAAAATGCCAGAAACCTTGTCTTCTCATTCTTATGTCTCTATTACCTAGCTGGGTGCTCACTCAGTGTTTGTGGAATCCATCACTTTCTGGATTTGGGTAAAGATGCCCTGTAGCTCATATACATCACTGCAATGTGCAACACAGGGAATGTCTGTAAACTCAGGGTAGATCCAGCTGGTGGGACTCCCTCTAAGTATTATCATCAGAGTAAGTCCGGTCTGAAGACACGCTATCTGCACAGCATTTACACATTCTCATTACCTGGGTCGGGTGACCATACGACCCAGCTTGCTCCGGACAGTCCCAGTTCACTCCTGTGGCTCCAGCATGATCCTGCCTCATTTCACTTTCAGACATGTCCCAGTTTGGACGATAAATTATACGTGCATCTGTAATAACTCTGGGCCACACAGAAATATCCTGGTAGCATGACAGATGTATCCAAACGTGCCACATTGAAAACGGATGTTCTATTTAATGAGTTCCCAGTTCCTTGGGGGTTTTTAGCCCCTCAGCCACTACCGGAAAGTCTCCTCCCTTTCCAGAATTGTCCCGGTCCCTTTAAAGCCAACTTACTCTATTTCCACCTTGGGACACTTGAGTTCAGTGACAGGACAATATTCTTAAGTCTTCCCTTGGGCAGCAGGATGGCATGGGAAGAGGACAGGTGTCTTGGGTTATCTGGATGCAAGTCCTGGTTCTGACATTCCTGGTTCATTGACCCGAGTAAGTCCCTTCACCTGCCCGGACTTGCTATTTCCCTTTGTTAAATGGGGATAATAAACACCCCGCCCAGTTCCCGATGTCACAAGGGTGAGGTGCTCTGTATTAAGGCAAAGAGGAAACATTGGATGTCACAGAATGGGACCTCTGGCTATGATTTGGAGATACTGATAAGAGGGATAGGTGGCATACCAATCAGGCTAATAATAATGTTTTAAAACACCAGGACCTTCCCCTAGGATACTGTTCTCTGTGCAGGAGCCTGAGCCTTTCTGCCACCCGACAGTGACTGCCACAGCCAGGATTAAGCCAACTGTCAGCAAAGAAGGAGGAAGATAAACCCTGTGTGCAGACAGAACGGGGGCTGTGTGGGCTGAGGGCACAGAATGTTTCTCCAGCCACCGCAGGAAGCAGCAAGAATACCGAATCCTGGTTGCCTCTGACAATTTTTCCTCTTTTTTTTTTTTTTTTTTCCTTTTTGGAAGCTGGAGATCCCTATGCCAAGCCCTCAAAGCAGCCCCGACTTTCCGTGCAATAAAGCAGCAGTGAGAAAGGCTCAGAGTAATTAAGTGGCTGACGCACAGAAGAAGCCGTTACAAAGAATTGACTAAATTGCCCATTCATTAGCAGCTCGGCATGGAAGGAGAATTACAAATAGACGGCGGAGCCCGCAGTAATTCAATCTAACCTTGTACTTACAGAAAACAATGAGATAATGAACAGAAAAATTACCAGGCACATATTGTATTTTGTTAAAGGGGCGGGTGGGGGGGCCAGGGGGAGGTGGGGGGAGCGCAGGGACGGACTGGCACATGCAATGCTAATGGCCTCACTCAAGCTGAGCAAACGTTTCTCCAACACAATCATAGTTCTCAGTCTAAGGGCCTCTGGGGAGCTGAGATGAGGCAAGATCGCGAACAAAAAAATGTAATTTATAAGGCGTCTGTGGACTGGAATTTATCATCGGATCCGCTCGCCGCCGCTCAATTGATATGTAGTTGATTTCAAACAACACCCCCCAGGCGCCCAGAGGGAACATTTTTTAGATTTTACGCTTGGATATATCTGTTTAACTCGCCATTTACCAAAACAACGGCTGATGACAGCACAAACCAGTCACTCTGGAGAAAACACGCACGCATGCTCTCATACACACGCTCTCGCCCGCGTGTGCGCGCACACACACATGCACACACACACGGGCATCCAAGAGCAGCAGCAGCCATAGTAACAGCAGCAGACAAACCTGCTCAGCCCAGAGAAGATTGCTGTGAATCCGGAAAGGGAGAAGGGAGGAAGAAAAAAAATACTGCCAAAAGACTGAGCCTTTCTCTGCCGCTTCGCAGGACTAAGTGCTTGTTGTTGGGTTTTTAGCGCTCACTGGTTGGTTTTCATTCCTGACACCTCCTACCCTTCTTGGCTGGGCAGCTTAGAAGGATTCAGCACTATCCCAACTCACCTCCTCCAGGCTGTCGGCACTGCCAGTCCCCCTCTAGCCTCACCTGGGATCCACAAGACCCCTGGCCTCAGCAGGTGGAAAAGAATGGGGGTCTTCATAGAGTGTGAGAAGGGGTAAATGGGCAGAAGGTTGAAACATTACTGTCCCCTTACCCACGGCCAGCAGGGCCTCCAGATGTGGGTGTTGGCAAAAGCAGTTTTAGAAGGATGTGAATAAATTCCCTATCAACTCAAGGGCTGAGGCTTCATAGCTGGAGTGACAAATCATTCCGTTTTCAGGGCAATTTTGAGGACACCAATATAACTACCCATTGGTACCCAGAAAAAGGAATACCTTGGCACAGAAAGAGGAACCTCAAGTATATTCTTAGTGTTAGAAATAATAATAATAATTCACTGGACATGTGTTAAAAGCGGCAAAACATTTTATTCAGGACTATTGCAATAGGAGAGAGATTGAACTCAACTCCCCATACACAGGGACCAGTGGAGATTTACAGCCAGCGGGCAGGGTGAGAGAGGATGAAAAATTACTAAGAGGGACTTGGTTGAGTGTCAAGGGTGAGGGGGAAGAGGAACCTGATTAGAGAACAAGGATGGAGGAAGAAGAGTTTGATTGGATATCAAGGGTAGGGGAATTCTTGATAAACTGGCTTAGCAGGATTCTTTGCTAAAGCTGGCTCTGCAGGCCAAGAATAAAGCTTAGTGGAGAAAAGGACTCAAAGGAGCCTGACTCCAGTTTGGTCTGGAAAAGCCATGTGGGTGGTGGCACTGTCTTCCCTGCAGAGTGCTGCCAGCACAGTGCTTACTGATTGCAGAGGGACAGATGGGATAGTTTCCAACTGAAGAATCTGAGAAAGTGAGAATTCATTCTTCAATTCACACCTTCCACCAAAAGAAACAGATGCCTCACAAGCACCAGGCACCAGAAGACACTCATGACACTGAACTGCAAGGGCAGCCTTGCAGCCTGTCACCAGCCTAAGTTTGGGGGGGATTAGAGGGGTAGTTAGTGACCACGATTGACCGGCCAGTAGGGGGCAGTCCAGCCCAATGGGAAAGGAGGCTGAAATGGATGTCCAGAAAAATCCTGGTTTTATTACCACTTGACTATTGATTCACTGTGAGGTCCTCCAGTCCTCATCACTTCCAGTCTTTGGGCCTTAGTCTGTATAGTTATAGAATATCCCTAAGACTGCCTGACTTCTGCTCATTTCACAGACATACTATGAGATATCTTGGAAGTAATCAAGACATGAAAAGTCAATATAAATATTAAATGCATCAAAGAATTCGACCATTAGTTCTCAGAGTATAGCCCTAGAGCCATCATGAACAGCAGCATCACCTGGGAACTTAGAAATGCAAATTCCTGGGACCCACACCCAACCTACTGAATCAGAAACTCTGAGGATGGGAACCAGCAATCTGTTCTCAACAAGCTCTCCAGAATCTGATGCACGTTCGAGTTTGAGAACCACTGATATAGCTAATACAGACTGTGTGACTTGCTGGGTGTAGAAAAAGCAGCTGAAGAAAATCATTTTGGAGACTGGTAAATCTTTTGCAGTCAACCAAAAAACTACCCCAGAGATTAAATTCAGAGTATTAATCAACTGTTGATGTCTGCATTTGAAAAGTGTTGTGCACACAGTTTCATTTGATTCTTTAATTCATTCTGGAAGGTAGATAAAGCACAAAATCTTGTCCCAACAAGCACAAGGATTCAACAAAGGTTACTCAGTAACAGTTGAGGGTGGCAATGATGAGGCAAATGAACTCAGTCTTACTGCAATACCTGCCCCCATACTCCCCTTCCAACGCAGCATTGTAGGTCTTTAAATCTAGAAGGGACCTGATAATTGATCCATCTTCCTATAGAAGCTTTTCCTTCCTACAGAAGCATCTTTCTGTAGAAGCTTTTCTCATTGTTCCCCTCTCTTCAGCACACTCCCATTCATGACCATATTTCAGCTCACTATCAAGAATCCATGGGTACCAATGGGTAGTTATGTTGGTGTCCTCACTATCAAGAATCCACACTGTTCCTTCATCCCTATGAGAATCTGGAGAAGTGGGGAAGCAAGCGGCCTTTGTCCCTAACCTCAAGAGGACCATAAGCCCAGCAATCTAGCCAACACTAAAGGTACCATTGTCTCCATTTTAAAGATGAGCAAGCCAAGGATCCAGGGGTGAAGAAATTTGTTTAAGGTTATGTGATTATTAGAGATAGAACAGAGATTAGAAGTCAGGTGCCCAGACTTTTGGAAAGCAGGGTGGAAACTGATATCTTCAAATGTTTGTTGTTAAATAACAGACATTAAGTGTCCAGTGGGCTTTAAGTATTGACTCAATCTCTATCTAATTTTCTATCTCTCAGATACTTATAGATATGTATTTTTGTGATGTATTACGAGGGTCATGAAGTCTTCAAGGTCATGTATTCAGTGGTCCATATAGCATAGAAAATCTCACTGTACATAGCTGGTGGGTCATTCCACTTCTTCTTAAATACCTGCTGTGATGGAGATCTCACCCCGGCCAAGGCATTTGAGAGGTGCTACACCAAGTCATCAATATGTCTCAGAAAAGGCTTTGTAGTGGTCTGGTGCCACTCATTCCCATCCCTCGCCTCTGCTTTGATGTGTTTCCCATTCCCAGAAGCTCATTTGAGGGTGCAGAGTTCCTGGGAAGTGTCAAATTGAGTCATCATTGGCTAAATTCTTGCCCACCCTTCATGAGGGAATCCAGGAATTTCATGTCTAGAATTAGCAAGTTGTGTGAAAAGAAGACTCTTGGTCAGGGTCAATGGAACCTTCCATGACTCTCAGCTAGCATATCCCAAGTCTATACACAACTCTCCTTTTCCCATCCCTACAGCTGTCAATGAGGAAAATGGTTTCAGGAGCCTGAGGGAGTCAATGAAGAGGCTCAAAGAAATCACTTGGAATGTGCCTAGGAAGACACAGATGCTCATCTTTCTAAGTGCTTTCATGTTAGTATTTCAATCAACTTTGCAATCCCCCTTGCCAGTCCTCGGGATGGAACCACACACACACTCAATTTAACAGCTCACCCTGGGTGACGGGCCAGCAATGTGTGTGACCATTCCCACATCACCTTGCCCATGAAAAGTCAAAACCAGCCCAGTTCTGAGTCAGAAAAGCATACATACAAAATTAATTGAAATTGTATTTTTAATGAAGCTCTCTCATCTCATACAAGGATTGATGAGTTACCCTTGATAGGGAGTTAAAAACACCTTTTTACCAAGGGAAGAAAAATGGTCTCACTCTGACCCCTTCAACAGGAGGCATATTTGCACTTCTTCCATGTCCCAGGTTGACTTACTGTGTGGAGGCCCAGAGACAGGAGGAAGGGAGCTTTAGAGCCAGCTCTTCCTGCATGATCTGTGTGCCTTCAGCCCCTGGCTCTGGAGGTCTGGGAAGGGTTGGCTCACGGAAGGATGATGCGGGGACAACTGAATATACCAGCCAGCCCAACTGCATCATTTTCCAGAGTGAAGGTGCCTGGACTGTATGTGGGGCTGGGCCCCAGTCATACAGCAATGCCTCAGGTGCACAAATGAGTTTTCTCAAGGACTGATATTTCAACTCTGATATATTTTCCAATAATCATTGATAAAAAGTCTTTTCAAAATTTATTACGCATTCCTTTGTCATACAAATAACATTTGCCAAGCATAATTTAACCTTTTTTTTAACTACAATTATCATCAATTTGATTGTGCATTAATGTGCTGGGTCAGAAAAAAATTATATTGAGGTATTTGAAGCTATTTATCCACATACTGAATAGCCCCAGACTGCTAACATTCTAGTGTTCTTGGGTCTGATCTAAATAATCCTATTTCTTTACCTACTGCCACACTTTCACTTGTTACTTTTTGCTGTTATGAAGTACAGTGACATTAAAAAAAAGAATAGAATCCTTAGGAATCCCCAGACCAGAAAGACCATGAACCCAGGTCACATCTTTTCTTGCTTTTGGTATTATTCAGTGCCTACCATGGTGCCTGGGACAGAGCAGGTGAGCATTAATTCGCTGGTGAATAAATAAATATACCATTTAGTGTGTAATTCTGGCTTTACTACTTACTATCTGCATCACCATGGGCAAGCCCAGAGTCTCAATTTCCAAGTCTGCAAAATGGGAAATATAATAATACCTTATTTTCGGGACTCTTGCAAAAATTAAATTAATTGAATCAAAGCATTGGTAAGAAAGTGCCTATGAACTGTGGAGTGCAATACAAAGCCCCTGTTTGTAGTGTGTAACAAGATTGTGATTATTATTATGTATTGCTGGTTTCTGGGGGGTGGTCTGCCTGCTCTTCTGGAGGAGGTTCTGATATCAAAGGCCTTGGCTAATTAAGGCAGCAAGGTAAGGAAATCAAAGCAGACGAAATAGGCCAGGAGGCTTCATCCTGGACACTGTGTGTGTGTAGTCCAGCAGTCTCCCAGTTGGCTCACCTTGGCAGGTGACGTGTCTACAGGACCTACTCCTCTCCTGCCCTGTCTTCACCTCATCTCTCCTCCCTGTCCCCAGCACCCCTATGTGTCCTATCTTCCTAATCTCACCAGATGTGAGGAATCCATCCATGTAAAGGAGGGCAGGACTTAATCCGCTGCCCCCTCTGAGAGATATGGATCAGGATTGCTCCAGTTAGGGGCTTTTCCTAATCAGAATTGACACAGACTTTGATCAGGAACAGAGAATTTGCTAGGAGCCTCCCAGGATCATCAATCCCCCTAAAGAATTTTCAAAAGTAGGAAATTCACACTTCAAACAGGGAAAATGAAATGCTTAAGCACCTAAAATGAGAAGCTAACAGTGGATTTCCAGGAAGCCTTAGCAGATAGACAACACTTGGGTCCTGGGTAAGGCCAGACTCAGGAGGTAGGGTCTCGCCTATCACTTCTCAAGTCCCTCAGTGAAAGATGCCATCTGCTTGGCCAGACCTTGCTCACAAAGCTCTGAGAACCCCTGAGTGGCACTGCAGATGACCACATCCCAAATGCCCAGACTCCCAGTTCACCTGGATTCCAAAACAAGCTCAGGTCTCCTGACTCCCTTCCAGTGCATGATGAGTTCCCTGCTCTCCCCTTAAAGGCCAGGTGCAAGGGCTAAAGCTAACAGTCTGGGAATTTTACAACAAACTACTTTAAAGTTCTTATTGTTTTCTCCAGAAGCATTCAGATAATCACTACAACCACTATCAGTACCGGCACAAGCACCAAAACCACCATCACCACAACCACCCTTATCACCACGACCACCAACACCACCACTGCCACTGTCACCACAACCATCACCAGCACCACTTTCACTACCACCACCAATGACAACATAATCACCACCACCGAACCCAGGACTGGGTTTGAATTAGAGTCCAGTCAGTTATTAGCCCTACGACTATCTAAAACTTATTTAAATTCTCTGAATCTTAGATTCATGATAATAACATTCCTAGAGATGTGTGGATTAGAAACAATATATGTACAAAAGCACAGAGCAGCTCCCACATCTATGGTAGCTACTATTAAAAGGGTACATTTGTCAAGAGAAGGTTAAATTAATTGATCAACAGTTAGTCATTTCAGGGAAAAGAGGAAAATTCTCACCCCAGAGTCCTGGGGACTCTCTGCCACCTTGAGAAAAGAGTGTGAAGTTGGTGTGTCAGGAGGTCTGGAGCTTCAGCCGCACCCTGTCCTAGAGTGTGCCAACTGCTTTGTTTACTCTCTGGTTCTGTTTTCTCCAACCCTGGGAGACACACTGTTAAGAAAGTGGTGAATCTGCTAGAGGAGATGCCTCTATTCTTCTTGCATCACTTGTTGTAGCAAATGTGCATAAAATGACAGCCAGATCTACCCTGCCAAATTCCTGGATCCCAGGTCATTTAGAATAAAGAGATGCCAAAAGTTAGAATCCCATCTAGCTTCCTCTAACTCTTGTACCATCTTGGGAACTTGCTGACTGACATTGACCTAGGAGTGGCCAGGCCCAGTCAAGCACTATTGTTGGGAGACATTCTGCCTCCCTCCCTCTATTCCTCCCTCCTCCCTTCCCTTTCTCTTCCCATCCCTTGTCATTAGTCCCTAAACCACTGCTGTGTCCACAAGGGCCTAGGACTCGAGGGTACCCTCCCTGTCTACACGCTCTGAGGCATGCACAATGGCACCTCTGCCCCTTTGCCTATGCTCTGTCCTTTGGGAGGGCACAGCTCTTGGCAGACAATTGGTTGTGACCTGCCAGAGGCACCACTCCACGTGTGTGCCAAATACCATCTCCTCTCCCTCCCAGCATGCCAGGCTCCTCTGACAAGGAAGGGTAAAGACCCTCCAGGGTTCTCAAGAACATCAATATGTTTTGTATTTAATGTGCTGGCTCTGTTACAGCAAATTAAAGCAAGGGGGCCTGGTGGAAGGGAACACAGCCCGCAGTTCCCCGTCCCTTGTCGAGCAGGAGGCTCTGGAAACAGCACTCCAGTGTGGAGAAGGAGTGCACATTACACCCCCCTGCAGGAACAGAGCAGACATTAGACAAAGCCCCAAGTCTTAATGGGACGCATCCTGCAAACATCTGAGCTTGGGCCTTCAATCACAAACGCTGCAGGATTTAAAAATGAATAAACTTCACATTGTGTTTCTCTTATTTATCCTTTATGCAAATTGTCCCTGGGAGGACCCATTATGCACACTGCATGGGGACAGCAGAGGCCGGCTTTGAGGCTTGGAGGACCACTTGCAAGCCATTCCTGGAATGCCAGGCCCGTCCTGGTGCTTTACAGAGAGAGAGAAAGTGATCATAAAAGGGAAATAAACAGATTCTGAGTGGTTGGCTCATGCAGAAAGCATAGGCACGCGCGTGCACAATGACACACCACATACACACGAGCCACACACGGGCGACATTGGAGTAGCCTTGCTGCTAGGATGCAAAAGCCTCTGCAAGGAGAGCAGGAGTCATCTCCCCAATTATTTTCTCCCATTACTAATGGGAGGAAACGGGCCATTTGTGAGGCTGAGCAGGCATGGGCAGGACAGTGGGGCACCATCACATGGTAGGAATTCCTGGCCTCGGTCTGATTTTGGAGCAGCCCCTGTGGGCCAGACCCTGGGCTGGTGCTGCCGCATCCCCTGCCAAGGCCTTCTGGCTCCCTGGGAGCTTCCTGGTTCAGGGTGGAGTCAGGGAGCAGTGGGTCAGGAAGTCGGGGCTATGAACTTGGCCTGAGGGAGCCAACAGTCATTGGAGTCAGGCCAGGGCACCCCAGACCCAAGAAGTGCAGGGCCAAATCCAGGGACACAGTGGGACTTACAGAAGGAGGGCAGTACCACGGCAAATGAAGGAAGCTGAGACGGAAGCAGTAGGCAGGGCCCCGTTCTAATGGGTGTGGTGCCCTGTTCACTCCACCTCGGGCACCTGTGCAGTAAGAGGTCATCCCCTGCAGCTCCTGACTTGGAAAGATGGTGGCCTATGCCTGGCCACAGGGTGCATCCTGTGCACGTTGGGTCTCAAGGGCCCAGCAGCGGGGGCTGTGCTCAAGACAAACACAGTCTTTGGGGGGCACAGACTGGAAAATCGGTGATTCCAACATAATGTGATCTTTCAAATTTTCCAGATGGAGTTGGGGAGAATTGAGAGAGGTAGGTGGAGGGAAAAATGGCTCCTAGGCAAATATATCTTTAAGATAATGTCTTTTAGGTTATCAATGTGTATTTTTTGGAAAAGGTATGCCATGATTGTCTTTGACAGGGGTGAACACTCATGGAGACTAAGATGAGCACAGATGAGAAGGGGGAACAGGATTAAATTCTTTAAGTCACCTGCCTATGACAGACACCACACTGAGTACTTTACCTTTATAATTTCATTTAAATGGTATAAAATTCCAGGAAGCTGATGCTGAAAAAGGACTTTTAATTATTCTGAGCAATTATTACAGGATGGGGCAGGGCAGGCAGTGTTATAATTGACATCCTGAGCTCTGGCACCAGATTGCCTGGAATTAAGTGTGGCTCTGCCCCCTGTTAGCTGTGTGACTGTTAGAAAGTTACTTAACCTCTCTGTTCTGTTTCCTCCTCTGTTAAATGGGGATAGCAATTACACCTATCTCTTCGGGTTGTGGTGAGGCTTAAATGAGTGATTATAGACAAAGTACATAGAACAGTGCCAGGCATAGAGCTAGTGCTAGCCATTATTACTGTCCTAAGTCACTTTAGATGTATGAATTTATTTAATCCCCACTGTAACCTTTTGATATAGGTATATACCGATTTCACAGATGAGGAAACTGAGGGACAGACAGGTTAATTAACCTTTGCAAGAACACACAGATGATAAATGGAGGGACTACAATTTGAACCCACGAATCCTGCCTTCAAATTCTACTACTAAGTTCTCACGTAGCCAGGGGACACCTGCAGAGGTTCCTAGGGGGCTGCAGGGGACATAGGCATCACTGTCTAAGAAGAGCTGTGGCTTTCTAAAACAAAACAAAAATCATTTATTGAAAAAAACATGGAAGTGTTGCTTAAAAAGGATGTGGAAACCACTGATTTAGTCTATCCTACAGTTTAGAGAGGAAGAAGCAGAGGTGGAATGACAGGAAGGAATCCATTCCAGGTGGGAGACTTAGTGTGTGGCCATGACCTGGGTCTCCTTGCAGACACTCTGGTCTTTCTTTGATGCCATCTCACCCTGATCGAAAGATCTTAAACAGATTAAAAACCTACCTAAATGAGCAGAAAGACCACAAACATTAGGGCCATGATGGGCAAGTAGCTCGTGATGCCAGCTGGGAACTAGGCCTCCCTCAGAGCAGCCAAGAAGGAGAATGAACGTGGGCTTGGCATGAGCCTGCGGAGGCTGCCAAGGCCTTTGGGCCTCCACCAGCTCCTCTATGCAAATGCAAGGGAGCAATTTGCATAGGGAAAATACAATTACCCAAATTGGAACTGGGCCAGGACCTCATCGCCTGCATTGGGGAAGTGCTAGAGGATCCTTCAGAACAGAAAAGCCGCCTCCTTTTTGTCTCCCTGCACCCCTAACCCTCCAGGGTTAGATCAGAGGAGGCTTGGAAATGAGACTGTTCCTACTGAGAGCCCTGCAGAGAGATCCTGGTGGCTTCCCCCTTCCTATAGCCTCAGGGCTGGGAAGGCAGGACTTCTGGAGTCACTGGTATAGGTGAGGGGAGCTTGGATTTCTAAGTCCTCACACTCCTGCCAATGTTATTTCACAGTGACAGTACTTGAGCTCTCAAGTTAATCTGTTCATATTGTTTTGTTTTATAAGTTATCATTAAACTGATGCCTGTCTACTGCCCTCACTGGAAAGAGCCTCAAACCACCTGACCTTTGACCAAAACAGACAATGCAGAGGTTGCACATCAACAAACACCAGTCCTGAAGGCAGGCAGTAGCCCTTTGAGAAATCAACCTCCGGGAGAGGAGCCACATGCCACCTTGGGCATGTTCCTTGACATTGGCGTTCCCATTCACAAACTGAGGGAGTTGAACTTAGGAACCCCGAACTTCAGACCACTCTAGCATTCTAGTATTCCATGTCCTCCTAAGAATTCCCCATGAGACTGACAAACAAGTGACCTACACAAGCATCCACATATCATGTGGTGAAGACGACCACAGCCACGCCTCCCCCAGTAGAAGATGAACTGAGCGTTCAGGAAGCCTATGATACTCCAGTCACTCACTAGCAACACACAGAAAGGTGTTAATCCATCTTTTTATTTAAACAGTCTGTTTATTCCATCCCACAAGTAAGAAAGTAAGTAAGCACATATTTGGCTTACTGGATATTGGGTGAGAAATACAAATGTAATTAAGACCCACCTTGGCCTTGAGTGCTCACCTTGAGTGGAGCCAAGCTGGCTTCCCAGAGCTTCCATTAGCATAATATTCCTGCAAGTGTTGTCCTGGGGTAACCCAGCTCTTAGCTATTCTTTTGCTGGAAAGGAAGTACTTTGTTGAAGGGCTCCTGTTTGATTTCTGAAGCCGGGCACAGGCTCTTACAGGAAACAGTGGGGGACTGCTCCATGCATGAAGAAGTGCCTTGCTCAGGGCAAAATCTGCTGTTTGGTGAACTGCTCTGCCTTGCCTTTGTGTCAGTATGATTTGATGGAACCATTAAGCTTTAACAATGCAGAAAATAAATCCCTATTAAAATATATGCACCTTAAAGTGCTGAGTTCTCAAACCAAACTGCAGAGAACTGCAAGCTGCTCCTCCCCTTCTCTGCCTGTCACTAGTGTTGACTAAAAGAGTCAAACTCTGTAAAGTATTTTTAGGGATTTATTCTGAGCCAAATATGAGTGACCATGGCCCATGACACAGCCCTCAGGATAAACAGTATAAAATTCCAGCAAGGAGAACATGTGCCAAAGGTGGTCGTGGTACAGCGTGGTTTTATATATTTTAGGGAGGCATGAGACATCAAATACATTTAAGAAATTCATTGGTTTGGTTCAGAAAGGTAGGACAACTCAAAGCTGGGGGGAGGGGGGCTTCCAGGCTATAGGTAAATTTAAACATTTTCTGGTTGACAATTGGTTGAGTTTATCTGAAGACCTGGGATCAATAACAGGAACAGGAAATGTTCAGGTTAAGATTGTGGAGACCAAGTTTTATTGTGCAGAGGAAGCTCTCAGATAGCAGACTTCAGAGAGAGAGCAGGTTGTAAAATGTTTCTTATCAGACCTAAAAGGGTGCCTGGCTCTTAGTTGATTATCTCCTGAATCTGGAAAGGAAGGAAGGAAAACAAAGGGGAAAGGGAATTCTCTATAGAATGTGGATTTTTCCCACAAGAGACTTTGCAGGGCAACTTCAAGGCGTGGCAAGGAAATATATTTGGGGGTTAAATACTTTGATTTGTTTTTCTTGTCTTATAATGTTATGCCAGTCAGATTGGAAAGTAAGTCACAACATACAGGGTCAAATAAAACCCATCTGATGAGAATTTGTAGTTTGTAGGGCATGACTCCCCAGACCCCTTAGATAGGAATTTGGGCAAGATAAAAATATTAGACCTTAGTCCTCACTAGCCTGACTATCCTTTAAGGCCAAGTTAGGAAGTCTCTTGTTCCAAGAAACCTTTCCTTGATCCATCCTGGCTGGGAGTAATCTCTCACTCTTCAACCAGCCATAGACATTTACTTATCAAACACCTAGGGTAGAATTTGATTTCGATGATAACCAGATTGGATTACAAATGTGAGTGCCACAAGAGTGGCTATTCAGTACCTTTCAGCTTTGTGCTCCCGTTTTATATCCACTGCCCATTCCTAGACACAGTAGGGGCTCCTGTAATTTTTTTTTGATGGGGTGAATGCACTTGGCTGCAGAATCAGACACCTTGTCTCCCCAGCCATAGCCTAAATGAAATCCGTAGTGCTCAAGATCTCTAGCAAAGGCACTCTCCACTGAGCCCTCAGGAAAATTTGGCTAGGCCCAGCTCTTAGAGGGTCCCAGCCCTCAGAAGCCCCTCCCCTGGACTCTAATCTCATGTGACTGGAACATTCGTTTGACTCCTACCTCCGTCTTATAGACCCATGATGTCATTTACCTCCTGCTTTGCCACACGCTTTTCATCTGATTGTACTACATTTCTCTAGCTGGAGAACAAAGTCTATCACTAAAGGCCAAGACTTTATCTCTCTCCCTTTCACAGACTAAAATTGTGCTGAGTACAGATGGATGCTTAACATATATTTGCCAATGCACTGACAAGCCCAGGGCTTGCAATTTGGTCTAAACACCTAAGCAACAAACAGACAGGGACTAATATTTTACAGCTGACATATTTCTCCAGTTGGCCAAAGAAAAATGGGCTCTGGGACCAGGAAGGCATACAAGAGAAATGCGGGAAGACCTGACTGCAAAGCTATTTATTCCATGAAGGACCTTGTTTTCCCTGAGTCAACCTATGATGGTAAGGCTGGCCAGGGCTCTGGTACTAGCACCAGCTGTGGATCCTTGGGTGAGTAATAATCTCACTTGGCCTATTTTCTTATCATCTGTCATTCTTTTCACATGAAGTGCCAGGTCTTGTCTTAATTCCTGGGGAAAGAAAAATAAATCAAAGGTAATCCATCCCAATCCTAATAAACAAGTTTCTAGTTAGTGGGAAAGATAGATGTGGAATACTAGAAATTACAGGGCAGTCTGTTGCTGCAAACAGTTGAGCAAAAAATATATGATATGGAAACCCGTGGATACCATAGCCACTCCTGCTGGCTGCAGAAACAAAAATTTCTGAAAGGGGCAACATTAAATTGGACAAAGCAATTTAAAAAAAGCCTTCCAGGCAGAGAATATAGCAAACATGTTAGTTTTCTATTCCTGCTGTAACAAATTATCACAAATTTAGTGGCTGAAGGCAGTGCAATGTATTATCTCACAGTTCTGTAGGTCAGAAGTCTCACATGGGTCTTACTGAGTTTAAGTCAAGGTGTCAATAGGACTGCATTCTTTTCTGGAGGCTCTGGAGGAGGATCCATTCCCCTACTTTTTCTGGCTTCTAGTGATTGCCCACATTCCTTGGTTCACAGCCCCTTCTTCCCATCTTCAAAGCCAACAACAGCAAGTTGAGTCTTTCACACATGGCATCACTCTGACCTCCTCGTCTGTCTCCCTTCTCCAACTTTAAGCACCTTGTGATGGCATTGGGCCCACTTTGATACTCCAGGATAATCTCCCTATTGTATGTTCAACTGGTCAACTGATTAACAAGCTTAATTCACCTTTACCATAAAAAGTAGCAGATTCACAGATTCCAGGAATTCAAACATGAACATCTTTGAGGAACCATTATTCTTCCTCCTATAGCAAGGTCAAAGGCACAGAGATGTGTGAGGACTTATTCTGTCTGGGAACAGAGAAGGGTTCAGGGGCAACATGGGGTGTTGACAGAGGAAGAACCAGGTTATAAAAGTTCTTGTATACCAAGTACATTACTTATTCTTCTTTTTCTTTCTTTTTTTTTTTTTTTTTGAAACAGGGTCTCACTCTGTCACCCAGGCTGCAGTGCAGTGGTGTAATCATGGCTCACCAAAACCTTGCCTCCTGGGCTCAGGTGATCCTCCCACCTTAGCCTCCCAAGTAGCTGGGGCCACAGGTGCACACCACCACACCTGGTTAATTTTTGTATTTTTTGTAGAGATGGGATTTTGCCATGTTGCCCAGGCTGGTCTCAAACTCCTGGGCTCAAGGGATCCACCCACCTTGGACTCCCAGCGTGCTAGGATTATGGGCGTGACCTACTGCACCTGGCCTACATTACTTATTCATTAATCACTATGGCATTTAAGTAGATGAGTGACCTTGTCACCTCCATTTTCTGAGCAATCACTGTAGCCAATGAGATAGAGAGGAAATAGAAGGAAGTGAGGCAGGGAGACTGATTAGGAGGCCACTAGAGTCCACAAAGTAGGAGACAAAGTCTGAACTGAGGCAGCAACCATGGAGATGAATAGAGGGTTTGAAGCTACTTTGGAGGAATAATTGCCAGGATTTGAAGATTTCTGTGCTGAGGTGTATAAGGAAGAAGGAGAGGTTAGGGATGGTGGAGATTTCTAGCTTAGGAGCCTGGATGGATGATGGTTCCATTAATTCAGTGGAGACTTATAGGGCAGGGGTGATAACACAGAGTTTTATGTGCCAGTGGGCTACATGGGTGAAGAAGTCCTGTAGGCAGGTCATGAGCTTAGGGCACTAGAACCTCCTGCCCCCTTCCCAAGCGCATTGCAAGCTGGACTAAGAATACCTTCCTGCCCATTCAAGAAGTCAGGAGAACATATTGTTACTCACCAGTTTATCACAGGCAACAGCAAATATGACCTCCTCCTCTGAAGACACTCTAGTGTGGCTCAGACACAAATGTTTCACAGCCCTCTTTGGTGTGTTCACTAGCCTAGGTTCTACAGAGAACCAGAGAGATCTCTGAGGTGCTCCTAAACTTGAGAGATGCCAGGTATCATGGGAAGCCAGGACACAAGAGTCAAGAGAAATGCAATAACACAAGGGCCAAAGAAGAAGCCAGTCTGGCCCAAGCCAGAAGCCTGGGTGTGGTGTAGATGTCTCCTTGCCTCTTACCTTCATATCACTAAGTCCTTTTGATGATATCTTCTAAACACTCTGGATTCTGCTTTTCCTCCTGCTTAAGCTCGGCCTTTCATAGTCTCATTTTAATCAGTATGAAAGCCTCCGAGCCAGTTCCCTGTCTCTGGTCTTGTTCCCCTTCCATCTGTTCTTTAAATGATAGCCAGAGAGCAGCATTTCTCTAACTTTAATCTCATCTTAACACTACTCAACTTCAAATAATTCAATAAAGCATAGAGAGAACATTTTAAATATAGGAGGGAAGCCCTTTCTAAACAGGACGTAAAACAAACAGTCCATAAAAGAAAAGAATGATAAATTTGAA
Source organism: Homo sapiens (assembly GCF_000001405.40). Lineage (NCBI taxonomy): Eukaryota > Metazoa > Chordata > Mammalia > Primates > Hominidae > Homo > Homo sapiens. The sequence goes on from NC_000018.10 coordinate 47,609,741, forward strand.
TACATTAAAATTAAAATTTTCTACTCGGAAAAGAATGCCATAAACAAAGTCAAAAGACAACAAACTAAGAAAAAAAATATTTGCAATATAAATGACATGGTGCTAATAACCTAAATATATAGATGGTGTCTACAGATCAATAAGAGAAAAACTTAACTATCCAATACAAAAATTGGCAAGGGAACATGAAGAGAAAATAAAATATAGATAGTTTTTATACATATAAAAAGAAAGTCTAACTCACAATAAGAACAATGCCAATTTTTCTAAAATTAGAAACTAACAGATTAACCACATCAAAACATTTGATAATACACTTAATTGATAAGTTTGTAGAGACAGACACTTTCAAATGCTATTGATGGGAATGTACTAGGATTTGGAAACTGCAAATATCTGTCTTTTTAAAATATTGTATTAAATATATTCTTTGACAAATATATTCAAAGAACATATTGTTTGAAATTATGTATGTATAAAATTATTTCATAAACCCAGATATAGTTACATATATGTGAGCACAAAATTACATGTAAGAGCATTCACTAAAAATATCTCAAATGTCAAACAGAGAACTGATTAAATAATCATAGTTTATGTGTAGTATAGAATGCTCTATAACTATTAAAAAGAATAAAGCGGAAAAAAGAATGAGGTAGTGCTACATGCTTACTATGGAACAATCTCCAAGATAAAATACTAGCAATAAAAGAAATATTATATAGCATCTACTATATGTCAGGCATTATTCTAGAAGCTTTATATATTTATGTATAGTTTTATATTAATAGCATATTTCTATATATTTAACTCATTTAGTGATTACAACAACCTTATAACATATGAATTATTATTATTATTATTCCCGTGTTATAGATGAGGAGACTGAGGCACATTAGAGTTTAGTAATTTGTCCATTATGAATATATATGTGTATATATACACATATATATACATATGTATAGCTGTGATTTTTTTCTCTCTGCTTCAATGTGGATATTTACATGTAATCTATTTTCTAGTTCACTAGTTGTTCTCTTCAGTATGTATAATTCACTGAGTTCTTAATTTTAGTTAATATATATTTTTTCAGTTTTAGAATTTTTATTTGATTCTTTAGTTCTCTACTGAAATGATCAATCTTTTATTTTAATTCTTTGAACATATTATCCATAGTGATTTAAAGTCCAAGTTTGATAACTGAACCCCCTGGGTCTATTTCTAGTGTCTGTTGTTTATCTTGCCTTTCCAGTCAGCTTCTTGGCCTCCAGCTTCACTTACTTCAGTCTCTTTCTCTGGTCTTCCCTCATCTCCTAAATCTTGGCTTTGGAATTCCTCAGGACCTTGAAATCACTCCAAAACCTTCAAAATATTTTTTTTGCTTTGGTTTTTGTTTTGTTTTTTAAATTTTGTTTGGCTTTTCTAGTTCTCAGAGGAAAAGTCAGTTGAAAATAGCTTAGTGCCCATCCTCCAGATATTTTTTAAGTGGAAAAAAGAAAAGCAAAGGCAGAATCCAGTCAGTTAAAACATCCCAAGCTAGACAATTTAATAAAGAAAACGTACTATAGGAAACTCACGTCGAATGTGTTGATTGAGCTAAAAGAGCAAAGAGAGGGCAGTGAGGAGATTTAGAGATCAAGAGCTTCAGATTTAGAGAAACAGAGGAAGGAAAGGAAGTATCAAGGCTCAGGGGCCAAGGCCACCTGCCTGGAGCTTGCCCAGCAGAAGCTGGGACCACAAAGCCACAGAGTGCCCGGGATGCTGCTCAAAGGTGGAGGATGGAGAGTGTAGCCCTATTGCCTGACTTCTCTGCTCCTCCTGCCCTCCACTACTCTCCAATGCCTCCTATTGACCAAACTTACCAGAGAGTCAGTGGCCAAGGGAACCAGGGAAAAGCAGAGGAAGGCAGGGAGTGAATCTGAGACCAAGTAAGCAAATGACAGGACACTAGGCTACTTGGAAAGACACCTAAGAAACTAGTCATTATTGTGGTTGCTTCTGGGATAGGAAGAGGTGGAGGATTGATGGGCTGAGAAACTAGAGTTGAAAGAGACTTATCACGTGCATGCATTACAGATTAACAATAAACATATATCATTGAAACGTCAAAGCAAACCCTTCAATGGCTTTCACCTGCCACAGTGTTTCTCAAACTGCAGGGTGCATTAAAATTACCCATTATACTGGAGAAAATGCATACCCCATGAAACAGTGGTCTGGTGTGCATCTCAGGAAACTGCATTTTAATAACCAGCTTGTGCAATTCTGGTGTGGCTGGTCCATGTGGAATACGTGGTGACCATTAGGGCAGAATTTAATTTTCACCTAAATGACCACAAGTCCTTTCATGACATATGTGACTGATTCCTCTTCGAAACCCTTAACAATGAGGGCAGAGGTTGGCCCTTGCCGCCTTCCTGCCTCTAATCTTTCTGCACAATGTCCTCCAAATTCTCACTGCATTTAGTCCTGATCATTTATTTGTGTATCTGCTTTTCTCATTAGCACCTGAGAGCGGAGGACTTTTCTTATTTGTATGAAATCCTAGAAATGCCTTGCATGTACTTTTCACATAGGAGGTGCCCAATGAAGGTGGGTTAAATGGACTAACTGGTGGTTTTCAGAGAAAGAGGGAATCTGAGTTGGCTGAGATGACCAGGAAGGGCTTCCCAGAGGAGAAATCACCTTAGACAAGCAGAGTGGAGGGGAAAATACATTCCAGGCTGGGGAAAGGGAATACACTGAGGTCCTAAAGGCAGGCAGGCTCATTTCTATTAGTGAACAACCGTGGCAATGAATATAAAGTGCTTTGGTGTTTCTTTATTTTTTAAGACAAATTCCCTAAAACCATACTCAGTAGGTTGCGTATCCCCCCTGTCTGGGGCCATAACTTCCCCAGATGTTAATGAGTACTTCCAGCATTGATCAAGGGGAGAGAGACCCCTACGGGTTTATAAAACATGCAGATGACTGGTTTTTAACGAATGCAAAATGTCAAACAAAAGCAGCATCACAGGCCAGTTACTCATGCATAGTAAAGTTCCCAGGGAAAAAGAAGCAAATAAATAGGGAAAAAATACCTTGGCTGGAACCATTTCTAATAGGCAATGGACAATTGAGAACAGTGGGGGTTTTCAGGGACACGGGAGCAAATAGCAAATACATTTGGAAGATATCAGCAACAGTGAGATCAAGGCCATACCAAATAACCCTCTGGCTTTTGTTTTTATTAGGGAATAGGGCTTGTATTCAGCCTTCCCATGATAAAAAATGTACAGGGCTAAGCTTTTGTTTATTTGTGGGAAAGGGGAAGGAGAAAGAGTTGGACATATGTACAGCAAGAAGAAAACAATTCTAGAAATGGTGGTGCTTAAATGGGACTTCTCTGTGTCCCATTTGAGCTTGAAGCCACTGACTTGATCTTTGACTTCTTTGAATATGAACAGGACTTAGTTTGACCCTAGAACTTATATTCTCACACAAACTCAAATTTTGGCTTTTCACAATATTTCCAAATGTGATCATATACAAAGTCATCATATTTGTGTTTGTAGGTGTGTGTGTGTGAAAGGGACTAATTTGTTTAATGCAAAGAGTTTCTGTAACCATGTTTTGGCATGCCTTCATTTTTTAACATACCCAGAGCTTCAAACCCTGAATGTAGCCTGGGCCTGTTTCAGCCTTGTCTGCTAGACTGGCTTTCTGCTTAGGTGGTGCAGACGGAGTGATCTCAGAAGCACTGGGAAGGCACTCAACCCCCTATATCCCCCTGCAACCCTCACACACCTGCTTAATGATGCTTGGAATCCCTTTGTCAGGTAGTACTGTCTTTCTTTCCATACTGGGAAATGAGCTTTAAGTTGCAAACTCTCTAGGGAGAGGAATCCCAAGGTCTCACATTGGCTTGGATGTCTCAGTGGGTGTCTCTGAGCCTTTCTGGGAGCAGGTAGTGCTCCTCACACATTTCACCAAAGTGGCCTTTTGTCAGCAGCATGGAAGGATTAGCCCATTCCACAGGGTCTGCAGGCTTCCCCAGAGAGGCTGCAATAGGTAGAAAATGTCCATGAAGTCTCATGTTTTATCTTCAAATTTTCTGCAAATATTGGACTCTATTTCATCATATACCCACGTTTGTTTTAACATGAAAGTGTTTGTAGTGTCCCCTTTGGTGTTTCACCTGGATCCTCTTTACAGGCCCAACATACCCATTACCCAGCTGTCAGGAATAGCAGCTGCTGATGGTCACAGCTGTGGCACTCACTGTGTATCAACCTAGGCCACAGGGAACTGCCATGCCTAAGGTTAACTGCCCAGGGATCAGCCTCCTCCTGGGAGAGGGCCTGTGGCTAATGACTGGCTAATATGGAAGTCCAGCCCCCTCACCCCAACTTGGGACAACTCTAAAGGGCTGTCTCCTAGCATAAGCTGAGACCTTCCTTCACTGCCACCACATTGCATTGTGGCCAGCTTCTCCCTCTGCCCATCCTGCCTTTCCCACTTCTCCCAAGAGTACTCCCCAGTCAGCTTCTGCACATTGCTCTCTGTCTCAGAGTATAGTTCCCCACTCTAAGATGGGGTAGCAGCTATAATCCTCAGATTTAGACTCTAAAATGGGGTTTTGGAGCTGGATGTGTCATTGGCTGGCTGGCTGGCTGGCAACAAGGATCCCGTGACTGCTGATCAGTAGAGTCTGGATAGAGGTAACAGCACAATTTTTGCTAAAGCATGTGGCAGTGATGAATTGGTATGAGATCCCCTTGGAAGGGGATACATAGGCAAGAGTAACATCTGATGCTTGAGAGGGAGAATAAACGTAACTACAAGGACTATGGAATTGGGTGGCTATTGCTAAGCACCATTGACCTATCGAAGAGAGATAATGGCAGGCTCAGGGTGATCAATCACCAACCTCAAGCAAAATGTGAAAACTAGAGGGCCTTCTGGGCAGCATTAAGGAATCCAAAAGCTCCCATAGACAGAACAGAGGAGCAAGCACAGAATGAATCCTAAGAGTAGAAGAACTTCAGAGGTTGATTGCTCAGCCCACCATGTCTCAGTTGCAACTACACAGCAGGTCCACTTTCCTCCCCAATCCTGCCTTCTTCACTTCATTATAGAGGTATCTCCTGAGCGCACTCCCCAGGAAAACTCTTTCTCAGAGCCTGTTCTCAGGGAACCAATCTAGTACAGTATTTGAAACACTTCAATTTCTTTACATCTTCCATCACCAGAGATCTTAAACTGTCTTAGTCAGGTTCCTGGCAGTAAACAGAGGGGACTCTCAGCTGGGATTTTGAGGGGAATTTAATGAAGAGACTATTTACATTAATATGAGCAGGGTTAAAGCAATCACCAAAGAATGCCAAGGCTAACAAAAGACTTGCAATATCAAGAAATCATTGCCACCACTTTTAGGTCTGCCAGAACAAGAGGTAGAAATGGTTTAATGGGAGCCTACAGAGGTGTGGAGGCTACTTCCTATGGGGCTGCAGTGTAGAGGGCTACACCCACTGCCGAAATATGACCCTGAGGCACAGAGGGAGCAAGGGAGGAAATACCCCAACCTCTCTCTCCTCTCACCCTTGATCTCCTGAAGATGCTCCCCATTGTCCAAATCCACCTGTGAACTGGGTAATGCCTTCTGTAAGAGACAGCCCACGACAACACAGAACAGGGCAGAGAAGAGTAGGAAATGGATAGGGACATGGGGGAGGTTGCAAAAGGAAGATACTAATACAAGTTCCAAGAAGACACACCGTTTGTTAGCAACAGCACATACCCTCTGGCCTACTGCTCTGTGCCTGTTAAAGGTACCCCCAATGTGGTCATTAGGGAAAGGACCCTGGGGATCTTTAGGCCACATGTGAAGAGTCATGAGGTATTCCTGATGACTTAGGTATTGCTTAACAAGGAAGAGGGTTAGAAAAAGGAGTTGGATAGCGTGGCTTGAACCTGAGTTGCAAAAATAACACTTGCAAAAATAAACACTGCTGCACACATGCTTTCATGATTTTTCTTCCTTCCCAAGGGGGAAAGGAAGGCCGGAAGAATTTGAAGCAAACAAACTACCATGGAAGAAAGTAGCATACAGATGAGAATGAGCCAGAGTTCTGAAGATTGGGCAGAGCAGAGAAATGCCCCCTCCCCGCAACCACCATGAGTTTGTCTTGGAGCAGCCAGATTAATAGGAAATGATAAAGATGAGGTCAGCACTCTGGTCATTGGAGAAAGCATGTCATTAAAGGTTTCTGAAGCCAAAATAGGGGTGAGGTGGGGACCCCAATGTGGCATTTTTCACTTTGAATACTTCCAACCTGGTCCAGGCTTATAAAGCCATTTCTGGCTTGGCTTTGCCATTTTGTTATTTTAAACTCTGGATGTCATTCAGTCCATTGACATCTATCAAGCACTGTGCCTGATGCACTGGGCACTTTGCTGCTCTGATATGAGTCTGTGCCTTTCTGAAGAGCTCTGCCTTGGTTCATATGGGAGGCCATGCATCCTGTGGGACATTCATTCTGTGTCAGGGAACTGGTTAGACAGCTAGAAATGAGGAGAGGATAGAAGTAGGCCTGAGCACCCAGCATCTTCAGCCTGTCTGGTCTTGCCAGAGGCCTGAGGTCAGCTCTCCATGTCTCATTTTGCTCTTCTGCCTTCAGGGGTCTATTCTCAGTCTCTGTCAACCCACTGCGTTCATTTCTTAGCAACAGAAAAGCTCCAGAATCTCCAGATAGAAGACAGCAGGTGAGCGACCTAAGTAGGGAAGCATGGGAAGTGTGCTGAGGCACCGCTGCTCACCATGTCTGTATTCTCCTGGTCAGCCTGGGCCTAGGTTACACTTTCTAGTGGACGGTGTGTTAGGGTGGTCATGTGGCTGGTCCTGACCAATGGGATATGGCAGAAGGCATAAGTTGCCACTTCTAGGACTGGACCATTGATCTCCCAAGTGATTCACATTCTATTTCCTCTTCAGGAGGCTGAATAGAAGACTGATAGCCTGGAGGAATAAGAAGCCACAGGTGGAATGAGCTAGAGTCCTGAGGACTGGGCAGAGCAGAAAATCTCTCCCTCCCCACTACCATCACCTACTGACTCACTGTGACCTGAACAACAAATACGCTTTTACTGGCCTAAGCTACTAACTTTTATGCTTGTGGAAGCACTGAACCAATCTTGATAAAGTATAAAGCTGGAGGAGAAAGAAGGTAAGGCTGCTCTGTTTAGGGGCCTGAAATGGAAGATTAAAGAATTTGTTACTTTCTTATAAGAAAAATGGGTTGCTGCAGTCTGTTGAGCAAGAGAGGGACCTAGTGTTCCATCAAAGCTGCACCCTGGCCTGTGAAAGGGATTAGAGGGAGCAAGGCTGGTGGCTAGAGGTGCTAGAGTAGTAGGAAGCTATCACTGTCATGCAAGGGGGAAGGAGGAGGCCTGGACAGAGATGACGGGAGAAATGGGCTTGAAAGATGAGATAGCCAAGACTGAGCAGGAAGGGTCTGCAGAGCATGGTGTCTGACAGGATGTGGAGGATGAGGGAAAGCCTGGAGGGCCATTGCTGTGGCTTGAATGTGTTCCTCAAGACATTATGTATTGGAAAATTAATCCCCAGTGCAACAGTGCTGGGACATGGGGCCTAATGATAGGTGATTAGGCCACAATGGCTCTGCCCTCATAAATGGATTAATGCCGTTATCACAGAAGCTGGTTTGTTATTGCAGGAGTAGGTTCCTTATAAATGGATGAGTTTGGGCCCCTCTTGCTGTCCCTTGCTCCTCTGCCTTCCACCATGAGATGACACAGCATGAAGGCCCTCAGCAGATGCTGACCCCTCAATCTTGGACTTTCCAGCCTCTATAATTGTGAGACAATAAACTTTTGTTCATTATAAATTACCCAGTCTATGGTATTCAGTTATAACAGCACAAAACAGACCAAGACAGTCATCAAGATTATTGGGAGTCTTGGAGGAAAAGCCAGTTTGGGAGAAAGATTATGCCTTCTTGTTGGAATATATGAGCTTGAGCTGGCTGAGAACTATGGGAAGATGCCCAGGTACAACTGGAAATTTCACCGTGGAGCTGAGGAGTGGACCAGAGCCAGAAGTGACTGTCTAGAACGAAGCCCACCCTGCCTTCCCTGAGCCAATCTCTAAGACCCCTTAGGAATAGATACACCAAAAATACTCTGATCCCAGATGTAGACCTGCACTCCAGTGTAAAGTCAACTTCACAATTTTTCAACAAACATTCTCAGAGGTAGAGATGGACTAAAAGGTAGAGTCAAGTTTTACTGGAAAAATGCTTGATGGGTGATGAGGAGGTGACCCTCATCCGATAGTGAACCCAGTCTGGTCTCGGTATTCATACTTTTGACAAAAAGGAAGAGACAAAGGAGAGACACATTCCAGCATGTGGTTGGTGCAGAATGACAACAGGCAATCCAACCACAAAAGATAGGAATGTGATCTTGGCCCTGAGGAGAAGAACAGCAAATACTCTTTGGCTCTGGGTGAATTTAGAAATGAAAGAGAAGCCACATGTAAATTTCACTAGCACTTTCACAGTGATAAATGAAAATACTTTCACAATAAATGAGGTGCTACTAAATAAACAAATCACTTGAAAATGTACTTGTGGGATAGCGGAGATAAATTAAAAAACAGGTTAAAGTAACATCTGTATATTAACATCATCATAAAACAAGTTGGTAATGGGGGGTAGCATGCAAAGTACTATGAAACAATAATCAGAAACTTTATGTCAATTATTGAAAACCATGACATTGATTGAGAGGTATTACTCAGTCTCTGATGTTTCTGCAGCACGTTTTTCCCAACTGGGTTTATAAGAAGTGTCTATTCAACGCTGATAAATACCCTTAAATTCTATCACAATATAATCTGCCTTAGGAAGACTACATGTTGAATTGATTCTTATGACATGATGGCTCAATGATTTCTCACTGTCCTAGAGTGGTTGAATAGCCATGTTCATTAGAAGACAATATCTGATTTCTTGGAATACTAATCATAAAGATAGCAGTCATTAACCTTTTTATCTGTAGACTTTTTTAAAAATAAAAATAAATAAAATAAAATAAAAAACATTTTTTAACCTATTTTCCTATCTGATCCTCTTGGGATACCTATACAGCTGAGTTATCATTTAGAGTATGAGAAGACTTAGGCCAGAGCGTTATGTGGCTTTTCCAAAATCACACCACAAGAGGGTGATAGGTTCTGCAAGGGAACCCAGGTCTCCCCCAGCCAGACCCTCACCTTCGGCACTTTCTGTCTCTTTGGCCTTCCCGGGCCTTCCCAGCCCATCTCTCCCCTGCCTCATTTGTTCCCCTTGTCAGTCCAGGCCCAAGGCCATCACCCTCATCTTCTCACAGATCCTCCTGCAGCCCTCAGCTTCTCCCTCAGGCAAGTTTGCATTTTCCTTTTATTTGGTCCCATAAGATGCCCACCCCAGGGCCATTTTGTGTTCCTCTGGCCACCAATTCAGCTCCGTGTTACCTATGTGTTGAAATTTTCCTCCACTAACTCTAATGCAAGCCATAGCCAAGAGAAAGGAGGTGTTCTACACCTTTGCCTCCAGTTCTCCCACCCTCCCTGCCTCCCCTCAAGTCCCAGATGAGCCCCACCTCCTCTCCTTGCAGGCCATCCTCCCGTGCCCTTGTTGTTTCTGCAGAACTATGACTTCCATCTTCTTCCTTTCACCTGCATTTCTCCCTCCCCCTGGGCAGCTTCTTCCTCAGATCCCAATCCCATAAGTCTTCCTTCCCCTGCAAAACTGTTTCTTTCTGCCCTGGTTGCACCCTTCCTTGGGGTGCTGCCCTACCCCTCCTCCCACAAGTTTATGGGAAAACTACTATAAAGAGGGGCAATGCTGGAGGTCCCATCTGAATCATTCCGGGAACTTGTTAAGAATACAGGTTCCTTGCTGTCATTTAAGAATTAGAATGTCTTGTGGTGGCTATGGAGATCTGTTTTTGTAATCTGTTCCCAAGGGTCTCAGATGAGAGTAGGTTTGGGGAGCTTCAGCCCTCAGGACTTCCACAAGACCCCTTGTTAGAGAGGAGGGTGATGCTATGGGGAGCTATGGTAGATGGGACAGGAGTGTGGTACCAGGTCTTGGAGGCCCTGAGTGCTGAGTGAAGAGTCAGGATTCAGCAGGGGAATGAGGATGGCAAGAGGGAGCCCATGCAGGCTTTTGAGCAGGGGAGACCTTAGATTCTGTGGTCTAGCCATAAACAGCTGATGTGGCTTCCCTGTGGTCCCTTAGCCAACTCCAGGGCAGCAGTCAGAGTGCCTATGTGAGTAGAGTGGGGTGGGTAGTGCTAGTGTGCAAGAGGCCAGCTGGGCAGCCCTTTCCAGTGAGAAATGCTTGGCCATAGTAGGGAACCAGCCAAAGGCACAGGCCCTGTTTTGGAGCAATCGCCAATCACTGTCCTCTACTCTCTGGAGAATGTCGCCGGTTCTGCCAGTCTCCAGGGCTGCCCCAAATCACTTAGAAACTCCCAGGGGCTGCTTACTCTACTCAGTTATTCATTTGCACAATACACTTTCCCCAGATGGGATGTGCTAGTTTCCAAGGGCTGCCATAATAAGTAGCAAAAACTGAGTGGCTTAAAACTACAGAAATTTACTCTCTCACAGTCTAGAGGCCAGCAGCCTGAAATCAAAGTGTTGGCAGGGCCATGCTCCCTCCAAAGGCTCTAGAGATGGACCTTTCCTTACCTCTTCCACTTCTGGTAGCCCCAGGTATTCCTCAGCTGTGGCAGTAAAACTCCAGCCTCTGCCTCCATTATCACATGGTCATCTTCCATCTGTTTCTCTGTGTCTGAATCTCCTCTTCTTATCAGGACACCAGTCATATAGGATTAAGGACCCACCCTACTCCAGTATAACCAGATTGCAACTTTAATGACAACTGCAATGATCCTATTTCCAAATAAAGTGACATTCACAGGTATTAGGGGCTAAGACTTCAACATATCCTTGGTGGGGGACAAAATTAAACCCATAATAGATGTTTCATGGTTTAACATACATTTAATTTCTGTCTTTACTGATGAGACTTCCATTCTGGGAGAGATGAAGAGCCCAAAGTGTTTACACTACATGAACAGCAGGTTAATATGCCCTGGCCTGACTTTCTGGCTATTTCCACAGCCTGCTCAGGATACAGGTAGAGTAGACTTAGTATAACATGATAAGGTAAAAAGTATCTGCAAACTATTACTACACTGGTGCTTCCAACACTAAAAGCAACCGTTTGAATTAAAACATTATAGGAACACTTCTGTCACTAGCCAAGATGGAAGAAGTCCACTACAGCCAATCTCTCCCACTAAATGCAGCAAGAACACTGGACAAAATACAAAAAGCAACTACTACCTGATAATTCTGGAAACACAACATCAGGAGGCTTGGGAAAAGGAGGAACCAAATCTTGATAAATGACTTGTAACAGGGGTGAATACCATTTATTCCCCTGTCTTAT